>NC_000016.10:24244061-24547092 GCF_000001405.40 Homo sapiens | reverse complement strand
AGTGAAAATCACTACTCTTTAAATAACCTATGTTGCTGCCCTTTTCACATATTATAGTTCTGCTATCACTACTGAAATTGCAAGAAAGCAGAGAAAGTTAAGGATATAAGGTTTTAATCCTGCCCCAGGTTAGTGAATACCAGCTCCGGACTAGTTGTGAGACTGCTCTCTTCCTACTCCAATAATGTGCATTTAGCATGTGCCAGACACTATTTAATTCTTACAACCCTCTAGAGTTAAGTACTCACGTCCCTATTTTATTTTTGAGGAATCTGAGGCACAGAGACTTACCCAAGGTCCAAAGTCACACAACTGGTATGAAGCAGTAAATGGAGTCAAATCTAAGCCTGATTTCAGTGCCCATGATTATAAATCCTATATACTTTATGCCTCTCAGCCAAAGCCCCTTATTGATAAAGAGTAAATGTTAGCATTACTGAATACTCTTGATGCTGTCAAAATATTTAGGACCGATGTCTACAACACCAAATTTTTGTAGTGAAGAAAACTGAAGGAACCCCCACAAAAAAAAGTAGTCAAAGAAAGGCACAGAAATAATGTGAATATCACTTTCTTGTATCTGTAAATACTGGCCATATGGAGAAAAATTTTTCCTAATAATGGCCCTCTCACAACAGGCTAAGTCAATTTAACTGGGGGAGGAAATCAAAAACAAACGAACAAAGAAACCTACTATCCTCACAGTCTTGAGAAGATGTATTCATTAAGGTTAAAGTAATGAGTTCAGTTCTAAAATACAGTTTTTTCTCACAAAATTAAAAAAACTAAAAAAAGTCTATTTTGAGAAATACATGAGATTTGATACTTACATAACATATGTCTTGCTTGTAGATTTAACACCTCCAATAGGAATTCTTCTAACAATTACAGAAGAATTCTTAGGAATCAGAGCATTATCATCAGTATATTCTGTAAATAAAAAGACAGAATTGAATTTCCATTTGGGGATTTGAGTGCGTAACCAAGAATTAGAAAACTTCAAATATAAATTTCATGGGAAATGACTTTAAATATAATAACTACAAGTTCCTTGCAACTAGATTACTGATATTGTCAGAACAAACATCCAAAGCCCTAAGAGGGCTTCTTTTCAAAGGACAACCAATATCATCAGCAGGTTCTTGGCTCTAGCACTTCTACTTTTGTGGAACTCCAAATCTCAGTAACACCGTCATTCTTTAGTTTAGTCTGAAATGCTGAACATGTGAATGGTGAAAAAGCCGTTATTCGGAATGAAGATATTCTGTCTCTCCTAGTCCCTAAACGTTAGTTGAGTATTACAATCCCTGCATTCACAGAAATTATTACTGAGGAAGATAGACTAAAAATTAAATTATGACGTTATGAATAAAGAGAAAATGGTTTTCTAATAAGGAATGAATAGTGGAATACAACTTCAGATAGAATGTTGATTCCAAGAAAGCCCCTTGGAGGAACTTCTACTGGATACTTAAAGACTGAGAACCCAGCCAGATACAGGAAAAAAACTGGTTGAGGACTATTTCAGGCAAAGGATAAAAAAAGCATGTAGAAAAATGATACGAAACGGCTTGAAGAGCCTAAGAAAATAAAAGAAAAGAATGACAGAAAGGTATAGACCATACACTGATTTATATTTTGTTTTGAAGTGCAACAGGAAGACACTGAAGGATTTTAAGCAAAGTGATTATTTGCTTTTTGTTAAAGAAAAAAAGACTACTGGCCAGGCGCGGTGGTTCACGCCTGTAATACCAGCATTTTGGGAGGCTGAGGGGGGCGGATCACGAGGTCAGGAGATTAAGACCATCCTGGCTAACACGGTGAAACCCCATCTCTACTAAAAATACAAAAAAATTAGGAAGGTTTGGTGGTGGGCGCCTGTAGTCCCAGCTACTCAGGAGGCTGAGGCAGGAGAATGGCATGAACCTGGGAGGCTGCAGTGAGCCGAGATCGCGCCACTGCACTCCAGCCTGGTGACAGAGCAAGACTCTGTCTCAAAAAAAGACTACTGTGGCACCAATGTGGAGCACAAACTGTAGGAGAACAAGAGTAGAAACCAGGGGACTAATAACCAGGCTGCTAAAAAATCCAGGTAGAGATAATGACGACCTGTGTTATGATGTGAGAAATAAAGACAGAATGTTTGCAGGTAGGATTGACAAAGCTTGCTGATGGACCGAATATGGGGGAGATGAAGGAAATGAAGAAGAAAGAGGAATCAGGCCAGAGGAATCCCTGGGTTCCTGGCTTCAGTCATCGGATAAACAGTGATGTCACCTTCTGGGAAAACCAAGAGGGAGAAGAATGGATCCTATTTTTACACTCCTTGGGCTATTTGCAATACTTGTATAAGAATGAAATTAAGAAAATGGACCTTAACTATGGTAAAAAGATTTGCTACAGAAAGAATCTGTAAAATTACCAAAAAGAAAAATTACCTAGAGATGCAAAAATGTATCCATCTCCTTTAATCACACAACCAGGCCTTTTTATTGTCATTAAGTTTACTTGCTTCACTTAAAGTTACTCTGCACAAAGTGACTATCTCTGTTCTTCCGATTATTACGCTTACCACATATGTAGGCATATTCGGCTTTTAATGTATATTAATTATTTTTAGTCATAATGCTAATAGTATTGTTAGAAATGAAATTGTTCAGGCAAGGGTTATTTTCTATATACTTCAAGTAGAAGGCACTATCTCACAGGCATTCAATTAGAGGTAGGCAATTTCCTAGATTTAGGCATGCCAATGTAGGACTATAATCTTTATCTTGGACAGTTCATGATAGCCCCAAATTCCGAGGAAGCTTTGAGTCAGAAAAACTGAGAGCATGGGGTGACTAGATTTTTTTAAAAGTTAATTCTAGAAATAAAACTTTGTGTCAAACACCTGACAGGAAGTTTCTGAATATGTAACAACTCAATGCACTCACAAGAGCTTTCCAAGACAGCTTATTAATTTGATTAGCACCGTACTGTGTCAAACTAAAAGGTGCCTCAATGCCCTTCAAAACAGATGTTCTAACTGACTTTTTAAATACCTGAATTACAATGATTTCTTACCCCTCAAAGTATCTTTCTAGGGGTAATAAAGACACTTTGGGGGTATTTCATTTAAAATACCTCCTTAACAAGTAGTCTGTTGGCTTCAAAAGACCCTTTCTGCTTGCCAGTTTTTTTGACCCCAGACATGAAAGGCATGGATGAAATGAAAAACAGAATGAATCCGAGAAATGGAGAGTAAGAAAGGTGACAAGGGTCATTTATAAACACTTCATATTCAGCTTCCAAACCTCTCACACTTTAATTTCAGAACGAAGGATGTTTTGTTTTTTAGGGGTCGGTGTGCAGAAAAGTTTCTCATATATAACAAAGATTACTTGATATTCATTTTGAAATACAGTCTAGAAACAAGCAGGATTCTTGTCTAAAATCCATGGAATTCTGACCCAAGCGTTTCAGTCTTATCAAGATTTAAGGGTCCTATGCCAGGCACAGTGGCTCAAGCCTATAATCCCAGCACTTTGGGATGGCCTTGGGAGGCCAAGGCAGGAGAACACTTGGGCTCAGGAGACCAGCCTGGGCAACATGGCAAAATCCCCATCTCTACCAAAATAAAATAAAAAAAAATTACAATAAATTAGCCAGGCATGGTGGTGTGTGGCTGTAGTCCAGCTACTTGGGAGGCTGAGGTGGGAGGATCACCTGGGCCTGGTAGGTTGAAGCTGCAATGAGCCAAAATTGTGCCATTATACTCTAGCCTGTGAGGATGTGTCTCCAAAAAAAAAAAAAAAAAAGATTTAAGGGACCTAAACATGCACATAATTCCAAAACTGTAAGGAAATGTTTTACAGAAACATGGTAGATTAGGGATTTTAAAATTATAAGAATGAAATTAAGAAACTGGACCTTAACTGTGATAAAAAGATTACCATAGTTTTCTTTAGTAAATATGTTGAATATCGGTGCTAAAACCAAATGGCATTCTACTCAACTGCCTTGTGACATTGGATACTATTTCCCATAAAACTAGTTAAGTAGCTACCATCAATATCTCTTTCTCTCTTAATTTGAGGACTGCATAAAATACACATTTTCTCCCTCAAAGCTCCCTTTTCTTAACAAACCGAACATCAAAGCTTTCTCCAATAAAGGGCAGTTCACATAAATATAAAAAAGAAAATGTGCTGGGCAAAAACACATTCCTGGCTTTCTGGGTTTGAATTACGTATCATTTATTTCCTGGGCTAGGAAAAAAAAATTGGTTACACAAAGTCACAAAACTCTTAAATTTCCGGACAGGATTCTTTTAACTATAACTTACCCAGTCTAAAGTTGCATTCACATGCCTGTAATCCCAGCCCTTTGGGAGACCCAGGTGGGTGGATCACTTGAGGCCAAGAGTTCGAGACCAGCCTGGCCAGCAAGACAAAACCCCATCTCTACTAAAAATACAAAAAAAAATTAGCTGGGTGTAGTGGCGCATGCCTGTAGTCCCAGCTACTTGGGAGGCTGAGGCATGAGAATCGCTCAAACCAGGGAGGCGGAGGTTGCAGTGAGCTAAGATGGTGCCACTGCACTCCAGCCTGGGTGACAGAGTGAGACTCTGTTTCAGGGGAAAAAAAAAAAAAAAGCTGCATTCAATTGTTGGGTCGAAAAGATGGATAACGCCTAGCCCTAAT
This sequence comes from Homo sapiens, assembly GCF_000001405.40. Lineage (NCBI taxonomy): Eukaryota > Metazoa > Chordata > Mammalia > Primates > Hominidae > Homo > Homo sapiens. The sequence goes on along the minus strand of NC_000016.10, from coordinate 24,542,407 downwards.
GATTCGATTGTGTAATACTCCAGTAAAATATGAAACCTGAATATATGACGATTAAAATTGCCTTAATATCCTTTAATTCCATTCATATTGTCTCTCCTCTCATTCATAAATACTCAATATGTCAAGATGGCCCAAACTTCTTATAAACCCATCTGTTCTGTGAAATGTGACTGTTGTAGTTAAGGGATGCTTGTGAGGCACTTAAATAAAGCTATTTCTCAACTGTTCATGACCACCACCAGTTTTTCCTCTCCTTAGGCAGAGGATTACACATAGCTCCAATTATCAAAGGGTATGACACTTGTTTTTAAAAGGTGGGGAAGCAGACAGTATTTTCACATAATATCATTTGAGCAAATAAATTCTTCCTTAATATTTTTGAGTCATGATATGCCAGCACTGCTGTTCCTTAACCTAATACAATTATACTTAGGTCTGCATTGTAAATGGAAAACTGGTCTTCTACATGACAAGATTTACTCTACCTAAACTACAGGCTGGAGGTGGGGGACCTCCCATTTCAACTAAAAGAATCCATGTCACACCTTAAGTGTGATAAAAATTTAGTGACTAAAAAAATACCCTAACCTAATTGTAACTTCACTTCTTCTCATTCCATCAGTAACTTTTAGAACACCGAACTGCTAAAAAATACACATCAGCATTACTGATCTGAGAAAAAGAAACCAAAACAAGTTCAGAGTCAGGAAAGACTGCTTGTCACATTTATCTACTGTTAAGTTCCCAATATTATCAAAATACTTTTGAAAAGGAGAAAGAATCTAACGATTCTTATCAGTGGCTTATTTGTACTCTATGGTAGCAGCCTATTTTTCAGTACCTTAGTATCAACAGTCACGTAAAATCTAGCAACTACTACTTTAAAAAAAATCAGTACTTTTGATCTTCACCGAATTGATAAAGCTTAAGAGTAATGTGATGAACTAACAGTTTAACTACTTAATTGCCGTATTACTAATTCTGGAATTGACACACAAGACAAGAGCGGTGACATCAGAACATTTCAAGATCCAAAAACAATTCCAATACTGATTAAATCCTCAAAAATATTAAAGTTCAGATCCCTTATCCACAACACAGGCAAGCAACTCCAAATAAATAAATGCGAGGAGGGAGGAAGGCAGGACATAAAATTTGCCATCAAACTCCACAATGTTGTTAGGTTAGAAAATTGTTTTTTTGGTTTTTTTTTTGTTTTTTTTTTTGCTGATTGAACAAACAAGCTTTGCACAGGCTCTCCTGCCCTCCTGATGGAAAATAAGTTAGAAAACGCCCTAAGACAAGCACTCAAAGAGTCTAGATAGCTATCCCCCTCTCCTCCCTCCCTCATTTTAAAAAACAGCGAGAAGAATAATCAGGCTTCCACGTTTTGGGTTAGCCTGTTACAGATGACCCAAGTATGCAGAAATAAAATAAACCAGTGAAACTCCAAGGCCAACTGCTGCAAACCTTGGCTATCAATGAAAGTTGTATCCAAAGTACTAGAACGAACAGTCCCCACTAGAGACATAATGGCGGTTAGCTTCCTGCCAGGCACCTTCTAGCTAGTATCTCTCTCCAGCCACCAAATATCTTAAGACCAAGCGGCCCTTACCTTCTTTCGTCTGCGCATTGGTGATCTGCAGGTCGCAGTCGGCAGCTTTCAGCTTCTCTCTCCCCATAATCTGCTTCTTTAAGTCGCAGAGGGAGATGTGGAGCCCATCAAAGGTGACGGTATCATAGTTGAGTTTAGAGGAAAATTTATAATGCACACAGGACATGGTGCCAAGGGATTCCTAAGGTTCAGCGAGGAGACGTGGACACTCTCAATATACGTATATTTATAAACTTTAAGAGCAAAATATGTACACACAAAACACTCAAAGACACCGAAGGACCCTAAGGCCTCAGATTAAATACCCCCCAACCACAAGCAGGGGTTCGTCAGAACAATAATCCAGAGACCCCCCGATACTCAGAATCACTTCATGGGGGAGGAGGAGGACGAGGACGGGGAAGAGGGGAAATCGAGAATCCGCCAACGGGCACAATGTCACCCGGCTGGGTCCCCCTCGCTCATGCTAAGGGGCCGGCAGAGACGGGGGGATTGGCGGTGCAGTCAGTAGCGGTCAGTCCACACGTTAAGAGTCCGAGCGACCCCACGGGGTCAGGGGTCCATAGCGCGGCCGCACCTCCCGGCGGGTCTCTCTCTCCGTGGATTGGGGTGACCCAGGCCCCGGGAGAAGGTTGAGGGGAGAGGGCCTAGGCCCGGAGTCCACGAGCGGCCTCACGCCTCCTCCTGGCTTCCGGACGACCGGCGTCAGCTTCCCCAGGCCCAGGCCCAGGCCCCCACCGCACACAAACCCCTGGCGCCTGCTCCCCGGAGGCCACGAGCGGCCCCACGGCCTAGGCCGAAAACGCGCGGTCGGCGGAGGAGAGGCCTTCCCGCAGGCCGCCCCCGGCTCCGCCTCCCCCCGCCGCCGCCGCCGCCTCGGACACAAAGCCGGCGCTAGGCCTCGGCGAGGCCTCGGAGCACTTCCTCACCACCCCGGGCCCCAGCCGGCGGCCGGGTGGCTTCGGCGGACCCCGGGGACACCGCCGAGGCTCCCTGACGCTTCTTCTCGCCGGATCCTCCGCGCTTCGCTCGCCTTTCGTTTCCGTCGCCTTGAGGCCCGGAACCGCGAGAACACGCCCGCAAGCTGCTGGGCAGCGGCTAGGGCTTCTCCGGCTCCCTTTTTGTGTTGGCCCCCTGCCGCTCGGGGGCTCTCACCGAGCGGCGGCGACACCTCCAAGCCAGGTACTATGGCGGACGCGGCCTGGCTTCGGACGAGCGCCCCACTGCGGGGTCTCTTAAGCAGGGATTGCACGGGCGGCGCGCGCGAGGCGGGGCTGGCGTGCGCGGATAGGCGGGCCGAGAGGCGGGGCGGCTGACGTCACAAAGCGCACGGCCCGCCCACGTGACCCCGCGCTTTGTGACTCCAAAGCGCGGAAACTGAAAGAGCAGGGACAACGGGAAGAACCATCTGCTTCAAAAGGGAGGGGGGTTGCGCGTCAGGAGGACCGGCTCACAGGGAGGCTCGGTGGGGAGAGCTCGCCTTGCAGGGGCTGCGTGCAGTTTCCACTGCAAAGTGGCTTGCCTAGGGGTGGCCGGCTAACTCCCCCTTCCCCACAGGCCCCGTCAGCTCCTCTAAGCCTCCCAATTTAAGTGAGCATTATGGTTGCTACGCAGAAAACTATGGTTGCTATGCAAGCGCTCCCTAGCTGCTGCTTCCAATAAACTGGCTACCCTATACTCTTGACAAGTGGAAATCGTGGAGCAGCCGCTGCCAAGAACTGATAACAGCCACCAGCACCATACAGATTTATTGAGCTCTTACTATGTGCTAGGCACAGGGCTGATCGCATAACAACATTGCCAGGCTCAGCAGCCACGTTGTCTGGGTTGGATCCCTGGCTGTGGGGGCTCTAGATTTAACCCCTCTGTGCCTGGGTCTCCTTGGCTGTAAAATGCCATTAAAAATAGTACTTGGTTTACTTGGATTAAATAAATGCACATAAATCCATAGTCTAAGACCATGCCGGTGCATTGACGTGGCTCAATGCACCGAAATATTAATAGCTGTAGCTCAATAAATGTCAATTTAACAACAAAAACCCTACGTGGTCAACATGACATTATTTCCGATTTATAGATGATGGAACTGAAGCTAGCAATCATGTACTTTCTGAATTTGCAGAAGGGGATGCCTGCTCAGTGGCAGGGTCCCGATTCCATTCCTAAGCGCAAATGCCAGGAACAGTGACAAGAACCCCCTCAGTAGATTGGAATTTTTTTTTTCCTTTGGGCATGGGGACGTTATTACATTCAGAAAAAATCATAATATAATAAAATTACATTCATAAACGATAGTTATTATCGTTTACAATCCATGTTCCTCATCCTCTCTGAATTTTACAGGCTAGGCTCAGTGAATTTAGGCAACTGAGAATAAGATCCTATAGCCGAGAAGTAGCAGAGTTTCCCAGGGACTTCCTGCAAGCACACTCCAAATTCTTACTGAACTTGATTTAAAATTAATCACCATCCTGCCAGAAAAGCCTTCCTAAGGCCATCTTTTTAAAATAAGATGGCGATCTTTCTCTATCCCTTTAGTCTTTTCTTCCTAGCACTTGCAGATAGTTGACAGTTACACATTTACTTTTTAATTATCTATCTCCCCCAACCCCTACCTTCGGCTGACAATAGGAATCTTATCTTTATATTTGTTTTTGCTGTATCCTCAGCTCTTAGAACATAGTAGGTGCTCAATAAATACGTGCTGAATAACTGGATACATTTTTACGTGATCCATAGAGATGTCGTGGCAATAAAATTTTGGCCGTAGTCAAGGGCAGCTCTAGAGATACCATTACAATTTAACTCAACCACACACATCAGTACTTTTCATATATAACAAGTTTCTTCCACTTTTACCTCTTTGTTATTTCACCAAAAACTTATTGCTGCCAGGTCCTCTTCAGGTTGGTTGCTTTTTTCTTAAAAGCCTCTGTGTGAATGAAAGGGCGAGGGCTATCTCTAGTGAAAGAAAAACTCGACGAGAAAATTGCAAGCCGTCATGGAATTCACTCCGAAGCGGTGAATCTGTTCCTTTTGCCCGTCTGTGGCCGACCCCTTTATATACTGAATGCCTAATTTAATCAGCGTGGTGCATCATGGGATCTCAAAGTGGGCCACACCCTCAGGATATGACAGAGTGGATCATAACCTAATCTGCAGGGGGGGATGTCCTTGGAAAGAATGTTGTCTATTGGTCCAACCGTTCTCATCTGCCAAAAACTTTGTTCAACCTTGATATTCTCACTTACAGAGGCCTCACTTCATATCACATCAAACAGGTCAAAATGCATTCACCACCTGCAATAAGCCTATGACTTGAGTTGCCTGACTAATTGACACAATGCTACATTTGGTCCATTTCACTGAATTCCTTTACTAATCTTCATTTTGCAGTTTTCTTTTTTTAAAAAAAAAACTTTTTATTTTCTTTTTTCTTCAGTGAGCTGAATTGTAAATTTTGCCGTTTTCTTTGGGTAATATGGAGCTGGTCTCCCTGACGCTTCTCTCCCTACCAATATTTTTGTAAGCCCTGAAAAAGCCTTTTGTACTATCCTACAGTGAATGAAGCATTCCTGTCTAAGCTTCTCATAATGTAACAATTCTGGAGCTCCCATGTCCCAGGATTTCAAACCTTTGTCATTCTCAAACCCAGTATAGCCTCATACCATTGACCATAGACAGTTAGTAAACCCCTTAACTTATTTTCTTATGTCAAAATTCAGTTCCAGCAAGCGGAATTGGGAGATCCAAGGAGCTCTGCCTGCCTGCTGTCTGTAGTGAACTACTCAAGCTCAGGAAGTCGGAATGAGATCTATTTCATGGAGGCTGTTCTCTTTTTGTTTGTTTAATTATTAGTAGTATTATTTTGGAGTCCGGGTCTTGCTCTGTCACCCAGGCTGGAGTGCAGTGGTGCAATCACAGTTCACTGTAACTTTGAACTCCTGGGATCAAGTAATCCTCCTGCTTCAGGCTCCTGAGTAGCTGGGACTATAGGCTTGTGCCAACATGCTCAGCTAATTTTTAGTTTTTTCAGTAGTGTCAGAGCCTCACTATGCTACCCACCCTGGTCTCAAACTCACGGCCTCAAGCAGTCCTCCCGCCTTGGCCTCCCAAAGTGCTGGGGTTACAGGACTGAGCTTGTGCCTGGTCCCACGGAAGCTGTTCTATGCTTGTATATTGAATGTAATCTTAAAAATGCACTAACAAGGCCAGGCATGGTGGCTCACGCCTGTAATCCCATTACTTTGGGAGGCCCAGGTGGGTGGATCACCTGAGGTTAGGATTTCAAGACCAGCCTCGTCAACGTGGTGAAACTCTGTCTCTACTAAAAATACAAAAATCAGCCTGGCGCACTGGCGCACACCTGTAATCCCAGCTACTGGGGAGGCTGAGGCAGGAGAATCACTTGAACCCAGGAGGCGGAGGTTGTGGTGAGCCGAGATCTTGCCACTGCACTCCAGCCTGGGTGACAGAACGAGACTGTACCTCAAAAAAAAAAAAAAAAAAAAATAGTTCTAAGCCTCTGTGTTGTCAGTCCAATTCACAGAAGGTAGATACATCCCTTACATCACACTGTATTTTCTCCAGAGAGTTGATTGCTTTTATGTTGCCTTTCTATTTTATTTAATATTTCAGCCTACAGTTGTTGGGGTATTTTTTATTTTTTTGCAGTTTATGTAATACAGCCCATCGACCGGCAGGGTGCTGTGGCTCATGTCTGTAATACCAGTACTTTGGGAGGCTGAGGTGGGAGGATAGCTTGAGCCGGGGAGTTTGAGGCAGCAGTGAGCTATGATCGTGCCACTGCACTCCAGCCTAAGCAACAAAGGGAGAACCTGTCTCCAAACAAACAAACAAAAGTCCATTGACCTTTCTCCCTTTATGGTTTTTGCTTTTGCTTTGAGAAATGGCTTGTAGCCCACTCAGCACTCACCTTAGATATTTTTTTGCTATATTTCCTTCCAGTTTATATATAGCTTCATGATTTTAAACTCCATAATCAATCTGATTTTTTTTGGTATATAGGGTATAATATAGAATGAAGATCACTGTATTCCCTTTTTCATTGTGAAGTATATTGTTAATAAAGAGTCCATGAGTGGTGGCTCACACCTGTAATCTTAGCACTTTGGGAGGCCAAGGTGGGAGTATCACTTGAGCCCAGGAGTTTGAGACCAGCCTGGGCAATATGGCGAAAACCCATCTCTACAAAAAATTAATAACTTAATCAGGCATGGTGTCGCATGCCTATGGTACCAGCTACTCAGAAGACTGAGGTGGGAGGATTGCTTGAGCCTGGGAGGTTGAGGCTACAATGAGCTGTGATTGTGCCACTGCACTCCAGCCTGGGTGACAGAGTGAGACCCTGTATCAAAAAATAAATAAATAAATAAATAAATAGAAAAGGGACAAAATATATATCTCGCTCTGTTGTCCAGGCTGGAGTACAGTGAGACAATCTCGGCTCACTGCAACCTCCACCTCCCGGGTTCAAGCGATTCTCTTGCCTCAGCCTCTCGAGTCACTGGGATTACAGTTCAGCACCACGCCGGACTAATTTTTGTATTTTTGGTAGAGACGGGGTTTCACCACTTTGGCCAGGCTGGTCTCAAACTCCTGACCTCAAGTGATCCACCTGCCTCGGCCTCCCAAAGTGCTGGGATTACAGGCGTGAGTCACCGTGCCCAGCCTTATTTTAATTTTTTTTAATGTTTATTTTTTGTCGGTACATAATATACTCTTTTTTAGAGCAGTTTCAGGTTCACAGAAAAATTGAGTGGAAAGTATAGGGTTCCCATATGCCCCTCTCCCCTCATACAGTTTCCACTATTGTTAACATTTTGCATTGATGTCATATATTTGTTAGGATTGATGAGTCAGTATTGATACATTATTAACTAAAGTCCACAGTTCATATTAGGGGTTACCTTTTGTGTTGTGCATTCTGTGGATTTTGGCAAATGTATAGTGACATATAAAAATTCCCCTGTGTCCTTCTTAGTCATCCCTCCTTCCTGTTGCTGACAAAGGGATCCCCATCCAGACCTCAAGATAAGGTTCTTGGATCTGGCACAGGAAAGAATTAAGGATGAGTCTCAGAGTACAGTGAGAAGAGATAGTGTATTGAAAGCTACTTCATTGCAGAGTAGGGCATCCTCAGAAAGCAACAGGACGAATGCACTGTCTTTATTTTAAACTCTTCTAATATAGGGTCTTATCTATGTAAAAGCTAAGCTGTGTCTATGTGCTAGTAGGCTGGCAGCATAACAAATTTATTACCTTGTTGATTTAAAGAAAATTATCCTTGGCATTTTAGTGCGTAAGTATATCAAAAAGCATGACTATAATGGTTGTAAAATCATATATTGTTATGAGAGATCGGGACATCTGGACATTTTGTTGTTGGAGGAGTTTGTCCTTGCAGGCATTACTAAGCTGTTTCTTCAGTTGTAAACATCTTATGACCATGAGCCGTGACCAGCAGGGAATGTGCCTTGCTAGTTTTAAGATGGAGTCTGTTTTAAAATGGTGACACTGGCCGGGCACAGTGGCTCACGCCTGTAATCGCAGCACTTTGGGAGGCCGAGGCAGGTGGATCACCTGAGGTCAGGAGTTAAGACCAGCCTGGCCAACATGGTGAAACCCCATCTCTACGAAAAATACAAAAATTAGCTGGGCATGGTGGTATGGACCTGTAATCCCAGCTACTCAGGAGGCTGAAGCAGGAGAATCACTTGAATCTGGGAGGCAGAAGTTGCAGTGAGCTGGGATCGTGCCATTGCACTCCAGCCTGGGTGACAAGGGTGAAACTCTGTCTCAATAAATAAATAAATAAATAAATAAGGTGTTACCCTGGCTCTCCTATGCTACTGTTTCCCCAACCCTCCCTTCCACCCCAGACCCCAAGCAATCATTGATTTCTTTACTGTCTCCATAGTTTTGCCTTTTCTAGAATGTCATATAGTTGGAATCATAGATGAAGTCATACAGCCTTTTCAGATTGGAGTAGTTCACACTTATGGATAAGCAGCAAGAACATAAGAAACCTCTATGTACCCTTTACTCAGATTCAGCAATTGTTTACCTTTTTTTCCCATTTTGGTTTTTTTTTCCTTTTTTTTTTTTTTTAGAGGCAAAATCTTGCTCTGTCACCCCAGCTGGAGTGCAATGGCACTATCATAGCTCAGTGCAGTCTTGACCTCCTGGGCTCAAGCAATCCTCCCACTTCAGCCTCTCGAGTAGCTGGGACTACAGGCTCCAGCCACCACACCCAGGTAATTTTTTTTTTTTTTTTTTTTTTTTTTTTTGTAGAGATGGGATCTCACTATGCAGCCCAGGCTGGTTTCAAACTCCTGGGCTCAAGTGATCCTCCCCCATCAGCCTCCAAAAGTGCTGGGTTTACAGCCATGAGCCACCGTGCCCCGTCTTGTCCCAGTCCTTTTTTTGTTTGTTTTTGAGACGGAGACTCACTCTGTCACCTAGGCTGGAGTGCAAAGGCGCCATCTCGGTTCACTGCAACCTCCGACTCCCAGGTTCAAGCGATTTCTCATGTCTCAGCCTTCCAAGCAGCTGGGACTACAGGTATGAGCCACCATGTCCAGCTAATTTTTTGTATTTTTAGTAGAAAAGAGATTTTGCCATGTTGACCAGGCTGGTCTCAAACTCCTAACCTCAAGTGATCTGCCCTCCCCCCACCCCTTGGCCTCCCAAAGTGTTGGGATTATAGGCGTGAGCCACCGTGCCTGGCCCCATTTTTTTTTTTAGTTAACCATTTGTCCCCTGCTCTTCTTCATATAGGTATATCTGGATCTCTCTGAAAGGATTTTGCAGACACGACGCCTCTTTATCCCTAAAAAAATCCATGTATATTTCTTGAGAACAAAGGCATTTATCTTACACATTACACTTATCAAAATCCAGAGGTGTAACATTGATACAGAACTATTACCCAATCCACAGTTCCGATTCGAATTTTGCCACCCACTAATGTAATTTATCTCTTTTTTTTTTCCTGGTCTTTGAGCCATTCCTGGATCACACATTGCAATTAATTGCCATGTCTCTCAAATCTCCCTTAGTCTGAAACATTTTGTTAGCCTCTGTCTTCTGAATTTTTTTTTTTTTTTCCTGAGACAGGGGCTTGCTCTGTCACTGAGGCTGGAGTGCAGTGGCATGACCACTGCAGCCTCAAACTCCCTGGCTCAAGTGATCCTTCTTCCTTAGCCTCCCGAGTAGCTGGGACTAAGGCATGTGCCACCACGCCTGGCTAATTTTTAATTTCTTTGTAGAGACAAAGAGTCTCGCTGTGTTGCCCAGACTGGTCTTGAACCCTTGGCTTCAAGCAATCCTCCCTTTTCAGCCTCCCACAGTGTTGGGATTACAGGCATGAGCCACTGCACTCGGTAGTCTTTTGATATTTTTGAAGAGTACGGGATAATTCATGTATATTTATGTCTCTTGATTTGGTTTAATGTTTCCTCATAGTTGGATTTAGGGTTTGAATACCTGGCAGAAAAACCACAGAATTGATGTGTCCTACTCAGGGAATCATTGCAGCAGGGAGTCCGTGATGGCTACTTATTATTGATGATGTTATTTTTATTTATTTTTTTCTTTTCAGAGACAGAGTCTCCTTTTGTTGCCCAGGCTGGTACAATTGTAGTTCACTGTAACCTCAAACTCTTAGACTCATGCAATCCTCCTGCCTAGGCCTCTCAAAGCTTGGGATTTTGAGAACAAAGACATTTTCTCTCACACATTACATTTATTTATTACATTACTTATTTATTTACTACATTACATTTACCAAAATTCAGAGATGTAACATTGATACAGAACTATTATCCAATCCACAGTTCAGATTTGAATTTTGCCACCCACTAATGTAATTTATCTCTTTTTTTTCTGGCCTTTGATCCAATTCTGGACCACGAATTGCAATTAGATCATTACATTTGCATGAGGCATGAGCCACCACACCCAACCTATTTTTGATTTTTAAATAAGGTTGTTTTGCTGGTTTTATCCACTCTACAGATATTACCCCTTTGTAATTAATAAGTAATTTGTGGGGAGATACTTTGAGACTATTTGAAGACCTTGTTCCTCATCAACTTTTCACTCATTAGTCTAGCATTCATTGAAGAGTCCTACCTGAACAATGATTACTACGGCAGTTGCAAAATAGTGATTTTTCTAAGTCCATCATTCCTTTTTAATTTTTTAGTTGTTAGTTTAGATATACTTTGATGAATAGAAATGTTTAAGTATAATGTCAAATTTGAAAGATGTTCCTTTATAGGCAGTGCATTTAGTCTATTCTAAAAGCTTTTAAGTTTACCATTCATATTTAATTCTTTTGTCTAGCTGAGTTCAGTTTTGTTTATGGCATGAACTGCGGGTTCTGTTTCATTTTACTTTCCACATATGGATATCCAAATGTCTCAGCACCTGTCATTTCATAAGTCTTCTGTTTTCTCATGGATTAACATTTTTTTTTCTCCAAATAGTCAACTGTGTTTTTTGGATTAAAAGTATAATAATTCAGCTGGGTATGGTGGCTCATGCCTGCAATCCCAGCACTTTGGGAGGCTGAGGCAGGTGGATCACTTGAGGCCAGGAGTTCAAGTCCAGCCTGGGCAACATGACAAAACCTGTTTCTACTAAAAATACAAAAATTAGCCAGGCATGCTCGTGCACACCTGTAATTCCAGCTACTTGGGAGTCTGAAGAATGAGAATTGCTTGAACCCTGGAGGCAGAGGTTGCAGTGAGCCAAGATCACGCCACTGCACTCCAGCCTGGGCCACAGAGCGAGACTCTGTCCCAAATAATAATAATAATAATAAAGTATAATAATTCACTGAAAATCATTTCTCCCAAAAGTAACCCGTACTATTCTTCCAATAGCACCGATTTTCGAGTTTAATGGTTTTTTTTTGTTTTTTGCTTTTTTTTGTGAGAGTTTCTCTCTGTCATCCAGGGTAGAGTGCAGTGGTTCAACCATAGCTCACTGTAAATTCAAACTACTCGGCTCAAGCAATTCTCTTGTCTTAGCCTCCCTAGTAGCTGGGACTACAGCTGTGTGCCAACATGGCTGGCTAATTTTTTTTTTTTGTATTTTTTGTAGCAACAGGAGTCTTGCTATATTGCCTAGGTTGGTCTTGAACTGCTAGGCTCAAGCAATCTCCCAACTTCAATCTCCCAAAGTGCTGGGATTGAGCCACCACTCCCGGCATTTCTTAAAAATTTAAAGGGGTTAAAAAAAAAAAAGCAAAGAAGAATAATAGTTCATGAAATGTGAAATATTTCCTACTTAGCCCTTTACAGAAAAAGTTTATTGACCCTTTTTCTAAATATTTTTCAGCCATTCCAGTTTGATAAATGACTAGCTGAACTTACAACATTTACCAAAAGTTTGTTTTTTTTTTTTTTACTATATTTTATGATGGTTTAATCACATGGGATGATTTTAGTTTTTAGAAGATTTTTACAATATTATAGTTGACTGCTTTTTGTTTTGCCTTCTCAGCAGCCTTTTAAAGAATGTTCAGCAAGTATGATGGCTCAAGCCTGTCATCCCAGCACTTTGGGGAGATGAGGTGAGAGGATCGCTTGAGCTCAGGAGTTCAAGACCAGCCTCGGCAACATAGGGAGACCCCCATTTCTACCAAAAATTAAAAAATCAGCAGGGCGTGGTGGTGTGCACCTGCAGTCCCAGCTACTTGGGAGGCCAAGGTGAGAGGATCACTTGAGCCCAGGAGGTTGAGGTTGCAGTGAACTATGATCTTGCCACTCCGCTCCAGCCTGGGAGACAGAGCAAGACCCTGTTTTGTTTTGTTTTGTTTTGTTTTGTTTTGTTTTGTTTTCAGATGGAATTTCCCTCTGTTGCCCAGGCTGGAGTGCAGTGGCGTGATCTTGGCTCACTGCAACCTCTGCTTCCCAGGTTCAAGCAATTCTTCTGCCTCAGCCTCCTGAGTAGCTGGGATTACATGCATGAACCACCACGCCAAGCTAATTTTTATATTTTTAGTAGACATGGGGTTTCACTGTGTTGGCCAGGCTGGTCTCCAACTCCTGACCTCAAGTGCTCTGCCTGCTTGGCCTCCCAAAGTGCTGGGATTACAGGCGTGAGTCACTGCGCCAGGCCTAAATGAGACCCTGTCTCCTAAAAGAAAAAAAAAATTCAATTTGTAGAAATGTAAAGTAATAAATTAAGTCATCATATGAATAGATTTTCCGAAAATTGATGTGAGAAATCCATTGTTTTCCCACTATTCATTTAATTCAAAACTCATTCAATTTGAAAAATTTAAAAGTTTGACAATACCATGTGTGAGAGTTGGAGACCAGACCAATTGTTTCCCAAAGTGATTATTCCAATATACATTCCATCACTGGTGGGGGATGTATCCCAGTGATGGGATATATATTGGAACGATCACTTTGGGAAACAATTTGGCATTTTCTAGCAAATTTGAACACTCCTATACTCTATGTAATTTCATTCTTGCTTATATACCCATGGTAAAATTTAATTCTAGCAACTTTGAGCATTCCTTTACCCTATGAATCAGTAATTCTATTCTTGATTCTATACCCGAGGTAAAATTTAACTATACTTGCACAAGAATTCATGGAAGCTGTCTTTTTAAGACAAAAATCTGGAAAGCTTGGCATGGTGACACATACCTATAGTCCCAGCTACTCAGGAGGCTGATGCAGGAGGATTGCGTGAGCCCGGGAGGCCACCACTGCACTCCAGCCTGGGTGCCCAGAGGGAGACCCTGTCTCAAAAAAAAAAAAAAAGGCTGGGCATGGTAGCTCGTGCCTGTAACTGTAATCCCAGCACTTTGGGATGCCAAGGCAGGAGGAGGATTACTTGAGCTCAGGAGTTCTACATTAGTTTGGGCAACATGGTGAAATCCTATCTCTACAAAAAATGCAAAAATTAGCCAGGCGTGGTGGTGCTCACCTGTAGTCCCAGTTATTTGTGAGGCTGCAGTGGGATGATTGCTGGAGCCCAGAAGGCTGAAGGTGCAGTGAACTATGATAATCCCACTGCACTCTAGTCTGGGTGCCAGAGTGATACCTAGTCTCAAAAAAAAAAAAAAAAAAAAAAGCTGGAAACAACCCAAACACCCATCAACAAGAAAAGATTGTTGTTGTGGTCTATCCAGATAATGGGATATCATACAGCAGTGAAATAAATGAAATATAGCTACATGTAATAATATGGTGGTGAAATCTTTTTAGCTCATCTGGGTCCACAAAGCAAGTATCCAAAGATGACATAACTTTTTAATGAATTTCAAAGACGCATAAAACTGAGCAATACATTATTTAGCTAGGCATACCTCTTTTTAATTTAATTTTTTTTTTTTTTAGAGACAGAGTCTCGCTCTGTTGCCCTGGGTTCAAACAATCTTCCTGACTCAGCCTCCTGAGTAGCTAGGACCCACTCAGTTAACTAATTTTTTTTTTTTTTTTTTTTTTTTTTAGAGACAGGGTCCCACTACGTTGCCCAGAATGGTCTTGAACTCCTGGCCTCAGGGGATCCTCCTGTCTTGGCTTCTGGAAGTGCTGGGATTACAAGCAAGAGCCATGGCACTTAGACCTTAATACTTCTTTTAAAAGGGTGACTAAACAACACAAAATTCAGGGGCTGGGCATGGTGGCTCACACCTGTAATCCCAGCACTTTGGGAGGCTGAGGCAGGCGAATCTCTAGAGGTCAGGAGTTCGAGACCAGCCTGGCCAAAATAGTGAAACCCTGTCTCTACTGAAAATACAAAAATCAGTGGGGTGTGGTGGTGCTTGCCTGTAATCCTAGCTACTCCGGAGGATGAGGCAGGAGAATCACTTGAACCCGGAAGGCAGAGGCTGCAGTGAGCTGAGATCGCACCACTGCACTCCAGCCTGGGTGGCAGAGTGAGACTCTGTATCAAAAAAAAAAAAAAAAAAAAAAAGGCCGGGCGCGGTGGCTCATGCCTGTAATCCCAGCAGTTTGGGAAGCCGAAGCGGGCAGATCACCTGAGGTCGGGAGTTCAAGACCAGCCTGACCAACATGGAGAAACCCCGTCTCTACTAAAAATACAAAATTAGCTGGGCATGGTGGCACATGCCTGCAATCCCAGCTACTTGGGAGGCTGAGGCAGGAGAATCATTTAACCCCCCAGGAGGCAGAGGTTGTGGTGAGCTGAGATCGTGCCACTGCACTCCAGCCCGGGCAACAAGAGCGAAACTATGTCTCAAAAACAAACAAACAAACAAACCCCCACCAAACAAACAAAATTCAGGATGGTGATTACCTCTGAGATGGAAAGATGAGATAGGAGGAAACCATCCGATCCCTCCATGTCCCCTCCCAGAGATGTGAGTTGTTGGTAATGATGTTGTTCTTGGGTGAGTGAGTGAGTTCACAAGTGTTCATTATTTTACTATAAATAAATAAAGAAAAAATAATTAAACTAACAGAGAGTCATGCCTAGGGCAATGATGATGAGGTGTTACGACATTAGGATTATGATTAATTCATTTATGTTTTCCTGAGTTTCCTTCTCTCCCCCCCTCCACGAACCGACTGCCAGCAAAGCATCTTATAAACATTCAGACAGAAAAATGTAGTTCCTTTCAAAGAAACAATAATTAGGCTAGCTCCCTAAATCTAGTTAAGATTAGATTACTCTGATTAGATTAATCCAGATTAAATTTGGCTGATCTAGTTATTTACGGTTATGGCATTAGCTGGTGGTGTTTGTGTGTGTGTGTGTGTGTGTGTGTGTGTGTGTTTGTTTTTTGAGACAGGGTCTTGCTGTGTTGCCCAGGATGGAGTGCAGTGGCACAACCACAGCTTTCTGCAGCCTCAACCTCCTCGGCTCAAGCGATCCTTCTGCCTCAGCCTCCTGTGTAGCTGGGACCACAGGCACGTGCCACCACTCCTGGCTAATTTTTAAATTTTTTGTACGGGTGGGGTCTCACTATATTGCCCAGGCTGGTCTCAAACTCCTGGGCTCAAGTGATCCTCCTACCTCTGCTTCCCAAAGTGCTGGGATTCCAGGCCTGAGCCACTGTGCCCAGCAGCATTAGCTGTTTTTTCACTTAATGCCATAACCACAAATAAAACCCATTTTTTCCTTCTGCTTTAATAAGTTGGTTCTAGTTTCCTTGCATTAGGATCAGACCAGGGACTTGGCCATCAGACTTCAGGTGATGTGGGGGCCTGGAGTGAGGTATGCCATCAGTGACCTTCCATTATCTCATGTCCTCTAGCTTCATTCCACCCCATCACAGTGGGACTCAGAGGCTAGGAATGCTCTGGAAAGGTGGAGCCTCATAAAAGTGTCCGGCGTGTGGCCATTACATGTAGACAGGCATGCCAGTTTTGCTTTTTCTAGGAATTCAAGGCTTCAAGTAAACATGAAGGAGGGGCAGAAATGGGAGTGTTACTTGTGCCAGAGCCAAGGCAAAACAAAAGAACCTCCAAGAAGCTGCTTGGCTCTTGGGTGAATGTGACCTACTCATTCATTCCTCCAAATATGAAATACGTCATGAGTGCCAATGTGTGACAAGCCCTGAGAGGGAGCCAGGCAATCGGTGGTGATAAGATCAAAGCCCCTGCCTGCAGGGAGTTTTCAAAAAGTAAAGGGAGTCATGTCATTTTAGAGGCTGGGCTTGAATCCTGGCTCCAACACTTGCTGTGTGACCTTGGGAAAGTTATACAACTTCTCTGGCCCGTGGTTTTCTCCACGGTCAGCTTCACCGGCCCTGTGTGACTATTCAGAAGGGCTCTGTGCTTCAGTTAATGTTCTACTGTCACTGTCTTGACCTTCTTTAGAGCAGTTTAAACACTGGGGGCCAGGTACAGTGGCTCACGCCTGTAATCCCAGCGCTTTGGGAGGCCAAGGCTGGCGGATTACTTGAGGTCCGGAGTTCAAGACCAGCCTGACCAACATGGTGAAACCCCCATCTCTATTAAAAATACAAAAATTAGCCGGGCGTGGTGGTGTGCGCCTGTAATCCCAGCTACTTGGGAGGCTGAGGCAGGAGAATTGCATGAACCTGGGAGGCGGAGGTTGCAGTGAGCTGAGATTGCACCCACTGCACTCCAGTCTGGGTGACAGAATGAGACTCCGTCTCAGAAAAAAAAAATTTTTTTAAACATGTTTTTATTTTACTCTGAGTCCCTCAAATTATGTAGCTGGATTCGGTTTCTTGATTTGTGAAACAGGGCTAAAATAGTCCCTTCCTAGAAACAAAGTAGAATGGTGGTTTCCAGGGACTGGCAGTGAGGGGTGGGGAAGAAGGAAATGGGGAAATGGTATTCAAAAAATACAGAGTTTCAGTTTTGCAAGACAAAAATTCCTAGAGATCTGTTGCACAACAGTGTCAATATACTTAATACTACTGAACTGTGCACTTAAAAATGGTTGCGAGAATAAATTTTATGTTATGTGTAAAAAAATGATATGAAAGATAACAAAAGTACCTTCCTCATACAGCTGTTTTTGTTTTGTTTTGTTTTGTTTTTGAGACAAGATCTCATTCTGTCACCCAGGCTGGAGTACAGTGGCACAACCACAGCTCACTGCAGCCTTGACCTCCTGGGCTTAGGTGATCCTCCCACCTCAGCCTCCCAAGTGGCTGGGACTACAGGCTCATGCCACCACACCCAGCTAATTTTTTTTTTAGTAGAGATGGGATCTCACTATGTTGCCCAGGCTGGTTTCAAACTCCTGAGTTCAAGCTATCCTCCCACCTGTGCTGAGATTACAGGCATAAGCCACCATGCTCAGTCCTTCATAGAGTTTTTAAGGCAATTTAATGATCGTGCCTGGTACACAAGCACCACTTAGGGGTTGTTTGGGACATAAATTCATGTGGCATGTTTCTCTGAAGTGCTTCCAACTTGGTAAACCTAACACCAACAAAACAACACCTGCTTGCATTTACCATGCATTTTCTGTTCACCATACCCTGAGCCAAACACTTTTTACTGCACTGAATTCTTAAATCTTCCCAGCAACACTGTGAATCCATCCCAATATTATCCCATTTTATAGATGACGCAATGAAGTTTAGAGAGTTGAGGTCACACAGGAGCCATCATTTAAAATGGATGTGAGCTGGATGTGGTGGCTCATGCCTGTAATACCAGTGCTTTAGGATGCCGAGGTTGGGGGATTGTTTGACATCAGTTCAAGACCAGTCTGGGCAATAAGGTGAGATGCTGTCTCTACAACAACAACAACAACAAAAAAGTTACATTATAAAAACAAAACTAAACCAGAGACCAGGCACAGTGGCTCACACCTGTAATCCTAGCACTTTGGGAAGCCAAAGTGCTTGAGCCCAGGAGTTTGAGAACAGCCTGGGCAACAGTGAGACCCCATTCCCACAAAAAATACAAAAATTAGCTGGATGTGTTGGTGCATGTCTGTAGTCCCAGCTACTCGGGAGACGGAGGTGGGAGGATCGCTTGAGCCCAGGAGGTGGAGGTTGCAATGAGCTCTGATCTTGCCACTGCACTCTAGCCTGGGTGACAGAGTGAGACTCTGTCTCAAACAAACAAACAAACAAACAAAACAACATCAAAACCTCCAAGAAAACGGGATGTGTCTTGCCAGGGAGAGCAGTGTCTCCCCCACTCCACCAACTCTATTTTCCTGCATGTGGCTAACATTTCCCGTGGAGAACAGGAGCAGAGCTGGCCCTCTGTAAACAGACCAACATATCCCCTTGCGACAGTGAGTCTCCTATTATCTTTGTTTTTATCTTGTCTCAGCTTTGAGATAAGATTCCCAGAGGGCACAGACCTTGTCTGCCTCACCTGTGTCTTCCCTAAGCTCGTGGCAGGGGTTGGGGAATTATTTGTGGGGCCCCAGAATGACTCTTGATAAGTGGTTCTGTCTGGCTTCCGCAGCAGTGACAAGCTTGATAGATTAAAGCAGAGTGCTGGCCTGGAGTCTCCCCTCGCACTGCTGAACCTCCCTGGACGAAGTGCAGACGGGGAAGCCTTCGCTCATCTGGGTCATCTCTCAGGCTTTGTGAGTGATGCTGCCAGCAAATATCTGCCCCGCCCTCCTCTCCCCAACTCTGCAACCGGGGTTGCTGGTCCTATAGGCCTGGTGCTGTACTACAGGCTTAACAGGTACTATCTCACTTATCCTTGTGATGACCTGGTGAAGGAGGCCTGATTCTTCTCCCTGTTTTACAGAGGAAGAAACCCCGGGCTTACAGAAGGAAACCTCAGGTTATATATCCCAGAGGTGGGTCCAGGGCCCCCGCTAATAGTGATGGAGTCAGGGTTCAAACTCAGGGGGTGAGCTCGCCCTCCCTGTTAGGTGCTCCTAATGGTGTCTGTCACACCAGTGCCCATCTCAGGCACAGTAAGTCCTCACCTAACGTCATTAACAGGTTATTGGAAACTGTGACTTTAAGCGAAACAACACATAACAAAACCAGTTTTACCATAGGTTTATTGATATTAACAAGAGTTAAATTCTTACGGCATATTTCTGGTCAGAAAAACATCACCAAACTTCTAAATAAAGACCAACACACTTCTCCTATTGAACATTGAAATGAATGTGAGCTATACATACTTTTAAGAAAGATTAAGAAAAACATGTAAGATTGTTATTTTCCTGTTTATTCCAGTTCACGGTCTCGGGTGGCCTGAGCCTGTCCTGGCAGCCCAGGGTGCGTGATGCGACCCCATCCCGGCAAGACACTCTCCATCACAAGGCACACTCACAGACACACTCACTCACACTGGGACCATGTAGACGCCCGGTTCCCCGAACAGGCACAGCTTTACAATGTCGGAGGAAACCTAATGAGGTAACCCATGCAGATGGGGGGAGAGTGTGCGAATTCCAGATAGTGGCCCCGGCTGGCGATTGAGTTATGGTGAAACCACTGATGTTGAATGAAACAATGTATTATTCAAGGACCTTCTTTTTTTTTTTTCTTTTTTGAGATGGAGTCTCCCTCTGTCGCCCAGGCTGGAATGCAGTGGCATGATCTGAGCTCACTGCAGCCTCCGCTTCCTAGGTTCAAGTGATTCTCCTGCCTCAGCCTCCTGAATAGCTGGGATTACAGGCGCACGCCACCACACCCGGCTAATTTTTGTATTTTTAGTAGAGACAAGGTTTCACCATGTTGGCCAGGCTGGTCTGGAACTCCTGACCTCAGGTGATCCGACCACCTCAGCCTCCCAAAGTGCTGGGATTATAGGTGTGAGCCACTGTGCCTGGCCAACATGGTAAAACCCAGCTTTAGAATGCAGTAAGTGCTGGGAAGACAATAAAGCAGGGTAGTGAGATGGAGAGTGATGGGGAGGCAGAGAGCAAGGGTGACTTAACATTGGGTGGTCAGAAAAGGCCTCCGTGAAGAGGTGACATTTGACTTGACATTTGATTGACAAGAAAGAGTTAGCCATAGGAAGTTCTAGGGGAAAAACTTTCTTGGTAGGGTGAACAGCAAGTGCTGAGGCCCTGAGGTTTGATCAAGAGAAATTTAGGCAGGCACAGTGGCTCACACTTGTAATCCCAGCACTTTGGGAGGCTGAGGTGGGAGGATCACTGGAGCTCAGGAGTTTGAGGCCAGCCTGGCCAACATAGTGAGACCCTGTCTCTATAAAATAAACTGGCTGGGCGCGGTGGCTCATGCCTGTAATCCCAGCACTTTGGGAGGCCGAGGTGGGCAGATCATGAGGTCAGGAGATTGAGACCATCCTGGCTAACACAGTGAAACCCCATCTCTACTAAAAATACAAAAAATTAGCCGGGTGTGGTGGCGGGCACCTGCAGTCTCAGCTACTTGGGAGGCTGAAGCAGGAGAATGGCGTGAACCTGGGAGGTGGAGCTTGCAGTGAGCGGAGATCGTGCCACTGCATTCCAGCCTGGGAGACAGAGTAAGACTCTGTCTCAAAAAAAAAAAAACAAAAAAACACCAAAACACTAAAAAATTAACTGAGCATGTTAGTGCTTGCCTGTAGTCCCAGCTACTTAGGAGGCTGAGGTGGGAGGATCGCTTGAGCCCCAGAGGTCGAGGCTGCGAGGAGCTTTTATCATGCCACTGCATTCCAGTCTGGGTGACAGAGTAAGACCCTGCCTCCAAAAAAAGGGGAGGGGGAGGGAAGAGTCAAAAGGCCAATGTGGTTGAATGAAGTGTGGTTATTGGGGTTGGGGTTGTGGGGAGTGGTAGGGCTTGGGCCTGACAGATGAGCAGAGGTCAGATAGTGTAGGATCATAAAAGACACGTGAATGAATTTAGATTTGAGAAGGGAATGTTCTAGAAGGGTATGAGAACTGAAGACATTCCTATTTTAATGTTCAGGATTCTCAGTATGGTTGGTACCGTGGGTTCCTAAGTCCTTCAACTTACAACTGAACTGTAATTATCATCAAGAGCATCCTGGGAGGTTCCAGGAACTTGCAGGGGCTCAGGAGAGCATGGGGTTGCCAGGTGTGGTTTATTTAGAATGCAGAGATTGGGTGACACACACCATGGCTCATAGCATCTTTGCCAGAGGCCACATGACCAGAGTTACAGCTTCAGCCACGCAGGTATGGATGATCCAAGGGGCAGGGGCAGCTGTTTCCTGCCGAAGCTCCTGGAGCCTGTTCCACCTGTTGCTCAGGCTGGTGACATAGATCTATCAGGAATGGGTCAGAGGTTACCCTAATAATCTAGGCCTGCAATTTGGTTGAGAACCCATAAGAGGCTGGCAGCAGCAATCCTCCCCTGTAAATCAGGAAAAGGGAGACCAGGAGGTAAGGATGTTCATATTTCGGCACTGATTCAATGCCAAGGCATGGAGATTTTTCCAAATACAGAGGCTGGAGATTCTGATTCAGCAGGTCTTTGAGGGAAGCCCAGGTGATTCTGATGCAGACCCAGGATGAAGAAGCACCACATTCGGCTGGCCGTGGTAGCTCACGACTGTAGTCTCAGTTACTTGGGAGGCTGAGGCGGGAGGATCAGCTATGATTGCACCACAGCACTCTAGTCTGGTCAACGAGTGAGACACTGGCTCTTTGCAATTTTTTTTTTTTTTTTTTGAGACAGGGTCTTGCTCTGTCACCCAGACTGGAGTGCAAAGGTGTGATCTCAGCTTACCACAACCTCCACCTCTTGGGCTCAAGTGATCCTCCTGCCTCAGCCTCCCAAGTAGCTGAGGCCACAGGTGTGCACCACCACCCCCGGCTATATTTTTGTATTTTTAGTAGAGAGGGAGTCCCACTATGTTGCCCAGGCCGGTCTCGAACTCCTGAGCTTGAGCTATTGGCCCTCCTTGGCCTTCCAAAGTGTTGGGATTACAGGCATGAGCCACTGCACCTGGCCTGACACTGACTCTTCAAAACAAAACAAAACAAAAACAAACCCCACATTATAGGTTCCACATGATTAGGTGCACGGATGCAGGCACCACATGGCCTTGGTTCAAATCCCAGCTCCACCACGTACTCCATGAAGGATACTGAGCAAATCACGTAAACTCACTGTGCCTTCATGTCCTCACCATCAGATGGAGCCGATAATCAGAGGACCTCACTGATGGGCTGTGGCAGGGAATAAAGTACCTGAGCAGCAGTACCTGTACACTGTAAGTGCCACAAAAATATCAACCATCACTGTGCTTTCTCATTGAATTTCTGCGCAAGCCTGCAAGGAAAGACTCATTGACATTCAGTTTTATAAATGAGAACTGAGGTGAAGCGGCCCTTCCAAGGTCATGCTGACAGTGTTTTATTTGTCAACACACACAAAAACCAAAACCACACTCCATCTTAAATTGCTCAAATGATCTGGGATCTGATGGCCCATATCACCTGTTGCTCTGAAGACAGGAGGGTTGAAGAGTTGTGATCTTTCTCTTTCTTCCTTCCTTTCCTTCCTCCCTCCCTCCCTCCTTCTTTCCTTTCTTTCGTTTTTTTTTTTTTTTTTTTTTTTTTTGACGGAGTTTTGCTCTTGTCGCCTAGGCTGAAGTGCAGTGGCACAATCTCAACTCATTGCAACCTCCACTTTTTGGGTTCAAACAATTCTCCTGCCTCAGCCTCCCAAGTAGCTGGGATTACAGGTGTGAGCCACCGCGCCCAGCTGGGTTGTGACATTTCTGAAGGTGAAATGTGGCAGTTAAAGAGTGAGGCAAGCTGGGCGCGGTGGCTCACATCTGTAATCCCAGTGCTTTGGGAGGCCCAGGTGGGAGGATTGTTTGAGCCCAGGAGTTGGAGACCAGCTTGGGCAACATAGCAAGACCCCATTCTTCAAAAAAAAAAGAGTAAGGCAAAAATTCATTCCCATCCTGGATCAACCCTGTGCAGATAACAACTGTAAACTCTGGAAAAAATGTGAAAACCTGAAAGCACTGAGGAGTGAGCACAAGCAGGCAGGTGCTAGAGTGGTGCTGCCACTTGGGACAAGCCGGGTGAGTGCCTCGTTTTTGAGGGCAGGGCAAGTCTGTGCCAAGGTCTGGGAGTAGCTTAAACCCTGCAAAAAAAACCTGGTTTTATGTGGAAAAACCAGAGGGCAGGGTATGCACAAACACAGTGTCTGGAGATCGAGGCAGGGGGAATCCTGGAAAAGAGAGATCTGGGGAAGGGGAGACCCCAATTCTATATATGGGCCAGGCACACTGCCTCATGCCTGTAATCCCAGCACTTTGGGAGGGCTGAGGCAGGTGGATCACTTGAGGTCAGGAGTTTAAGACCAGCCTGGCCAACATGGCGAAACCTTGTCTCTACTAAAAATACAAACATCAGCCAAGCGTGATGTCACATGCCTGTAATCCCAGCTAGTCGAGAGGCTGAGGTGGGAGAATCGCTGGAACCCGGAAAGTGGAGATTGCAGTGAGGCAAGATCACGCCACTGCACTCCAGCCTGGGCGACAAGAGTGAAACTCTGTCTCAAAAAAAAAAAAAAGGAATTAGATGGCATACTATTTACTGTTGTGGAAAGGTGTCCAAGATATATATAGACAAGTGAAAAGCACAGTAAAAACCAATGTATAATATGCTACCAAAATTATATCTATCTATCTATCTATCTATCTATCTATCTATCTATCTATCTATCTATCTATCTATCTGCAGTTGGCCCTTGAACAACCTGGGTTTGAACTGCTTGAGTCCATGGATTTTTTTCAATAAATGTATTGGAACATGTTTAGGAGATTTGCAATAATTTGAAAAAACTTAGGCTAGGTGTGGTATCTCATGTCTGTAATCCCAGCACTTTGGGAGGCCAAGGTGGGAGAATTGCTTGAGGCTGGGAGTTCAAGACCAGCCTGGGCAACAAATTGAGACCCTGTCTTTACAAAAAATTAAAGAATTAGCTGGGCATGGTGGTGTGTGCCTGTAGTCCCAGCTACTTGGGAGGCTGAGGTGGGAGGATCACTTGAGCCCAGGAGGTGAAGGTTGTAGTGAGCCGAGATCACACCACTGCACTCCAGGCTGGGTGACAGAGTGAGATCCTGCCTCCAAAAAAAAAAAAAAAAAAGAAAAAGAAAAAAGAAAAAAGAAATTTGCAGAAAAACTGCATAGCCTAGAAATATCGAAAAAATTTAAAAAATAGGTATGGCATGAATGCATAAAATATATGTAGATGGTAGCCTATTTTGTCATTTACTACCATAAAATACCCTTGAAACAGTTAAGACTAACTCCTCCTTTTCCTCCTCCTCTTCAGTCTACTCAGCATGAAGTTCTTTTTTTTTCTAATAAATTATTCTTTTTCAAGACTCCTAGACCTGAGGCAATTTTTTTTCTTTTTTTTAAAAGACTTTTGAAAGGATGGAGATCTTTATGATAATCTACTTATACTTAACAAATAGTAAATAATTTTTCTCTTCCTTTTGATTTTCTTAATATTTTCTCTGGCTTACTATATTGTAAAAATATAGTATATGATATATTTACCATACAAAATACGTATTCATCAACAGCCTATGTTATTGATAAGATTTCCAGTCAACAGTGGGCTATTAGTATTAATAGTTAAGTTTTGGGGAAGTCAGAAGATAACATTTGCATTTTCAACTGCATGGAGGGTTGGTGCCCCAAACCTTCATGTTGTCCAAAGGTCAACTGTATATAAATTATGTTTTGTTTATTTTTTTGAGACAGGGTCTGGCTCTATTGCCCAGGCTGGAGTGCAGTGGGGTGATCTCGGCTTACTGCAGCCTTGACCTCCTGGGTTCAAGTGATCCTCCCACCTCAGCCTCCTGAGTAGCTGGGACTAAGGGCATGCACCTTGGCATGTTCAGCTAATTTTTGCATTTTTAGTAGAGAGAGGTTTCACCACGTTGGCCAGGCTGGCCTCGAACTGCCGACCTTAAGTGATCCGCCCTCCTCGGCCTCCCAAAGTGCTGGGATTACAGCACCGGGCCTATTTGGTTCCTTTCGATCCCTTATATTTTCTTATAGTGGTTTTGCAGTTTCAGATCTTATGTTTAAATATTTAATCCAGTTTGAGTTCATTCTTGCATAAGGGGTGAGATAACGGTCTGTTTTCCCTGTGCCCGTGGATTTCCAGCTTTAGTTTCATTTGATTTGAAGCGACTTTAGCAAGTGAATGCTGTTGATGGCTGCCCCCTAGTGGACTCCCATGAGATTGTGTTTTCGTGGTCTGCTCTTTTCCGCGGGAGGACCTCTACTGGATACCAGCACCTGGCCTCCAGCAGAGGGTAAACAAATTAATACTCCCTAGTGTGGCAAGAGTTTAGATAAATCACATTCTTATCCCCGCAGCATGGACACACGCTCGGGGAACAAGATGAAGATCTGCCTTCAATATCACCGTTATGATTACAAGGCTGGACTGGCCGTCAGAGAAGCACAACAGGACCAGGTGGGGTGGCTTACGCCTGAAATCCCAGCACATTGGGAGGCTGAAGCAGGAGGATCACTTGTGCCTAGGAGTTCAAGACTATCCTGAGCAACATAGCGAGACTCATCTCTACAAAAATTAAAAAATTAGCCAGGGATGGTGGCGTGTGCCTGTAGTCCCAGCTACTCAGGAGGCTGAGGTGGGAAGATTGCTTGAGTCCAGGAGGTCAAGGCTGCAGTGAGCTATGATCACACCACTGCACTTCAGCCTGGGTGACAGAGCAAGTCCCTGTCTTAAAAAAAAAGAAAAGAAAAGAAAAGAAAAAAGCCGGGACTGGTAGCTCACACCTGTAATCCCAGCACTTTGGGAGACTGAGGCTGGTGGATCACCTGAGGTCAGGAGTTCAAGATCAGCCTGACCAACATGGTGAAACCCTGTCTCTAGTAAAAATACAAAAAAATTAGCTGGGTGTGGTGGTGGGCGCCTGTAATCCCAGCTATTCAGGAGGCTGAGGCAGGAGAATCGCTTGAACCCAGGAGGCAGAAGTTGCAGTAGCTGAGATCGCACCATTGCATTCCAGCCTGGGTGACAAGAGCAAAACTCCATCAAAAAAAAAAAAAAAGAAAGAAAAAAGAGAAAAGGCACAACAGGCTTTAGTCTAATAGTTCTTCAACCTTGAGGCTGGACAATCTTTTGTTGTGGGAGACTGTCCTTTGCGTTGTAAGATGTTTAATTACATGCTTGGGTCTTTATATGCTAGATGCTAGTAGCATCCCTTCCTCCATTATGACAACCAAAAATATCTCCACACATTGCCTATGGTCCCTTGGGGGGCCAAGTTGCCCCCATTTTTTTTTTTAGATGGAGTCTTGCTTTGTCTTCCAGGCTGAAGTGCTGTGGTGTGATCTCGGCTCACTGCAACCTCCACCTCCCGGGTTCAACTGATTCTCCTGCCTCAGCCTCCTGAGTAGCTGGGATTACAGGTGTGCGCCACCATACCCAGCTAATTTTTGTATTTTTAGTAGAGACTGGGTTTCACCATGTTGGCCAGGCTGGTCTCGAATTCCTGACCTCAGGTGATATGCCTGCCTCAGCCTCCTAAAGTGCTGGGATTACAGGCATGAGCCACCACATATGGCCTTTTTTTTTTTTTTTGGAAACAGGGTCTCATTCTGTCATCCAGGCTGTAGTGCAGTGGTGCAATCACAGCTTACAACAGCCTCGATTTCCTGGGTTCAAGCGATCCTCCCACTTCAGCCTCCTGAGTAGCTGGGACTACAGGCGTGTGTCACCATGCCCAGCTGATTTTTTAATTTTTATTTTTACTAGAGACGGGATCTTGCTGTGTTACCTGGGCTGGTCTTGAGCTCCTGAGCTCAAGCAATCTGCCCTCCTCAGCCTCCCAAAGGGCTGGGATTACAGGCATGAGCCACTGCGCCCAGCCAGCAGATTAGTCTTGGTGAAAGGGAGCCCATGTTATTGAGCTCTTAGCAAGCCTCCGTCTGTGCCACCATGGTTAGTCTATTCAAGGACCCACTGTGCCAACACAGTTACGGCTGGGTACACAATCTGGCGGGCCTCCACTGGACCAGTCAGCCTGTCCGCCCAGTTGTTTAATGCTGTCTTTTGGAAGATACCCTCTGGTGGGCATTGACATGAGACTTGAAGATCCACACAGTTGGCACCTCTCCCACAAATCCATCTACATACTTCTGCTTCAGGTTCTCCTGTCTTCCAATCTCACTCCTTCAAGGCTCCCTGCCAACCATTTAAGCTATTCACCACTGCCAAGATGTCTGCATATATGCTCATGTCAGGCAACTTCTCTCTTCTCACAAAGTCGATGGCCGGGTATACCATCCAAAGCTTGTCCAGCCTTCCTAAGCTGCCCCTGCCTGGGAGTCTAGTGTAGCAGCAGGACATCTTCAGCTCTCACCAACAGAGGAGACATCCCGTGCATAAACTTGGCTTGGGGTCTCTCCTTCTCCATCAACTGTACATAAGAAACCCTTGGCCGGGCGCGGTGGCCCACACCTGTAATCCCAACACTTTGAGAGGCCAAGGTGGGTGGATCACGAGGTCAGGAGATCGAGACCATCCTGGCTAACATGGTGAAACCCCGTCTCTACTAAAAATAAAAAAAAAAAATTAGCCAGGAGTAGTGGTGGGTGCCTGTAGTCCCAGCTACTCGGGAGGCTGAGGCAGGAGAATGGCATGAACCCGGGAGGCGGAGCTTGCAGTGAGCCGAGATCGCGCTACTGCACTCCAGCCTGGGCGATAGAGCGAGACTCTGTCTCAGAAAAAAAAAAGAAACCCTTCATGAAGATGTAAGCATGAGCTGAGGAAGGCATCAGAGCAATGAGGCAGGGAACATGTAGGTCTGGGTCACATCTTTCTGTAACTTAATTGAACTTTGGACCTGCCCAGGACTGACCCTGAAGGTGCTGTTTCCACTGTACTACGGATTTCTGCTGTACTTTTCAAGCTAAAGACTTGGTGGGTCTGACAATTACTGGCTCACGATAGGCATCCCATGGTTAAGTACTCCATCTCTACTAGGGCCCAGTAGCATGCCAGGAGCTGCTTTTTCCAATGTTGAAGAGTTCTCTGTTGCAGATGGCATGGCCTTGCTCCAGAACCCTATGGGTATTTGTTGTAACTCTCTAGTGGGGCTTGCCAGAGATTCCACATGGTGTCATTTTCCACCCCAGATAGCTCTATGCCATGGGACCTGCCATGCTGCATGGCCCAAGTTGCAGAACCATTTGTATTGCAGCTGAAACCTACTACAAAGCTCTATTTCACTCTACGTCTACTTCAAAACTAATATTTTTTTTTCTGAGTTAGCAAGAAGCAGGAGCCCAAAGGATGGTATGAGCTGTCTCTAAAACACCAAAGACCTTGCTAATGCTAGGTTTTTCTTTTTTTCTTTTTTCTTCTTCCAAGACGGAGTCTTGTTCTGTCACCAGGCTGGAGTTCAGTGGAGGGATCTTGGCTCACTGCAACTTCCACCTCCCTGGCTCAAGCAATTCTCCTGCCTCAGCCTCCCAAGTAGCTGGGACTACAGGCATGTGCCACTATGCCCGGCTAATTTTTGTATTTTTAATAGAGACGGGGTTTCACCATGTTGGCCAGGCTGGTCTCGATCTCTTGACCCCATGATTCACCTGCCTTGGCCTCCCAAAGTGCTGGGATTACAGGTGTGAGCCACCGTGCCTGACCAATGCTAGGTTTTTCTTAGTGATAGTAAGTGAATGGTGCAGGCCAGGCACGGTGGCTCACGCCTGTAATCCCAGCACTTTGGGAGGCCGAGGTGGGCAGATCACCTGAGGTTAGGTGAGACCAGCCTGGCCAACATGGTGAAACCCTGTCTCTACTAAAAATACAAGATTAGCTGGGCGCACTGGTGCGCACCTGTTATCCCAGCTACTCAGGTGGCTGAGGCAGAGGAATCACTTGAACCGGGGCGGGGGAGGTTGCAGTGAGCTGAGACTCTGTCAAAAAAAAAAAAAACAACAACAACAACAAAAAACAAGGAAGTAAGTGCATGGTCCAATATTCTTTCCTCTGTCTTGGAGGAGACGTCTTTCTATGCCCCGGACCACTAGGCTGCAAGGAAAACTTCACCAATGTGACAGGTTCCTGGATCTTTGTAGGATTTATCTACCATCCTGTGGCACACCAGAATGTTCAGATATCTTCCACTTCCTGCTCACCAGGTCTGATTGACATGGCGTCATCAATATAGTGGACCTGAGGGATGTTCTGTGGGAGGCCCAGAAGATCAAGGCCCCTTGGGACTATGTTGTGACAGACAGCAGGAGAGTTACTATAGCTCTGGGCTAGACCTCAAATGTGTACAACTGTCTGTCCCAAGTGAATTGAACTGCTCGAGACTCGCCTATCTGATGGGGATTGAAAAGAACTCATCTGACTGGGCACAGTGGCTCATGCCTATAATCCTAGCACTTTTGGAGGCTGAGGTGGGAAGATTGCTTGAGGGCAAGAGAGTGAGACCAGCCTGGGCAACATGGCAAGACCCCATCTCTACAAAATAAAATAAAATAAAAAGATGAGCCACACGTGGTGGTGTGTGCCTGTAGTCCCAGCTACTCAGGAGGCAAAGGTGGGAGGATCACTTGAGCCTGGGAGGTTGAGGCTGCAGTGAGTCGTGATCATGCCACTGTACTCCAGCCTTGCTGACAAAGCCAGACCTTGTCTCAAAAAAGAATTTAAAAAAAGAATAGAACTCATCTGCCAGATCAACAGCTGCTTGTTCAGTTCAGGGGCTGTGTTGATTTGCCCTGGTGAAGATTTCCAAAGAGCAAGAGGCAGATGCTGAAGATTTTGATTAGGGGAGTGATATAATTACATTTGCATTGTAAAGGGCCACTTGGGATTCTGTGTGGGGAAGTGATTGGAGAAGAGGGCAAGAATAGATGCAGTAAGACCTTATATTTTATGTTCTTCACAAATTTGCACCCAGCTAGCTTGGCTGGCAGAGCATGAGGCTCTGAAAACACACACACAGACACACACACACAGACACACACATGTGTGCATTTGGAGTTGTTGGTCTGGTGGGCTTAGCTCTATTCACTAAGGTGAGGGAATAGGAGCTAGGATTGATCTGATGCATCTGTTAAGGTGAATAACATGAGCTGTTGTAATGAGAGGTCTCCCCAAAGCTCAGTGTTCTACACAATAAAAATGTATTTCTTACAACGTAATAGAAGGCAGGTCATTCAGGGACCACTGCTATGAACTGAATTGTGCTCTCCTCGCCCCAATTCATATGTTGAAGCCCTGACCCCCAGTGTGATGGAATTTAGAGATGGGGCCTTTGGGAGCTAATTAGATTTAGAGGAAGTCACCATGGTAGCGCCTTTATGATGGGAGTAGTGTTCTCATAAGAAAAGACGCTAGAGCAGGCACCAGGGCTCTCTCTCTGTCTGCCAATGTGAGAACACAGTGAGAAGGTGGCTGTCAGCCAGCCAGGAAGAGGGCCCTCCCCAGAACCTGACATGCTGACTCCCTGATCTCATACTTTCTTTCTTTCTTTTTTTGAGACAGAATCTCACTCTGTCACCCAGGCTGGAGTGCAGTGGTGCCATCTTGGCTCACTGCAGCCTCTGCCTCCTGGGTTCAAGCGATTCTCCTGCTTCGGTCTTCTGAGTAGCTGGGATTACAGGCACCTATCACCATGCAGACTAATTTTTGTGTTTTTAATTAGAGAAAAGGTCTCACCATGTTGGCCAGGCTGGTCTCGAAATCCTGACCTCAGGTGATCCACCCACCTCAGCCTCCCAAAGTGCTGAGATTATAGGCGTGAGCCACCGTGTCCTGATCTCATACTTTCAACTTCCAGGACTGTGAGAAAATAAATCTCTGTTGTTGAAGCCACCTAGTTGATGGTGTTTTGTTATGGCGGCCTGAGTTGACTAGTACAGATCCCATTTAGGATCTTGAATTTTTCTAATCAACTGGGAGATGGGGAAAAACAATGGAAGACAGCATGTAGGAGGTTTCACTGGGCCAGTCTTGGAAGTGGTGCCTTGCTTATGCTCAGTTTATTGGCCAGACTCAGTCACATGACTACTCCTAACTGCAAGGGAGGCTGGGAAATATAGTCCAGTTTTGTGCTCAGGAGGAAGAAGAAATGGGCTGGGTAAGAACCTGAAGAATCTCTGCCACAACTTGAGAACCAGGAAACAAAACACAGTAGTGCTAAACATAACTTGTCAGGTCCCAGTAGCCCCATGGAGCCAGGCTATCTTCCAATGGAAGGAGGAATTGTCTGAGTTATTATAAATGTCTTGTTTACCAACATCTTGTCTTTACCAACAAGACCATACTAATGTCTTGTTTCCCATCAAAAGGCGGCCATCTCTGCCAGGTCACTCAGGCAGGTGGAGCAGGTCACTGGGGAATCCAGGAGGTGATATTTGGAGACCCTGGCAGGAAGGTAGATGGGTAAATAGGTTATCAGAAGTGATATGGCCCCAGGCATCCAGGCTGGGGTCCAAGGGTGAGATTCTGATCCCTGAGTTACAGAGAGGGAATATTAAACTAGGCAAGATTCTAGGTGTATGCAGGTGGTCCAGCCTGGAATTTAGGCAGAGAGAGGAGAGAAAAGTCCAACTTTAAAAGTAATGGCAAAAACTGCAACTACTTTTGCAGCAACCTATTAAATCTGAAGTCTAAGGTCAGGAGTTGACTAGAAGCCTGGATTCCTGGATGCAGAGCCTCACACTGTTGGGTTCAGAACTCTTGATCTCCACCTGTCTAAAGCTATCTAAAGTCTTTATTGGTCTCTCAAATGGAGTGGGATAATAGTGGACACTTGTTATTTTTCCTTGAGCAGCACCTGTTTTCATTTTTTTTCTGCTTTAAGAACTTTTTTTTTTTCTTTGAAGAGCTACTCCTCACTGACTCTCAGTCCATGCAGCTTTAGCGGTGCTGAGCACAGTCCCCTGGTTCCAGGGTTAGGAGTAGGACCCAATCCTGGCCAGTCAGAGTCACTGCCATGGTTCATGGATGGACCCATGACTCCGCTGGAACCCATAAGAGTCAAGCGTGTCATGAGAGAATGTGAACCAGAAGAAGAAGAGTAGTCTTCTAAAAAAATAAACAAAACATAATTTATATACAGTTGACCCTTGGACAACATGAAGGTTTGGGGCACCAACCCTCCATGCAGTTGAAAATGCAAATGTTATCTTATGACTTCCCCAAAACTTAACTATTAATACTAATAGCCCACTGTTGACTGGAAATCTTATCAATAACATAGGCAGTTGATGAATACGTATTTTGTATGGTAAATATATCATATACTATATTTTTACAATATAGTAAGCCAGAGAAAATATTAAGAAAATATTAAGAAAGACACATCTCTTGGTGGTCATAGTGGTCGACTCTCTAAAATTCATTACCCCCAGATAATTATCTTAAGTTAATCATAATAATCCATTTTCTTGGCAGTGACTAGTTCAAGGGTGGACAAGTTAAAATCAATTTGGGCCAAGAGGTGCAAGGAAAGTCTTGCTAGGAGCTTCTGAAAAGGATGCTTTAATACATTTAAGCCAGATCGAGGATGAAGCCAGTGCTGTGAATGGGCAGAGTAAAGAGACAGAATAAAGATTCATCTTGGTGCAGATGAATCAACTGAGCTGAAAGCTCAGCCCACCTCTGGACTCTGTCTCTGGGTGCTGTCTGTCTTGTTGAGTCAGCTTTTTGGTTATGAGTCTCCAAAAGGCATCTTAACTGGTAGAGGTATCCATGGGATGTAGACCTGGGGCTGCTTGGGGTCATCTGTGCCACTTCATAGCGACAGCCTGCCTTCCATAGAAGCCAGCACAGAAAAACTGAACTAAGGGGTTTAAAAGGACACATTCCCAAAGCTACTTTTTTGGACACCCAATCCAGTAGTGCCTGGCATATTCAGTAACTTGAGCCTATAAACCCACCCTCTCTATTTTTAAGCCAATTTGTACTGAGGTTCTGCAACTTGGAACCAAGGAGTCCTGATTTTCTTTTTCTTTGTCTTTTTCTCCTTCCCTTCCTTCCCTTTCTTCCCTTCCCTTTCTTCCCTTCTTTTTCTTTCCCTCTTTCTTTCTTTCTTTCTTTCTTTCTTTCTTTCTCTTTCTTTCTTTCTTTCTTTCTTTCTTTCTTTCTTTCTTTCTTTCTTTCTTTCTTTCTTTCTTTTTTTCTCTCTCTCTTTCTCTCTCTCTCTCTTTCTTTCTTTCTTCTTTTCTGAGATGGAGTTTTGCTCTGTCACCCAGGTTGGAGTGCAATGGCACAATCTCAGCTCACTTCAACCTCTGCCTCCTGGGTTCAAGCAATTCCCCTGCCTCAGCCTCCTGAATAGCTGGGACCACAGAAACATGCCACCATGCCTGGCTAATTTTTGTATTTTTAGTAGAGATGGGATTTCACCGTGTTGGCCAGGCTGTTCTCAAACTCCTGACCTCAGGTGAACTGCCTGCCTCAGCCTTCTAAAGTGCTGGGATTACAGGCGTGAGCCACTGCACTGGGCCCAAAGAGTCCTGACTCATAAGCTTGAGCTGGAATGTGAGACAGTGAAATTGCTCCCGCTCTGGGATGGAAAGAGTAGCTAAAACAGGAAACCAAGCAGGCTGTAATGGAAATGCTCTGACTTGACTTGGCAATTTGTTGGCACATACAATTGGTAGAAAAATCACTTAAAGATCTGCTGTTGAAACAAACTAGAGTTGGCTCAGAGCCAGGTACCATAACATAAGAATCAGGTAGGCTGAGCATTGTGGCATATGCCTGTAATCCCAGCACTTCGAGAGGCCAAGGCAGGAGGATCACTTGAGGCCAGGAGTTCAAGACCAGCCTGGGCAACATCGTGAGGCCCTGTCTCTACAAAAAATAATTTAAATAAGTTAGTGAGGCATGGTGGTGCACAAATGTAGTCTCAGCTACTTGGGAAGCTGAGGTGGGAGAATCACTTGAGCCCAGGAGGTCAAGGTTGCAGTGAGCTACAATTGGGCCACTGCACTCCAGCCTGGGTGATAGGGCAAGATCCTATTTCAAAAAAAAAGAATCTGATGGACTTAGGGGGTTTATGGGGTGGCATAGCAAGACAGTCAGTGCCCCACCCAAATCCTCACGCACTCACTGTCCCTTTTCATGCTGACTGCATCCTGCTGTGAGCAGCTGCATCTGTCAGCCCGAATACTTTCTCTTAGACTGTGAGTGCTGGGGAGCTAATGTCCTGGAAGCAGCCATTGACAACACAGATGGGCAATGAAAGATAAACACCCCACTCCTTGTTCCTCAGCAGGGAAGGATCACCCTGAGAGTGTTTATTTTATTTTTATTTATTTATTTTTTAGACAAGGTCTTTCTCTGTGGCCCAGGCTGGAGTACGGTGGTGCAATCACAGCTCATTGCAATCTTGACCTCCTGGGCTCAAGCGATCCTCCCACCTCAGCCTCTAGAGTAGACGGGACTACAGGTGAGTGCCACTGCACTAGCCTTATTTCTTCATTTTCTTTTGGTAGAGATGAGGGCTCTCTATGTTGCCCAAGCTAGACTTGAACTCCTGGACTCAAGGGATCCGCCCGTTTAGGCTTCCCCAAGTGCTGGGATTACAAGCGTGAGCCATCACACTTAGCTTGAGAGTGTTTTTTTTTTTTTTTCTTGAGACAGAGTCCCGCACTGTTGCCCTGGCTGGAGTGCAATGGTGCAATCTCTGCTCACTGCAACCTCTGTCTCCCAGGTTCAAGTGAGTCTCCTGCCTCAGCCTCCTGAGTAGCTGGGACTACAGGCACACGCCACCACGCCTGGCTAAATTTTCGTATTTTTAGTAGAGATGGGGTTTCACTATGTTGACCAGGCTGGTCTCAAACTCCTGACCTTGTGATCCGCCCGCCTCGGCCTCCCAAAGTCCTGGGATTACAGGCATGAGAGAGTGTCCTAAACTGTCTCAGATGTACCCAGTGGGATCAGCCCCGGTTCCCCACAGCAGTAACCTACTTAGTCAAATGCCCTTTCATTGTGTCTTTCCCTCCCGTCTTACTTCCTGTTAGGGACTGAACTGTGTGCTCCCCTCCCAATTCACATGTTGAAGTCTCAACCCCCAGTGCTTCAGAACGTGACTGCATTTGGAAATAGGGCTTTTCAAGAGGTTAATAAGCTAAAATGAGGCTGTAAGGGTGGGCCCTAATCCAATCCGACGGTTGTACTTAACAGAGGAGATTAGGACACCGAGAGACACCAGGCATCTGCTGCACAGACAGACAACCATGTGAAAAGGCAGCAGGAGGTCAGCCACCTGCAGCCAAGGAGAGAGGCCTCTGAGGAAACCAACCCTGCCAGCACTTTGATCTTGAACTTCCAGCCTCCAGAACTGTGAGAAAGTATATTCCTGTTGTTTAAGCCACCCAGTCTATGGCATTTTGTTTTGGCAGCTTTAGCAGACTAATATACTTCCCCATTCCCCCACAGTGCTTCCTGGGGTCAATTCTCAGATAAATGATTTGCACTTTAATCCTTATCTCAGGGGCCAGGTGGGAGGGGGCTCACGCCTGTAATCCCAGCACTTTGGGAAGCCGAGGTGGGCAGATCACCTGAGGTCAGGAGTTCAAGAGCAGCCTGACCAACATAGTGAAACATCGTCTCCACTAACTTTACAAAATGTAGCTGGGTGGGGCGGCACATTGCTGTAGTCCCAGCTACTCAGGAGGCTGAGGCAGGAGAATCCCTTGAACCCGGGAGGTGGAGGTTGCAGTGAACTGAGATCGTGCCACTGCACTACAGCCTGGGTGACAGAGTGACTTCGTCTAAAAAAAAAAAAATTATCTCAGGAAACCAACTCGCAGACCAACAACGCATATGTAAGTACATGGAACCACATGGAACTTTGTAGATCAAACAACAGTGCCCAGAAGTCAGGGACAAAGTATTATAGTGCAGTGGTTAAAAGTGTGAGATTGCGTGGTGATTTGTGCCTATAGTTCCAGCTACGTGAGAGGCTGAGACAGGAGGATTGGTTGAGGCCAAGAGTCTGAGGCTGCAGTGAGCTATGATTGTGCCACTGCACTCTAGTCTCGGCAACAGAGCAAGATCCCGTCCTTAAGATAAAAATTAAGGGAAAAGAAAAGAGGGCTCAGTGACTCATGCCTGTGATCCTAGCACTTTGGAAGGCCAAGATGGGAGGGTTGTTTGAGCCCAGGAGTTCAAGATCAGCCTGGGCAACACAGTGAAACCCCATCTTTACAAAACATTTTTAAAAAATGAAAAATAAAAAAAATTAGCCAGGCGTGGTGTGCGCCTATAGTCTCAACTTCTTGGAAGGCTGAGGTGGGTGGATTGCTTGAGCCTGGGAGATTGAGGCTGCAGTGAGTCATAATCGTGCCACTGCACTCCAGCTTGGGTGACAGAGCAAGACCTTGTCTCATTAAAAAAAAAAAAAAAAGAAAAGAAAAGGGAAAAAAAGGTGAAATTTGGAGTCAGGCAGAACTGGACTCAGGCTCTGGATCTGTGGATAGAGTAAAAGAAAATTAAGCCCTAGTATCCCCATCTTTGCTGAATTTCTAGTCCAGGTAAGAAGACCAGGCCAGGTGCAGTGGCTCACAACTGTAATCCCAGTACTTTGGGACACCTGAGGCAGGTGGATCACTTGAGGTCAGGAGATTGAGACCAGCCTGGCCAACATGGTGAAATCCCGTCTAATAAAAATTAGCCAGGCATGGTGGTGGGTGCCTGTAGTCTCAGCTACTTGGGAGGCTGAGGCACGAGAATCGCTTGAACCCAGGAGACAGAGGTTGCAGTGAGCTGAGATCACACCACAGCACTCCAGCTTGGGTGACACAGCAAGAGTCTGTCTCAAAAAAACCAAAAACACAAACAAAAAAACAACAACAAGCAAATAAACCAAAAACTAGCCACCCAGAAAATCAGCTGGCATTCCTAGTGTCATAGCAAAAAGATCATTTGCCTGGGCAACGGGGACCTCAGTTCTGGTAGCAACTGATTAATCTCCAAGCCTTTTGCGGGCAGGGTAGGGATCTTGTGTGTTTTGCTTTCCATTTATTTCCAGTGTCCAGCACTATGCTGAAGACTGAGTGATAAATTAGCATTGAATGAAGGACGGAGTATGACTTTGGGCTAGGCTGTTGAGCACTGCAGCTTCTAGGTGTAAGAAGTGGGTGTAATAACCTTTGTCACAGGATGTGTGTGTTGTTTCAATGATGTAAGGGAAGGGCTTTATCCACTGGGTCACCTGTCTGGATGCAACGTGATGGTTTTCTCCAGCCAGGCGCTGTGCCTTGTGGATAAACAAGAAGGCTCTGAGGCCAGACAGGCTTGGGAGACCCCAACCCTGCCACTTACAATCTGTGTGGACTTCAATGAGGTGCTTAAATTCAACATCTAGTAAGCTGTCAATAACAGCTACTCAATAAAGCGTCCTGCCAGGGCGGGGACTTCGCTTTGCCACATTTGAGCATCTCCCGCCAGCTTTGTACTGTTTTCTGTTTGCCCACTAGAGGTCAGGCTAACCCCAAAGTTCAAAGCTCCTAAACCCAGCCCAAAACACCATTTCTAAAGTGTCCAGGCAGGGCGCGGTGGCTCACGCCTGTAATCTCTGCACTTTGGGAAGCTGAGGCGGGAAGATCACTGGAGCCCAGGAGTTCCAGACCAGCCTGAGCAACAAAGTGAGAGCTCCAAAATACGAAAAAATTAGCCAGCAGTTGTGACGAGGGCCTATTGTCCCAGCTATTTGGGAGGCTAAGCTGGGAGGATTGCTTGAGCCCTGGAGGTTTAGGCTGGCTGCAGTGAGCTATGATTGTGCTGTTTCACTCCAGCCTGGGAAACAGAGCGAGACCCAGCCTGAAAAAAGTGTCGGGAGGGGAAGATGACTTAACCTGTGAAACCGCGCTGGTCATACAAACACATTTTCCAAGGTTGCTCTCTGTCCTTCTCAACCAACCCTCGGATTTTATCACTAGACTAAGAGAATGGAGATTTGTATGGAGGGCAAATTTATTGAGTTACTTCTGAGAAATCATCAGGGAACAAAGGACACAAAAGAAAGCGAAAGCTGGAGGTAATAATAACAATTTCCGAGTATTGACGATGTATTGGGAACTTAAATAATTTTACACTTATTAACTGATTTCATGATTGTAACACTCTATGGGGTAGGTATAGTTTCATGTTACAGATGAAAAGCCGGCACGGAGATGTAGCACTGGGCTCTTAATCACAGTGTGATGCTGAGATTGGCAAGAGCCTGACTGCCATTAGGAACCAGCTGATATATTTCAGGCCTGGGATCTATGAAATACAAAAGGCTTTGAGCATTTCCCAGGTGCAGATATTTTTGTTGTTGTTGTTTGTTGTTTTGAGATGGAGTCTTGCTCTGTTGCCCAGGCTGGAGTGCAGTGGGGTGCTCTTGACTCACTGTAACCTCCACCTCCTGGGTTCAGGTGATTCTCCTGCCTCAGCCTCCTTAGTAGCTAGGACTGTAGGTAGGTGCAACCATGCCCGGCTAATTTTTGTGTTTTTAGTAGAGACAAGATTTTGCCACGTTGGACACACTGGTCTTGAAGTCCTGCCCTCAGGTGATCTGCCTGCCTCGGCCTCCCAAAGTGCTGAGATTACAGGTGTGAGCCACCGTGCCCGGCCCCCAGGTGCGGATGTTTTTGGTCTTTGAGACACATCTTTTGGGTTCGTTGAACCAGGGAGAAAACTCTCCACCTCCCTCCTTCATTTATCTCTGTCTGTGGCTCTTTGGGGGTCACACAGACATGGGTTCAAATCTTGGCACTGCTGTTTGCCAGCCGTGTGGCCTGGGTAAGTATGTACTTTGCTGAGCCTCAGTTTCTTCTACTGTAAAATGTAGAATTTTTCTCACAGGCCACTCTCCAATCTCTCTGACTCCTCTTCTGTCTCCTCTGGAATGTGAGTTCCTGGAGGAAAGTTTCCTTCTTGGCCAGGCATAGTGGCTCACGCCTGTCATCCTATCACTTTGGGAGGCTGAGGTGGAGGATCACTTGAGCCCAGGAGTTCGAGACCAGCCTGGGCAACATAGTGAAGCCCTGTATCTGCAAAAATTAAAAAATTAGCCATATGAGGTGGCATGCATGTGTAGTCCCAGCTACTCAGGAGGCTGAGGCAGGAGGCTGACTGAGCCCAGGAGTTTAAGCCTGCAGTAAGTTATGATTGTATCGCTGCACTCCAGCCTGGGAGACTCTGTCTGGAAAGAAAAAGAAAGAAGGAAGGAAGGAAGGAAGGAAGGAAAGAAAGGAGGGAGGGAGGGAGGGAGGGAGGGAAGGAGGGAAGGAAGGAAGGAAGGAATTTCTAATGTCCAGAACAGCCTGGCATATGTTAGATGCTTAAGAAATAAATGCTGATGGCTGCCTGATGCTTCCCACTGAATGTCCCTTAAAGTGTAAGTCTATATTCCCATTGAAAGTGCAGAACTTCAATCATTTGCTAATGACTGTCAAGCAGCCATTCATTCATGGATGCATGCGTTCATTGCTGAACACTTGTGCATTAGAGGCTGGGCATGGTGACTCACACCTGTTATCCCAGCAGTTTGGGAGGCTGAAGCAGGCTGATCATTTGAGGTCAGGAGTTCCAGACCAGCCTGGCCAACATGGCAAAACCCCGTCTCTACTAAAAATACAAAAATTAGCTGGGCATGCTGGTGCATGCCTGTAATCCCAGCTACTTGGGAGGCTGAGGTAGGAGATTCACTTGAACCTGGGAGGTGGAGGTTGCAGTAAGCTGAGATTGCACCACTGTACTCTAGCCTGGGTGACAGAGCTAAACTCCGTCTCAAAAAAAAAAAAAAAAAAAAAAGTAGGAGCCTGCTCTCAAGAACTTCAAGTCCAGCATGAGACAAGCTGGCCATTATGGAGTTCCAGCCTCAACAGTCCCACCCTTGGCTGGCCCCACCATCCATGTGCGTTTTCTGTGTATTTGATCCTTGCCCACTTAGAAGTGGAACTCGCTGGGCCAGGTGCAGTGGCTCACGCCTGTAATCCCAGCTCTTTGGGAGGCCGAGGCGGGCGGAACACAAGGTCAGGAGATTGAGACCATCCTGGCCAACGTGGTGAAATCCCATCTCTACTGAAAATAAAAAAAATTAGCTGGGCGTGGTGATGGGTGCCTATAGTCCCAGCTACTTGGGAGGCTGAGGCAGGAGAATGGCATGAACCTGGGAGGCAGAGTTTGCAGTGAGCCGAGGTTGCGCCACTGCACTCCAGCCTGGGTGACAGAGTGAGACTCCATCTCAGAAAAAAAAAGAAGTGGAACTCGCTGTGGCCATGCCATGCTCTTCTCTTTTGCTCTTCTGGATTGCTTGAGCCCAGGAGGTTGAGTTCAGTCTGGGTAATATAGGGAGACCCCATCTCTTAATAAACAAAAAACACCAGCCTGGGCAACATGGTAAAACCCTGTCTCTACTAAAAATACAAAAATTAGCTGGGCACAGTGGTGTACGCTTGTAGTCTCAGCTGCTGGGGAGGCTGAGGCAAAAGAATCACTTGAACCCAGGAGGCAGAGGTTGCAGTGAGCCGAGATCAAGCCACTGCACTGCAGCCTGGGAGGTCTGGGTCACATTCTTGGACAGACTGAGGATCAGGTGCTGTATTAGTCCATTATCACACTGCCATTAAAAAAAAAACTGAAACTGAGTAATTTATAAAGAAAAGAGTTTTAATTGTCTCATGGTTCTGCAGGCTCTACAAGAAGCATGGCTGGGGAGGCCTCAGGAAACTTACAGTCATGGAAGAAGGGGAAGCAGGCACATCTTACATGGCTGGTGTAGGAGGAGGAGAGAGAGGTGGGAGGTGATACACTTTAAACAACCAGATTTCATGCTGGGTGCGGTGGCTCATGCCTATAATCCCAGCACTTTGGGAGGCCAAGGCAGGCGGATCACCTGAAGTCAGGAGTTCAAGACCAGCCTGGCCAACATGGTGAAATGTTGTCTCTACAAAAATACAGACACACACAAAAATTAGCTGGATGTAGTGGTGGATGCCTGTAATCCCTGCTACTCAGGAGGCTGAGGCAAGAGAATCGCTTGAACCCAGGAGGCAGAGGTTGCAGTGAGCTGAGATCATGCCACTGCACTCTAGCCTGGGCGACAGAGCAAGACTCCGTCTCAACAAAACAAAACAAAAAACAAAACCAAAATAAACAACCAGATCTCATGAGCACTCACGAGCAGCACCAAGGGGGAAATCCACCCCCATGATCCAATCACCTCCCACCAGGCCCGGCCTCCAACATTGGGGATTACGATTTGGCATGAGATTTGGGTGGGGACATGGACCCAAACCATTTCAGGGGCATAAATCAAGACTCCTGGGGCTGAGTATGGTGGGTCATGCCTGTAATCCCATCACTTTGGGAGGCTGAGGAGGATGGATCACTTGAGTCCAGGAGTTCGAGACCAGCCTGGAAAACATAGTGGGACACCATCTCTACAAAAAGTAAAAAAATAAAAAATTATCCAGGCATGGTGGTGCACACCTGTAGTCCCAGCTACTTGAGAGGCTAAGGTGGGAGGATGGCTTGAGCCCAAGAGGTTGAGGCTGCAGTGAGCCAAGGTGGTACCACTGCATTCCAACCTGGGTGGCAGAGGAGACCCTGACTCAAAACAACAACAACAACAACACAAAACAAAACAAAACAAAAACTCCAGTTTCCTCTTATATGGTTGTAGCAGGAAGAAGTGGGGGAGGAGGTGTGTGTGTGTGTTTAAACCTTTTTTTTTTTGGCAAGCACACATGTGCACAACCCAATATACACATCACGCTTACTTCTCTTTTCTTGGGGTAAGCTCCAGCATGACCAACCTCGGGCAGGTCTATTCTCTCTGGGCCTCATTTTCCTTATCTGCTCAATGAAGCTGATGGATACAGCGCTTTCCAAGGTACCTTTTCACAATAACATGTTCTCAACCAGTGTGCAGGTATTCCCCTCCTAGGGAGACGTTTCTTGCATCTTTCCCACACACATGGCCCTGCATGCACACACAGACACAGAGCTGCAGTGTGTGCACATCTATCCCACACTCTGTCCCTCCAAGCCTTCCTACCCTGGACTATCTGGACTAGTAAGGAATGAAACAAGAAACACAGGGTCCGGGTCATGGTGGTGAGGGTGAGGGAGGCAGAGTCCCAAAGGCCTGTTCTCACCCTTAGGAGGTTCTGGGGCAGGAGGTCTGGGTCACATTCTTGGACAGATGCTGGAGGCCAGCTCTGCCCTAGTCTATGATCGAGGCCAGGCACTCTTTGAACTGATGGATATGGGGAAGCAGTACTTTTGAGCCCTCTCTAGACCCAGCTTTACCCCTACAAGCTCTGCAAATCACTTCTTAGTATTTAACTTTTTTTTTTTTTAATTTAGAGATCAGGTGTATCAGTCCGTTCTCACACTGCTATAAAGAAATAACTGAGACTGGGTAATTCATAAAGAAAAAAGGTTTCATTGGCTCATGGTTCTGCAGGCTGTACAGGAAGCATGGCTGGGGAGGCTTCAGGAAACTTACAATCATGGCAGAAGGCGAAGGGGAAGCAGTTTCCTCTTATATGGTTGGAGCAGGAGGAAACAGGGGAAGAGGTGCTACACAATTTTAAATGAGCAGCTCTAGTGGTAAGTCACTATCATGAGAGCGGCACCCAAGAGGAAATCCCCTCCCATGATCCAATCACCTCCCACCAGGCCCCACCTCCAACATTGGGGGTTACAATTCGACATGAGATACGGGTGGGAACACAGACCCAAACCGTATTACCAGGTCCTGCTTTGTTGCCCAGGCTGGAGTGCAGTGGCATGATCATAGCTCATTGCATCCTCAAACTCTCAGATGCAGAGATCCCCCCGCCTCAGCCTCTGGAGTAGCTAGGACGACAGGCATGCACCATCACGCTCGGCTAATTCTTAGTATTTCTGAAAGCATGGGTAGCAGTGCGTGTGTGGAGGAAGGAAGGCTGTAGAGGGCTGGTGTTCCCTCGCTGTTCCTTCTCCACAGGAGAAATTGAGTTGGGTGTGTCTAATTCCAGCTTGCCAGCTGAGGGCGCTTCTGTTCCGTAATTCCACCACCCTGGCCTTGGTGAGCCGAGTACAATTTCTTATCCCAAAGATAGGCCTAGGAGCAGGTTCTTTTTCACTCAAAGTAAGGGAGGCTTCAACACAGACCATAGCCAACACAGACCAGGCATGGTGGTGGGCGCCTGTAGTCTCAGCCATCAGGAGGCTGAGTCGGGAGGATTGCTTGAGCCCGGGAGGTAGAGTCCAGTCTGGGCAACATAGGGTGACCCCATCTCTTAATAAACAAAAAACACCAGCCTGGGCAACATGGTAAAACCCTGTCTCTACTAAAAATAGAAAAATTAGCTGGGCACGGTGGTGTACGCTTGTAGTCTCAGCTGCTGGGGAGGCTGAGGCAAAAGAATCACTTGAACCCAGGAGGCAGAGAATGCAGTGAGCCGAGGTCAAGCCACTGCACTCCAGCCTGGGTAAAAAAGCCAGGCTGTCTCAAACAAAACAAAACAAAACAAAACAAAACCACCCCGAAATCAAGCAAACAGAAAACAAAAACAAAACAAAAAATACCCACAAGGTTTAGGCTGCCGCCCATCTTTCTTTGATGGTGAGGTGGAGATTGGGAGGAGAGAAAGTAATCATTTCTTGCCTATGGGGTAATAGGGAATGCAAATTCTCATCCTTTGACTTGAGTTGGGTTCCCTAGCAGGAGATCCTAAGATGGAAACCAAGAATTCTCAGGAGGAGATGAGTGAGGAAGCAGGATAAAACAGTACAGAAAGCTCACTA
The DNA here is from genome assembly GCF_000001405.40 of Homo sapiens. Taxonomy (NCBI): domain Eukaryota; kingdom Metazoa; phylum Chordata; class Mammalia; order Primates; family Hominidae; genus Homo; species Homo sapiens. The sequence goes on along the minus strand of NC_000016.10, from coordinate 24,498,626 downwards.
ATGCCACAGGAAGCAAAATGACAACACAGAGCTGGTCCCCACTTAAGGCCAAGGGGCTGGCCCCATTCCCGTGGGTTATCGTCCGAGGTCTGATCCCAGGAGGTGTGGGGGCCATCATCTAGTGGTTCCTTTCTGCCCAAGGGCTGTGCATTAGTTTGGAAGGCTGCTGAAACAAAGTACCACCACCTGGATGGCTTAAACCACAGACATTTATTCTCTAATAGTTCTGGAGGCTGGAAGTCCAAGTTCAAGGTGCCAGCAGGGTTGGTTCTTTCTGAGGGCCATGAGAGAGAGTCTGTTCCATGCCTTTCCCTCAGCCTCTGGTGGTCTGCTGGCAATCTTTGGTTTCGCTTGGCTTGTAGAAGCACCACTTCAATCTGTCTTCTTTTTTGAGGCAGGGTCTTGTTCTGTCACCCAGGTTGGAGTGCACTGGCGCAATCATGGCTCACTGCAACCTCTGCCTCCCAGGCTCAAGTGATCCTCCTGCCTCAGCCTCCCGAGTAGCTGGGACTACAGGCACGTGCCACCATGCCCAGCTAGATTTTTGTGTTTTTGGTAGAGATAGGGTTTCACTATGTTGCCCAGGCTGGTCTCAAACTCCTGAGCTCAAGTAATCCACCCACCTCAGCCTCCCAAAGTGCTGGGATTACAGGTGTGAGCCACTGCGCCTGGCCCTCTACCTTCATTTTTACCTAGCAGTGTGTGTGTGTGTGTGTGTGTGTGTGTGTGTGTGTGTATCTGTCTGTCTGTGTCCAAATATCCCCTTTTTATAAGGACAGTGGTGGTCCTAGTCTGTTTGCATTACTATAAAGGAATACCCAAGGCTGGGTAATTTATGAAGACAAGAGATTAATTTGGTTCACAGTTCTGCAGGCTGTAGAGGGAGCATGGCATTAGCATCTGCTTCTGCTGAGAGCTCAGGATGCTTCTATTCATGGCAGAAGGCCAAGGGGGAGCTGGTATGTGCGGAGATTACATGGTGAGAGAAGAAGCAAGAGAGGGAGGGAGGTGCTGGGCTCTTTGTAAGAATCACTTCTCAACTTATTACTGGGAGGATGGCACCAGGTCATTCGTGAGGGATCCACCCCCATGACTCAAATACCTTCCACTAGGCCCCACCTCCAACACTGGGGATCACATTTCAACATGAGATTTGGAGGAGACAAATATCCAAACTATATCCGTGGTTATATTGGATCAGGGCCCTAAAGACCTAATGATATAATTTAAGTTAATTATCTCTTTAAAGGCCCTCTTTCCAAATAAGGTCACATTCTAAGATATTGAGGGTTAGGACTTTAACACTGGAATTTTAGGAGCATACAATTAATTCAACCCATACCACGCAGTGCTCTAGAGAGGAAACAGCTGTGAGCTATTAGCAGCCAGTGCTCTGGGCATCTGGGGATGGATGCACTGGCTGGGAAGAGGGTCCCTGTGAGGCACCAACAGCACCCACTACACCAGTGGGTGCCTCCTGGGCCAGCAACATCAGCCTCCCCTGGGAATGTGGTAGGAATGCAAAGTCTTGGGCCTTCCTCCAGACCCTACTGAATCAGAAACTCCGGGGATGGTGCCTCACAGTCTGTCGTGATTCCAATGCATACCAACGTTTCAGAACCACTGCAGTATACCACTTGGGTCACTGAACAACAAATGCTGATGGCAGAGAAAGGCAGTGAGCATTGATTCAGGAGGCTCGAGGTTCCCCAAGGAACACAGGACTGCCGCACTGCATAACTCTAGAGAGCACTATTCCAGTTGCAGTTCAGGTCAATGGTGCTCACAGAGTACAGTCTGAAGCATGCAATGGAGTACAGTTGCATGGTGTACACATGGAGTGGTGCAGCTGCCACCAAGGAGCCAGGCCTGGGCTACTCTATTAAGGGAAGTGCAGTGCTTTCTAGCAGGGCTAGAAAGTCTAATCAGGGCCAGGTGTGGTGGCTCACCCCTGTAATCCCAGTGCTTTGGGAGGCCAAGGTGGGAGATCGCTTGAGTTCAAGAGCAGCCTGGGCATCTCTACAAAAAATGAAAAAATTATCCAGGCATGGTGGTGCATGGCTCTAGTCCTAGCTACTTGGGAGGCTGAGGCAGGAGGATCACTTGAGTGCAGGAGCTCCAGGCTGCAGTGAGCTTAGGTTGCACCACTGCACTCCAGCCTGGGTGACAGAGTGAGACCCTGTCTCAAAAAATAAAAAAGTAAAAACAAAAATCCCAGAGAAGCCATGCCCATGTGTATGCCCCGATCATTTCTTGAGGCCCATCTGACCTACTGCATGATGTGAAACTGAGACAGAGTGAGGAGCCCCTTTTGTAAGGGCCTGTGAAGCCTAAGAATGGAAGTAAAGGAAAATCCTGAGTTCCTTCAAGGGAAATTCCAGGCACCTAGCTGGCCCTGAGAACTAAATAAGTAACTTACTTTTTTTTTCTCTCTCTCTCTTTCTTTCTTTTTTTTTTATTTTTGAGGTGGAGTTTTACTCTGTTGCCAGGCTGGAGTGCAGTGGCGTGATCTTGGCTCACTGCAACCTCTGACTCCTGGGTTCAAGCCAATCTCCTGCCTCAGCCTCCCGAGTAGCTGGGACTACAGGCGTGTGCCACCACCTCCAGCTAATTTTTGTATTTTTAGTAGAGATAGGGTTCACTATGTTGGCCAGGATGGTCTCGATCTCTTGGCCTCTTGATCTGCCCACTTCGGCCTCTCAAAGTGCTGGGATTACAGGCCTGAGCCAATGCACCCGGCCCTAAATAAGTAACTTCTTAAACAAGAAAGGCAATCATCCTGAAACAATAGCCAAGGAAGTTAAGAGTTAGGAGATATTTGCTTACCCTACAGAAACTAAAGATAACAACTTAACAAAGCTCCCTGAATTGTCTTTCAGATGGTGGGACATAGACCCCAAGTAAGAGTGAAGCGAAGACTCAACTTTAACCACCACCCTCTAAGTTTCTTTTGAGGAGCTTGGAGAACGTCACTCCCTGTGGGTCTAAGTGGTACAGGCGCTAAAAAATTATTTAGGCAGATAGTGAGGGTAAGGAAGTCCTCGGCTGTTTCCCTTTTAACAAAAAGCAGTCCCTAAATCATTTATTTTCTAACAAAGAGCAGCCTGTAAAATCGAGCTGCAGACATAGATAAGCAAGCTGGAAGCTTGCATGGGTGAATGCAGCAGCTGTGCCAATAGGAAAAGGCTACGTGGCGGCCAGGCATGTTCAACATGGCGGCTCCATCTTCCCTTTTCTTTGTCAACTAGGTGTACAGTAAGGAACCGACAACATCACACCGGCCAGGTAGAGAAGCCATTTGCATAATAGAAGATTAGGGTGGGGTGGCCAGCTTCTTTGCGCGCTTTGTAAACATCACACCTAGTCCACCAATCTTTGGGCCCTATGTAAATTAGACAACACCTCCTCAAGCCAGTCTATAAACCCTCCCCTCCCCGCACATGCATTTCACCGCAAAACCCAAAGACCCACTTAGGTGTCCCCTCTCTCCGCAGAAGAGAGAGCTTTTCCCTTTCTCTCTGTTAAACCTCTTCTCTTAAACTCACTTCTTGCGTGTCCTCGTCCTCGATTTCCTTGGCGTAAGACGACGAACCTCAGGCATTTACCCCAGACAACGAAGGTGCTTCATAAGGTCATGCAGCTGGTAAGTGGCAGAGCGAGGATTTGAACGGAGGGAGTCTGGCTCCAAGGCTGGGCTCTCTCTCTCTCTCTCTCTCTCTCTCCCTCCCTCCCTCCCCCCACCTTCTCTCCTTTTTTCTCTCTCCCTTTCTTTCTCTCTTTCCTTCTCTGTTGCCCAGGCTGGAGTGCAGTGATGCAATCTCGGGTCACTGCAGCCTCTGCCTCTCCAGCTCAAGCAATCCTCCCACCTCAGCCTCCCAAGCAGCTGAAACTACAAAAATGCACCACTATGACCAGCTAATTTTTTTTTTTTTGAGACAGATTCTCACTCTGTCACCCAGGTTAGAGTGCAGTGGTGTGATCGTGGCTCATTGCAACCTCTGCCTCCCAGGTTCAAAGGATTCTGGTGCCTCAGCTCCTGAGTAGGGATTACAGGCACCCACCACCATGCCCAGCTAATTTTTCTATTTTTAGTAGAGAAGGGGTCTCATTATGTAGCCCAGGTTGGTCTCCTGGACTTAAGCAATCCTTTTACCCCAGCTTCCCAAAATGCTAGGATTTCAGGAGTGAGCCACTGTGCCTGGCCAAGGCTAGGCTCTTATCTCCCAGCCTATGTGACCTTCTGATGGTGTCACAGGTGAGGGGGGCATGGTACATGGCGGCTTGATTTTCACCAAGCACTCAACTTGGTTCCCAGTCCAACTCTGTTTCTGCCCTGGGGACCCTTCTTGATATTGGAAACGGATAAAGCCTGTGGGTTTTTGTTAAATTTATTTTTCCCCACACAACACTGATGTATCAAGGGGGTTTTACCCAGTCTGGATTATGACTTTGTCTTTGACTTTTGATTTTAAAAACTAAGCATTTGTTTCTATTGTTCTCTGGTTTTATGGTGACAACTTTCTCCCTAAGGCAATGAGTAGGTGACTCATGTTGCGTTGCCTAGAGGACGGGGTGGGGAAGGAGTGAGCGGGAAAGGGCGTCAGAGTACCGAGCATGATTCCACTTATAGGAGGGATTTAAAATAGTCAAATGCACGGAATCAAAGAGTGGAATGGTGGTTGCTAGGGACTGGGGGAGGGCAAAATGGGGAGTTACTAATCAATGGGCAGAAAGCTCCAGTCAAGCAAGATGAATAAGCTCTAGAAATCTGCCGTATGACATTTACCTATAGTCAGCAGGAATGTATTGGACACTTAAAAAATCTGTTAAGAGAGGAGATCTCATGTTGTGTTCTTTTTTCTTTTTTTTTTTTTTTAAGAGATGGGGGTCTTGCTATGCTGCCCAGGCTAGTCTTGAGCTCCTGGCCTCATGCGATCTTCTGCCTTGGCCTCCCAAAGTGCTGAAATTACAGGTGTGAGCCATTGCACCTGGCCCCTAGTGTTCTTATCACAATTAAAAAATAAAAAAAGATGGCCAGGCATGGTGGTTTGCACCTGTAATCCCAGTGCTTTGGGAGGCTGAGGTTGGGGGGATTGCTTGAGGTCAGGAGTTTGAGACCAGCCTGGGCAACACAGTGAGACCCAGTCTATATTTTAAAAAAGAGAGAGAAAGATGGACTATATCACATCTGTTTCTTTGCATCCCATTTTTCATCTCCTCCACCTTCACTTTGTTTTACTTCTTGTCAGCCTCAAGTCTTGGGGATGGGGTTGAAGATTCTGTGGCTAGCCCAGGTCTGCCTTTCTGGGATACACTGCCTGTCCAGGGAAGTGCTGCCCAAGAGAAATGTCATCTGACCCACACATGTAATTTTAAACTTTCTGCTAGCCACATTAGAAAGGTAAAGAGAGGCCGGCGTGGTGGGACATGCCTGTAATCTCAGCACTTTGGGATGCCAAGGTGGGAGATTGCTTGAGCCGTTTAAGATGAGCCTAGGCAAAATGGTGAGACCCTGTCTCCACAAAAATAAATAAATAGCTGGGCATGGTGGCTCAAGCCCGTAATCCTAGCACTTTGGGAGGTGGAGGTGGGCAGATTGCCTGAGCTCAGGAGTTCAAGACCCACCTGGCCAACATGGTGAAAGCCCATCTCTACTAAAAAAATATAAAAATTAGCCGGGGGTGGTGGCGTACATCTGTAGTCCCAGCTATTTGGGAGGCTGAGGCAGGAGAATCGCTTGAACCTAGGAGGCAGAGGCTACAGTGAGCCGAGATCGTGCCACTGCACTCCAGCCTGGGTGACAGAGTGAGACTCTGTCTCAATAAATAAATAAATATGAGGCCAGGCACGGTGGCTCACGCCTGTGATCCTAGCACTTTGGGAGGCCGAGGAGGGCAGATTACTTGAGGCCAGAATTTTGAGAGCAGCCTGGAAAACATAGCAAAACCTGTCTCTACAAAAAATTAAAAAATTTTGAGACTCCGTCTCAAAAAAAAAAAAAAATTAGCTGACTGAGGTGGGAGGATGGATTCAGCCCAGGAGGCTGAGGCTGCAGTGAGATATGATCACACCACTGACTCCAACCAAAAAATAAAAGACACCCATGACAATTTTCTTTTTTTTTTTTCTTTTTTTTTTTTTGAGACGGAGTCTCGCTTTATTGCCTAGGCTGCTGGAGTGCAGTGGCACAATCTCATCTCACTGCAACCTCCAACCCCCTACCACGGGTTCAAGTGATTCTCGTGTCTCAGCCTCCAGAGTAGCTGGGATTACAGGTGCCCCCCACCACGCCCAGCTAATTTTTGTATTTTCAATAAAGAGGAGGTTTTGCCATGTTGGCCAAGCTGTTCTCAAACTCCTGACCTCAAGTGATCCGCCTGCCTCGGCATCCCAAAGTTTTGGGATTACAGGCGTGAGCCACTGTACCCGGCTGACAATTTTCATAATGTTTTATTTAACCCAATATGACTAAATTACTGTTACTTCAGTGTGCTATTAATATAAAACATCGTTATTTTCTTTTTCCATACTAAAGTTTTTTAAAATACTGGGGTGTAATTTATACTAATGATCCCAACTTAATGCAGACTGACCACATTTCAAGTGCCCAATGGCCACATGTGCCCATGGATACTGCAATGGACAGTGGAGCTCTAGAGCTCTGAACCTCTGTGTTCTGGGGTGACCTCACTCCCGTGACTAATGTCAGAAGATGGCTGTAAGGCCCAGGGCTATTTGTGTCCAGCTCCAACTTAATCTCTCCTGGGGAAATGAGCTTTGTTCTCTTTTAGTGGAGAATCTGTCCTTGGTTTGCCCATTGTGGGATGTTTTCTAGAGCACAGATGCTAATGTTGTTCTAAAAAACTGGGGTTCTTGGCCAGGTGAGGTGGGTCACACCTGTAATCCCAGCACTTTGGGAGGTTGAGGTGGGTGGATCACTTGGTCAGGAGATCGAGACTATCCTGGCTAACACGGTGAAACCCCATCTCTACTAAAAATACAAAAAATTAGCCAGGTGTGGTGGTGGGCGCCTGTAGTCCTAGCTATTCAGGAGGCTGAGGCAGGAGAATGGCGTGAACCCGGGAGGCGGAGCTTGCAGTGAGCTGAGATCGCGTCACTGCACTCCAGCCTGGGCAACAGAGCGAGACTCCATCCCAAAGAACAAAACAAAACAAAACAAAACTGGGGTTCTTCATCAGGCAAGTAACAAAGACTCTTTATAGGGATGTAGGTTTGGATCAATAGGAGTTTTATTACTTGATACAAGTAAAGGAGAACATTGAGAGTATTCTCCAAAGCAGTGTCTTCCCAAGGGAAAGTGATAGGCGAGTTTTATGGGGTAATAGAGAAGGGAGAGGGTGCAGCATTGCGTGTAGTGGGGTCTCAGTTGTGCAGATGCGCTGAGCTATCATGCCAGCACATAGGTTGCATGTTAAGGTAATGAAGCTATAGCTCCTCTGGGGGTGGAGACTTTAGCATGGTAATGAGGAATGTTCACTTGGGTTCATCTGTAAGTTGTGGGAGTCTGCCAGGAGCTGGTTTTAACTGATTAGGTGACTGCATTCCATACAAGGTTTAGGAAGAAAAGGACTTCAGGGCAGGAGGCTATAAAACAGGCTGATTGCTCAAGTTCATTAAATTCTTGTAATCTCTGGAGACCCTCCCTATCTGCTTACACTAAGTAAACCTGACCTGCATGTTAGCATGGAGAGCAGAGGATGCTATGTATTCATTTAAAAATCATGTATTGAATATGTCATAAGCTCAAGATTCTGTTCTAACATGCAGTTCAGGCTCCTGGGGGATGGGACCAAAGCCTCAGTGTTTTTTTTTTTTTTTTTTTGAGACAGAGTCTCACTCTGTCACCCAGGCTGGAGTGCATTGGCACGATCTCAGCTCATTGCAACCTCTGCCTCCCAGGTTCAAGCAATTCTTGTGCCTCAGCCTCCTGAGTAGCTGGGATTACAAGCATGTGGCACCATGTCCAGCAATTTTTTTGTATTTTGGATTTCACCATCTTGGCCAGGCTGGTTTCGAACTCCTGGCCTCAGGTGATCCACCTGCCTCAGCCTCCCAAAGTGCTGGGATTACAGGTGTGAGCCACGTGCCGGACCTCAGTCTTTAGGATCAAAAGCGAAAGTCCCTGCCCTTGTGGAGCTTTCATTCCTTGGAGGGAAACAGGGAGGACAGGGAGTGCAGCTGGGGCTGAGGTGGTGTGCAAAGACCTCTCAGTAGTGATGTGACATTTGAATAAACACGAGAAGGAACTGAAGGATTGATAAGGGATGGGGAGGAAGCTGAGGAGTCAGTCTCCCTGGGTTCAGATCCTGGCTTCAGAGACTTCAGTTTTCAACCATGGCAGACTGGGAGGGACCAGATTTACTCTCTTGCTTTAAACAACTCAAAAACCCGATGACATATATGAAACAATAATTTCCGGACATTGAACCACAGATAGCACAATACAGAGATCCTGAAAGAAAGGAAATAGCTAAGTCTTTTGATGGCCACAGGTCTTGATGCAGAGAGGAGAAACACAACAGAATACGACAGTGTCCCTGCATTGAGAGTCTGGGGAGGCCAAGGCAAGGGAGTGAACCACACAGAAAGGATTTTGGAGCTGTTTAGAGCATTCCCCTCCATTTCTTAGCTGAGTACTGATCAGTACACGCCTGTGAAGAAACTCCCAGAGGCCAAGGAAAGACCACCAAGAAGGACCAGGTGGAGCTCACATAGGATCGGGAATTGTGTTCTTACTGACCAGAAAGGAAAGACCTCTCCATGAGTCCATTTTGCATTGCTCCAAAGGAATACCTGAGGCTAGGTAATTTATAAAGAAAAGAGGTTTATTTGGCTCAGGATTCTCAGGATTCTGTATAAGCAGCATGGCACCAGCCTCTGCTCAGCTTCTGGTGACAGGAAGCTTTCAGTTATGGCGGAAGGTAAAAAGGGAGTAGGCACATCACATGGTGAGAGAGGGAGCAAGAGAGAGAGGAGGAGATGCCAGGCCCCTTTAAACAACCAGCTTCTGCATGACCTAACAGAGTGAGAACTTTTTCATGGCCACGGGGAGTGCACCAAGCCATTTGTGAGGGATCTGCTCCCGTGACTCAAACACCTCCACTAGGCCCCACCTCCAACACTGGGGATTGCATTTCAGCATGAGATTTGGAGGAAACACATATCCAAACCATATCAGCCTCCTCATATATGGGACATTGAATGGAGTCCTGAGAAGGATATTGTCTCACTGGTGGCCAAATTAACTTTAGACTAGAGGCTGTTTTGGACCTGGCTAACAGTCTGAAAAGCAAGCCTTGAAAGTTTCATACTGTTTCGCATAACTTAAATGCATGCTAAAACAAAACTCCCAAATATTTATGGGAATATAAAAAATGTCGGCACTCAGCAATGTAGAATTCATAATGTTTGAAGTCCAGTAAAAAGTTACCAGGCATGCAAAGAAGCAGAAAAGTAGGACCCAATCGTGAAAAAAAAATCATCCAATAGAAACAGAACCAAAGATGTTACAGATGATAGAATTAGTAGATAAGGACATTAAAACAGCTATTAGAAATATGCTCTATACAGGGAATAGATGCACAGAAAGAGCAGAGACTCCTGAGGGAGGGGCTGGGCTTTCCAGGAGAGACATGGAGAGGGCTCCCCAGGCCTCAGAGCTGTCTTGATTCTAGCACCAACCACATGGACTCTTACAATTAGTCCCTATTTTCTTGAGACAGTTGGAGAGATCTTTGTTCTTATGATCAGCAAATCCTGAATAAAGCCACTTTCAGTTTAGAGGAAAAAAAAAAAAAGAAATATACTCAAGAAGATGGAGGCCTGAGCATGTTAATGAGAGATATAGGAGACAGAGAAAAAAGACCCAAATTAAACTTCAAGAGATGACAGTACAATGGTGGAGCAAATAGCAAATTAGACACTATGAAGGCATAGGCTATGGGAAATATTCAGACACAGAGAAAAAAGACTAAAGAAAAAAAAGTCACACACGCACACAAAGAACAGAGCCTCTGTTCTCTGCAGTGGCTCATGCCTGTAATCCCAGCACTTTGGGAGGCTGAGGCAGGCAGATTACTTGAGGCCAGGAGTTCAAGATCAGCCTGGCCAATGTGGCAAAAACCCTTCTCTACTAAAAAAATAAAAAATTAGCTGGGCATGGTGGTGCATGCCTATAGTCCCAGCTACTTTGGAGGCTGAGGCAGACAATTAGTTGAACCTGGGAGGTGGTGGTTGCAGTGAGCTGAGATTGTGCCACTGCACTCCAGCCTGAGCAGCAGAGTAAGACTCTGACTCAACCCCCTCCCAATGCCAAAAAAAAAAAAAAAAATCTATGATAAAGTTTGGTCAACATCAGGTGCTCTAATATATGTATAATCGGAGTCTCTGAAGGAGAGGTGAGAAGTAAGAGGAATAGAAAATGTATTTGAAAAAATAACAACTGAACACTTTTCAAATTTCATAAAAAGGTATAAACCCACAGTTATGAGAATCTCAAGGAACCCAAAACAGATCTTGCATCGAATACTTGCTTTGTAACTGTGGGCAAGTTACTATGTTGTCTGAGGCCACATTTCCTCATCTGTTGTAATAACAAATCTTGTATGGAGCACCCTTGACATAAGTGATTCCACCTTAGAAAAAAGTCCAGGTTGGCCAGGTGCAGTGGCTCATGCCTGTAATCCCAGCACTTTGGGAGGCCGAGGCGGGCAGATTACCTGAGGTCAGGAGTTTGAGATCACCCTGGGCAACACGGTGAAATCCCATCTCTACTAATAATACAAAATTAGCTGGGTGTGGTGACACATGCCTGTAATCCCAGCTACTTGGGAGGCTGAGGCAGGAGAATTGCTTGAACCTGGGAGGCGGAGGATGCGATGTGCCGAGATCGCGCCATTGCACTCCAGCCTGGGTGACAAGAATAAATCTCCGTCTCACCAAAAAAAAAAAAAAGGAAAAAAGTCCAGGTAACTTTTCAAAACACATTAAGGCAACAGGGTCCAGATGTTCTCTTAATCAATAGAGACAAAACCCAACCAGATAAGGGCATCACCCTTTACTATCAGTTCTCACCTGAGGACTCAAAGGCCATAAAGTGAGCAGAACTGTATCAACTAGACATGGCCATCTTGGCAGACCTGGTCTTGCTTTCACTCATGAGCAGCACCTGGCATTTGCCCCTGAAGATCCTGCCCACATCAAGGAGACAATGTCTTGCTCTCCTCGCAAGACATTGACAACCATCCAGGTCATCCCAGGACACTCTAACTGTCCACTTCATTCTCCTTGGCCTCATTCATTAACTCCTTTTCCTATCCCCTTTTCTCTTGCTGTTAAATGCTTCTCTGTTTCGTGCGAAATTTTAATCTACAACATTTATAGACTGATTAAGCATACTCTTATATATGGTTTGCAATATTGACTGACCTGTGGATTGGCTTGAGCCCGTGTGCCCACAGCTCTGACTACTGAGTGAATGGGAAGTACTAAGGAGAATTGCCTGCTCGGGAACCCCATGATTGAAATAACATCAGTAAAAGTTGACCTAATCAAGGAAATCTTGTGATTTCCTTAAGTGATTACCTTAATCTACAAGGTAACCAAGTGGTTACCTTGATTAAGTTCACCTAATCAAGGTGACCTTGTGTTCACCTAATCAAGGTAACCTTGTCTGACCTTGTGGAAAGACACAAATGTGCATGGACTTGGTTATGTCTGACCTTGTGCTACTCACTACAAACTTACATTAAGCACTAGTTCTGCTCCAGGAACTGTTCTTTTTTGTTTTATTTTGGGGGCAAGGTCTTGCTCTGCTGCCCAGGCTGAAGTGCAGTGGCATGATCACAGCTCACCGAAGCCTGAAACTCCTGGGCTCAAGTGCTTCTCCTGCCTCAGCCTCCGAGACTACAGTTGCATGCCACTGTGCCTGGCTAATTTAAGGTTTTGTTTGTTTGTTTTTGTAGAGAAGGATATTGCTATCTTGCCCAGGCTGGTTTTGGACTCCTGGCCTCAAGCAAGCCTCCTGACTTGGCCTCCCAAAGTGCTGGGATTCCAGGTGTGAGCCACTGCACCTGTCCACCAGTCGCTGTTCTAAAAGCTTTACAACAAAACCATGTGGGTGCTGTTACTGTCATCTTCATTTTGCATATGAGAAAAGTGAAGGATGAAGCATGGGAAGGTTAAGTAATTTGCTGAAGATTACACAGCTCAGAAGCCTGGTGGATCCAGCATTCAAATCAGAGCCCCAGCTCCTAGCCTCTGTACAGCTTCTAAACTCTATAAGATTGGGAAAATGATAGTGCTGAATTCATAGGCTTTTTGTGATAGTTAAACCTGGTAATCCATATGAAGGTGTTTACTTAGCAGAGTGTTTGTTCAAAACAAAAGACTGAAACTTCAAGTGGAGTTGGAATGGCTGGTGTGGGGAGGGGTGAGGCCTGTAAGGCCATGAATGAGAATTAACACCATTATTTAGCAGCCACAGGACAGAGCGCAGTCCTTTAGGCCCCTGGATTCCCTTGGATTTCTATTCCTTCCCACATCTCTACCTGCCCTTTCCCTGGGAAAGGAGGAAGTGAGCAATCAGTGAGCTTTTCTTCTCATTTCCACTTTACATAGACTGTGCCAGTTATGGTTGGGGAAAATGAGCTAGAAGATGACTGAAGGTTCGTTAGTGTGATTTGCTCTTTTTTTTGAGTCACCAAAATGGCATCCTTTCTGTTTTGTTTAAAGGTATTGTCAAATGTCAAAAGATCGCATATGGGCTGGTGACACGGCTCACATCTGTAATCCCAGCTCTTTGAGAGGCTGAGGCAGAAGGATCACTTCAGCCCAGGAGTTTGAGACCAGCCTGGACAACATGGCAAGACCTCATTTCTACAAAAAAATATAAAAGAAACACATATCACTCCTGTAATCCCAGCACTTTGGGAGGCCGAGGCGAGTGGATCACCTGAGGTCGGGAGTTCAAGACGAGCCTGGCCAACATGGTGAAAACCTGTCTCTACTAAAAATACTAAAATTAGCTGGGCATGGTGGCGGGTGCCTGTAGTCCCAGCTACTCGGGAGGCTGAGGCAGGAGAATCACTTGAACCCAGGAGGTGGAAGTTGCGGTGAGCCGAGATTGTGCTATTGTACTCCAGCCTGGGCAACAAGAACAAAACTCGGTCTGAAAAAAAAAAAAAAAAGAAATACATATAGGCATGTTAAGTATAAACCAGATTACATTCAGTGTAATCTGATTTCTAACATGTCCTTTGTTGCATTTTGAGAGATTTAATTGACTCTGAATTGGGCTCCTGGGGCCTGAGGCTGAGCTCTGGTCAACACTGCCATATGGGCATTTTCCATCCAGACCTATCTCTGGGACCAAGTATTAGAGAAAAACAAGTAGTTTCTTAAAGCTGTAGACATTCTATGATAAGGCAGAATTATTTTCTTTTTATTTTATTTAATTTTATTTATAATTTTTATTTTAGCATTCTTATTTTTTGAGACAGTCTCACTCTGGCTCCCAGTCTGGGTGCAGTGGGGCAATCTCGGCTCACTGTAACCTCCACCTTCAGGGTTCCAGCGATTCTTCTGCCTCAGCCTCCCGAGTAGCTGGGATTACAGGTGCCCGCCACAACGCTCGGCTAATTTTTATATTTTTTTAGTGGAGATGGGGTTTCACCATGTTGGAACCTGGCCTCGAACTCCTGACCTCAGGTGATCTGCGTGCCTCAGCCTCCCAAAGTGCTGGGATTACAGGCGTGAGCCACTGTGCCCGACCCTTTTATTCTTATTATAAAAATAATACATGTTCCTTTAGCGCATTAGGAACTGTAGGCAAAGAAAGAGAAGGAAACAACAATTACAAGTAACCTGCTAGCACACATGAAATTTTGCTGTCTATTTTTCCAGTGTTTTAAAAATGTCTATCTGGTAAAAATGGGGTCACACTTTTAAAAATGGATATATCATGGATGTCATCCTCAGCTGTTGCTTATTCTTCTGCAACATAAATTTTTGTGTAGTTCCATAATAAATATACAGTCAGGTTACATTTAATGCAAATTTGAATTACACAACTTGAAATAGTAGGATATAAAATATTAATTAAATCCAACTTTATGGGCAAAATTTCATAAAATGTGAATCCTGCCTTGCATTTATTTTCTGTAGGAAATTTAATCTTGCATAATGTGAGGTATTGTATTATGAGAGGTGTTCAGCAATTCAATCCTTTGCATAAAATATGGCTGCCCTGTCCCATCATTTATTTAGCCAGGCCCTTGTTTATGGTCACTTAATACTGCAGTGAGCCTCTTTGAAGATAAATCTTTGCACATGTCCCGTGATGATGTCTTTAGGAAAAATCCTTTGATGTGTAATTGCTGGGTCAAGGCTTTTAATGCATATTATCAAATCCCATCCTGGAAGGTGGTATGAACATTGATGTAACAAACATTTCCATAGGGCTTACTATAGGACAGGCACTATTCTAAGAATTTTGCATCCTCATAATAATGGTATGCAATAGATGCTGCTATCATTACCATCATCCCTGTTTTATGGATGAGGAAGCTGAGGTCGCCTCAGAGACTCAGGTCGCAAAACTAGTAGGTGTTAACGCTGGCTTCTGGGTCCTGGCTCCTAAACACTGGAGTGTGGTATTTCCCTAACATCCTCAGCATCAGAGTACAAGGTGATTTATTTCCCTATACCCTTGCCCACGAGTAATATGTGTCTGCTCAAAGGGATTGTGACTACATTATTATACTCGGGAAATCAGTTAACCAAATGGTGATTTCTGAGCACTGGCACTATGAGAGATAGAGAAGAAGTTCTAATCTATGGCTTCCAGTGAGCTACTATTTGATGTTGATTTTTTTCCCTCAAGAAACCCCATCGTTATGAATTGCATGCTTGTGTCTTCCCAAAATTCATATGTTGAAACTGTTATTCTTAATGTAGTGGTATGTGGAGAAAGGGCCTTTGGGAGGTGATTAGATATGAAGTTGGAGTCCTTATAAGATTAATGAAGTTATAAAAAGAGACAGGAGAGCTTTCTCTCTCTCTGTTCATATGAAGGTATAATGGGAAGTGGCCTTCTGCAAATCAGAAGGAGAGCCCTCGCCAGACACAGGATCAGCCCATGCCTTGATCTTGAACTTCCCAGCCTCCAGAACTATGAGAAACAAATGCTTGTTGTTTAAGCCACCCAGTCTATGGTATCTTGTTATAACAGCTCAAAATTACCAAGGCACCATCAAAGTAATATTTTCTGATGCTTCCTCCCGGCAGAAGAGTCCCTCATTTTTGGTCTTCATGTAACAGATGTTTTGGGGGTTCACTGGTTCTCTCAAAGGCTCTGCTCACAGCACCAGGATTTTAGGAAACTCTCTTAAGCTATGTGGCATACTTTCCCTGCTGTCTGCTACAGATGCTGGCTCCATGCCTTACAGTCTCTGCAGCTTGCCTTAGCCCCTGACCCAGTGCTGGCTTTATTCATTCACTGCAGTGAGCTTTCATGCTGAGAGAATAACAAAGAGGCATGAGATCCTGTGGCTTTTAACCTGAGATAGGGAGCTGTGTTTAGTTACTTTTCTTGAGCTCACCCGTAACATGACTAATTCTTTTCCAAGACCTCTAGATCCTTGTCTTAGTGTAAAACTGCTAAGCGGCCATAACAAAAGTATCCAACAATACATGGCTTAAAGAACAAAGTGGTTTTTTCCCTCTCATGTAACAGTGCTGAGGTTAGCAGTTGAGATCATTGAGGTGGCTCTAATCCACATAGTCTTTCAGGGACCCAGGTTCTTTCATCGTGTTGCTTTGCTCTATACCAGTGCATTAACATCATCTGCATGGTGAGGGTTCCAACCAGTGGGAAAGAGAAAGAACATGGAGGAGTCACGCCCACTGCATAGGCCTAGACACACACCACTTCCACTTGAATCCCTTTGGCAAGAACTAAATCACTAAACACCTAACTGCAAGGGATGCTGGGAATTGTAGTTCACCTCCATACCTAGAAAGAAGAGAATGGATTTAAGGGGAGGGCCAGTGGTATCCAAAAGACCCTCCAAGTAGGGAATAAATCTAGCTGGGTTTCTGTTTATGCATAGCTAGGTTATTATTATCTTTATTGCCCCTCTTGCTATACCATATCAGTGGGTGAATTTAAGACTAAGATATATAGAGGCCAGGCATGGTGGCTCAAATTTGTAATCCCAGGCTACCTGGGAGGCCGAGGCAGGAGAATCACTTGAACTTGGGAAGCGGAGGTTGCAGTGAGCTGAGATCCCTCCACTGCACTGCAGCCTGGAGGCAAGACGCTGTCAAAAAAAAAAAAAAAAAAAAGAATAAGATACAGAGGCATTTGACATTTATTGAGTGTTAGTACACCAGCCTCATGGGCTCTGGAACCTTGCTCTTAAAAACATGTGCCAGGGCGGATCACGAGGTCAAGAGATCGAGACCATCCTGGCCAACATGGTGAAACCCCATCTGTACTAAAAATACAAAAATTAGCTGGGCGTGGTGGCACATGCCTGTAGTTCCAGCTACTCGGCAGGCTGAGGCAAGAGAATTGCTTGAACCCGGGAGGTGGAGGTTACAGTGAGCCGAGATGGCGCCGTGAGCCGAGATGGCACCACTACACTCCAGCCTGGTGACAGAGCGAGACTTTGTCTCAAAAAAACAAAATAAAGACAAACAAAAAAACGCATGTGTCAACCTTGTTATTGGCTCTACCTGACCCCAAAATGAGCTCATAGTTTGATGTTAAAGCAGAATATGCAGACTTTGTAGACAAAAAATTCTGAATGAGAATCACAGCTCCATCATTTATCTCCCTTCTGTGTGACTTTGGACATGTTACCTAAACTCTCTGAGTTTTAGTTTATTGTGAGGATTATATAAGCATGTAGAATGATTAAGAGCCAGGGCTTTGGCATCCAAGATGATTGGTTGCAAATCCTGGCTTTTGTGACACTAGACAATCCTCTTAATTTATATGAGTACCAGGTTTCCTGTAGAATGGGGTAATACCCTACCTCTTACTGGGTTGTGCAAATGATGTATGTCCTAAGCACTTAGGTCAGTATTGGCTCACAGTACTGAGAAGTTAATCTACATTCAGCCTCAAGTAGTGTGACCATCCTTTCTCACTGCCTTCTCCCATAGGTTGGCTTCATCCTTAGGCTGCCTCTACAGTGGAAACAAGATGGTGGCTACATATTCAGAAGAAGAGTGACATCTTCTCTTCCACGCACCCCCTTGAAGCTCATTGGCTCTAACTGGTTATGTGTGAATCTTTAAACTGTGGCTTGGGGGATTAGACTGATTAGCTGATTGGCTTCAGGGAGTTGATACCCATTCCTGGAGTTAGGGATGGGGTCATTCCCAATCAATTATATGGCAGACATTTGGGGGAGGGATGTTCCTCCAAAGGGAAACTGGCTTGTAATTACCCGAAAGGCAGCCAAAACAACAGATGTCCACTACAGAGAATGTGTTTGAAGGATGAGTTAATTGGACCTAATTATGGCCCAATTTTTATTTGTTTTTTTTGAAATGATGAGTTGATTCCTTCTGATGATAGATGAGCTAATCACCATTTCTGGTAGTTTTCGTTCATATCCCACTTAGTTGACTCCTAGAGTTTTCTTTTATTGCTTTGCCCATACCAATGAATGCTTTCTCCCCCATTACATCTTCAGTGTCTCACCCAAAACTGAGCTCATAGTTTCAAGTCAAAGCAGAATACAGGAGCTGTGATTCTCATTCAGAGTGTTTTTTTTGTCTCCAAAGCCTAAAGACACTCCAAAGAGTCAGTGTCTTTCTGACCTGTAAGTTCATGTTACACGTGCAGACAGAACTTGTATGTGGTGATCAGACACCCCCAAACAAATGCATTGAAGGGGAATCTAGTTGGAGTCTATTTATTTATTTCGAGACAGAGTCTCCCTCTGTCACCCAGGATGGAGTGCAGTGGTGTGATCTCGGCTCACTGCAACCCTCACCTCCCAAGTTAAAGCAATTCTCGTGCCTCAGCCTCCCGAGTAGCTGGAATTACAGGCTTGTGCCACTGCACCACTAAAAATACTAATTTTTGTATTTTTAGCAGAGATGGGGTTTCACCGTGTTGGCCAGGCTGGTGCTGAACTCCTGATCTCAAGTGATCCGCCACCCTTGGCCTTCCAAAGTGCTGGAATTACAGGCATGAGCCATTACGCCTGGCCTGCATATTTTTGAACTTGTAGTATTTGTCTTTGAAATAGCAGTGAGCTTTTTGATTCCAAAGTTTTTGATATAAGTGCATGTGTGTGTGTGTGTCTGTGGGTGAAAGAGAGAGAGAGAGATTGGGAGAGAGAGAGAGAGAGATTGGGAGAGAAAGAGAGAGAGAGAGAGGAAGGACAAGGGTCAGGTAAGTGTGTCCTGTCTCCCTCCCTCTGGATCAAAACTCCTGCTGGGTGGGGTGAGAATGTGTAGTAGCAAAAACTGGAGACATATGGGGGAATCCTCAAGCAGTGGGGTATGGGCCCCAGTCCCCATTTGAGACTCTGGGATGCAAATGAGTCATCGGAAGCCCTGCACCAGCACAGAGTGGCTGCATTAGAGGAACACTGGTGGTGTCGTGTGTTTATGTAGAGAGGGCTTTCACTGGTGCCTTGGGTCTCTGTCAATTCCTGAGTGCCTGGGAATACCTCCAGCACTCCCCTCCACCATTACCAAGAGAGACAAAGAAAGTAATTGAATGTACTAGCTGTCTTTTTATTTTTTATTTTTAGTTTTTTAGAGACAGGATCTTGCTCTGTCACCCAGGCTGAAGTACTGTGGTGTGATAACAGCTCACTGCAGCCTCGACCTTCAGAGCTTAGGTGATCCTCCTGCCACAGCCTCCTGAGTAGCTGGGACTACAGGCATGTGCCACCGTGCTCAGCTAGTTTAAAAAATATTTTTTGTGGCCAGACGCGGTGGCTCATGCCTATAATCCCAGCAATTTGGGAGGCCGAGACGGGCGGATCACCTGAGTTCGGGAGTTAGAGACCAGCCTGACCAACATGGAGAAACCCCGTCTCTACTAAAAACACAAAATTAGCCAAGCGTGGTGGTGCATGCCTGTAATCCCAGCTACTCGGGAAGCTGAGGCAGAGAATCGTTTGAACCCGGGAGGCGGAGGTTGCAGTGAGCCGAGATTGCACCATTGCACTCCAGCCTGGGTAACAAGAGTGAAACTCTGTCTCAATATATATATATATATACACATATATATATATATATATGTGTATATATATATATATATGTGTATATGTATATATATATATGTGTATATGTATATATATATATGTATATATATATATGTATTTTTGTAGATACAAGGACTTACTATGTTGCCCAGGCTGTTCTCGAATGCCTGGCTTCAAGCACTCCTCCCACCTTGGCATCCCAACGTGTTGGGATTACAGGTGTGAGCCACTGCACCCAACCTGTCTTTTTATTATAGGGTCAACATAGGACTGTGTAGCCAAGAGCTACAGGATGGATTGCTGAGGCCAGGGAGATTGAAAGGAAGTCACAGCCCAATCTCAGAGGGATCCACGGAGCCAGCGAAAGCTAAGGCGGGACTTACCCAACAGAGGGTCCTGGCCCAGTCACCCAGTGGCACAACCCAACTGGGAGATCTGAGCATCTACCAACTGTGGCCACCAGTGAGATGGTGTCATTGTCTGGGGTAAATACCGGGGGTTTGTTGTCTCATGCCAAGGAAATCGAGTTTGCGGACACAAGAATTGGGTTTAGGAGCAGAGGTTTAATAGGCAAAAGAAAGAGAAAGGGTAACAGTAGGAGAGAGAGGAGTGCGCCAGTGGGACTTCTGACCCACGATGGAGTGCATTGGATTTTATAGACAGGCTTGAGGAGGCAGTGTCTGATTGACACAGGGCCCACAGATTGGTTGGACCAGGTGTGAGTTTTACATAGCGTGTGGGGAAGCTGGCCACGCCACCCTAATCTTATTATGCAAATAGGCTTTCCACTTGGCCGGCACCATGTTGTCTGCTGCCTAATGCACATGTGGTTGGAAAGGGAAAGGGAAGATGCAGCTGCCATTTTGAACATGCCTAGTCCCAGGTAGCCTTTTCCTATTGACACAGCTGCCGCATTCACCCGTGCAAGCTTCTGTGTCTGCAGCTCAATTTTACAGGCTGCTGTTTGTTAGAAAAGAAATGATTCAGGGGCTGCTTTTCATTAAAAGGAAACCTTACTGAGGACTTCCTTACCCTCACTGTCTGCCTAAATAATTTCTTCTTTACTCCTATATCACCGGCATCAGAGGCCAGCAGAAGTCTCAGTGATCGGGCAGGACAAAGGACATTTCTGCAGAGAATACTGAAGGTCCAGGAGACAGCACAGTGGGACATATGTGGGCCCCTGCCCCATCATTAGGAGGAAGTGTAGGCTTTTCTGAGGACCTGGATGCCATACCATCTTGAGACAGAGAATGAGGAACCAACCCTTGACAAGAGAGAGATGGCCCTGGTAGAGAATTTGAACCTTGAATTGGATTGAATATTTATCCAAAAGAAATTGAACCAGCACTAGAGAGACTGTTTTGAACTAGAAGTAACCAAGTTACCTTAACTGGAAGTTAGGATTTTTCCACCCCTGACATCAGTGGGACAAGGGCACATGAGCAAGATATTTACGGACAAAGAAGAACGTTCATGTTTTGTACACCTGCTTTGTAGTATGTTGCAGATACCGTTGGTTCCCCTGATTTCAGGTGTTCTCGTTCTTTCTGTACAGTCACTTGCTCAGGGCAAATGGTCCTCTCCTGCATGACTCAGAAGCACATACTGATTATTCTAAACTGGTCTTCATGCCCCGTTCCCTTGTCAGTGATGTAGTTAGGCAAAGGATTATGTAACAATTCTGGCTATGAGACATTGAAACTTCTACTGTGGGGCATCTGGGAAGATTTTTCTCATTGAAAAGAAGAGACGCAGGGTGTGGAGACTCATGCCTGTAATCCGAGCCCTTGGGAGGCCCAGGAGGGAGGGTCACCTGAGTCCAAGAGCTCAAGGCCAGTTCGAGCAACATACCAAGGCTGCAATAAACAAGCAAACAAACAAACAAACATTAGCTGGGCACGGTAGTGCACACCTGTAGTCCCAGCTACTCAGGAGGCTGAAATGGGAGGATTGCTTGAGCCCAGGAGTTTGAGGCTGCAGTGAGCTATGATTGCACCACTGCACTTCAGCCTGGGCAACAGAGCGAGATCCTGTCTCTATAAAAAAATTTTAAAAAAAGGAAGAAAAGAAAAGAAGAGACACACGTGGAAGAAACAGTCTCTATTCTGATGCAAGTAATGACTGGAACTGTGGCAGACAGCTTGGAACCATGAGAGGAGTTAACTGAGGGCTATCAGGGAAACTAGAAGAAGCCTGGGTCCTTGAGGAGGCAGACTACTAAATGGACCATCGTCCCTTCACCCTTTTTGTTATGTGAGATAATAAACTCTCTAATTTAAATCTACTTGAGATGAATATCTGATACTTGTAGCCAAAATCATCCTTAATGGGACAGAGTGTGGGTAAATTATCAACCTTGCTAGCCTTGCCTCATAATTTTTGAATTTATTTTTATCTTTTAATTTTGTTTATTTTTTATTTTTAAAGTAGAGACAGGATCTCATTATGTTGCTCAGGCTGGTCTCGAATCCCTGGCCTCAAGGGATCCTCCTGCCTCAGCCTCCTAAAGTGCTGAGATTACAGGTATGAGCCCCTATGCCAGGCCATTGCTTTGCCATTGTATCCATGTGATTGCAAAAAAGAAAATCGTGCTAATAGTCATTAGCTTTGAAAGACACTTGGAATTTCTTCCTTCAAGCGAGCTTTATTCCCAAACTGTTGAACCCTCTGGGTTTGACAGCAGGATCTACTTCACATGGTAGCATCTCCTTCTATTTGCCTTCAAGACATTTCCTAAGGGAAGAGATGAAGACACACTTGTAACGTGAACAAAATAATCCTTTTTCCTTTTAAAAATGTATGATTAAAATGTAAAATATATATATATATTCTTAAATGTAAAATATATATATATATCTTCTAGAGTTGCCTGGAAAGTGAGCTGAGAGCAGTTAAACATCAAACCCACTGCTGCTTTCCAGCTTTAACCAGAATCACCATTGTCTTTCCCTATGAAAGAAAGGAAATCTTAGAACTTAAAAGGATTTCAAGAAGAACTGAATTTTAACCACTGAGATGACCAGAGATGTAAGGCTCACACTGACTGAAGCAGTATAATTTGGCTGTCTTTTTAACATTCAGAATTCTCTCTGACTCTCCAAAATTGCATCTACTTTGATGAGCTTATTTTTTTCCTCAACCAAATTACATTTCTTGGAGTTCACCTGATACATCATGCCTACTTACTTTTTTTTTTAGATGGAGTCTTGCTCTGTCACCCAGGCTGGAGTGCAGTGGTGCAATCTCGGCTCATTGCAACCTCTGCCTCCCAGGTTCAAGTGATTCTCCTGCCTCAGCCCCCCAAGTAGCTGGGATTACAGGTGCGTGCCACCACGCCCAGCTAATTTTTGTATTTTTAGTAGAGACAGGGTTTCGCCATGTTGGTCAGGCTGGTCTCGAACTCCTGACCTCAAGTGACCCACCTGCCTTGGCCTCCCAAAGCGCTGGGATTACAGGGGTAAGCCACCATGTCCAGCCCTGCCTACTTACTTTGAACAAATTATTTCAGGCTAATTTACTAGCTGGAGAGAAAGAGGGAGGGAAGCAGGGAGGAAGCAAAGATAGAGGGAGAGAAAGAGAGGGAGACAGAGAGGAAGAGGGAGAGGGAGAGGAGAGAGAGAGAAAGAATGAATTGTGTTCTCCCAAAATTAGTATGTTGAAGTCTTAATATCCCAGTACCTCAGACTATGACTGTATCTGTAGATAGGGCTTTTGAAAAGGTGATTATGTTTAAATGAGGCCATTGGGGTGGGCCCTAATCCAGTCCAACTGTTGTCATTGTAAGAAGAAGAGATTAGGACACAGAGATACCAGGCATGTGCGTGCCCAGACAGACAACTATGTGAAGAGACAACAATAGGTCAGCCATCTGCAAGCTGAGGAGAGAGGCCTCAGAGGAAACCAACCCTGCCGGCACCTTGATCTTGGAGTTCCAGCCTCCAGAACTGTGAGAAAATGTATTCCTGTTGTTGAAGCCATTTCTGTTGTTCTGTGGCATTTTGTTATGGCAGCCCTAGCAAACTAATATGATAATTAACTCTTCCAAGTGCTGTTTCCATTACAAAGTATCCCAGAATTTTATATTGGTGAATCTGTGTTCCTCAGGCCATGTCTTCCCTGTTGGAAATGCTGTTATTATGTCCCAAGGTGACTTCAAGGAGTGGGTTAGAGGCTGAGACAGAGGGTGTGAGATCGTCACTACTGTAACCTTGCTTTGTTCAGTATGAACATGCTCAGATATTCTCTGTTTTGTATTGGGAGATCGGGAAAGGATTTATTGAAAAAATGTTTCCATTAGCAAATGAAGTTTGAAGGCAACTACCGTCTACAAGAGCAAACAAATGCATAAAATTCAAATATTATTTTGTCCCAACCTCAGTGTCATGAGGGTCTCTTATACAGAATAGTAGATGAGAATAAAATTTGAATTGATAATACTGGAATAGAGTAGTCATTATGCAATGTAACAAACCTCAAATATTCAGTGGTTTAACACTATAGATGTTTATTTACCACTCATTCAATGTATGTGTTCCTTGTTAGCAGTAGTTTTCCTTGTAGTCATTCAGGAATCCAGGCATATTAGTTATCTATTTCTGTGTACCCCATAAAAACCATTTATTATTGCACACTTTCAGAGGGTCAGTAATTTGGGAGTGGCTTAGCTGGGGTGTTCTGACCAGAGTCTCTCTTGAGGTTGTAGTCAAGATGTTGGCTAGGGTTGCCATCATCTGAAAGCTTGACTGGGACTGTATCCACTTTCAAGATGGCGCACTTACTTGGCTGTTGGCAGGAAGCCTCAATGACTTATCATGTGGTCTTCTCCACAGTGCTGCTTGAGCATCCACACAACATGGCGCTAGCTTCCCCCAGAGTGAGTAATCCAGAATGAAGAAGACAGAAACCACAATATCCTTTATGAACTGGCCTTATAAGTAATATTTTGTCATTTCCATAAAGTCCTATTGGTTACACAAGACTGCCGTATTCAATATAAGAGTGACAACACATGGGGATAAATACTTGGAGGTGTAAATCATTGGGAACCATCCTGGAAGTTGCCTACAATACTAGGATCTATGGCTACAATTCCCTGGGTCTTGGCTTCAAGACAGAGAAAAGGGAAAGAACATGAAACAGCCCCATGTGGTTTTTGTTTTTTTTTTAATGGACAAGAGTAAGAAATGGTGAACATTTCTTCTACTCATATTCTACAGTTAGAATTTGGTCACATAATGTATCTAACTATGAAGGTAGCTAGGTAATATCATCTCTTGTTGGGAGGGTAGCTGGGAATACCTCTATACAATGGAAGGAAGAGCATGAACTTTTGGTGGAGAGATAATGCTCTCTGCCATGATAAAATGAAAAAAATAACATATGCAGAATGGTCAACATAACAGCATGAAGCAAATGCACAATGAATGATAATCATAATATAGTGCTCTTTTGATAATCTAGTGCATACCCAGAACCTGGGAGGTATTTGGTTTTAATACATGTTTGTTGTATGAATACGTGAGTTAAGGTAATGGATGCAAAAATGGTATAAATAGGAGGAATTATAATTGATATTTCTTGAGTTAGCATGTTTCATTGGCTATCTTTATGGAGGTCCAGACCCTCCTCCGAAGGTGGATATTACTGTTCCGATTTCAATTGGTCAAATAGAGACCAAGAGACTTTAGGCAACTTGTTTTAGATTTGGCACTGAATGGCGGGAAAGTGCAGATTTTCTGAGTACTATGTCTGGGCTCTTTGCTATAAGCACTATTGATTTGAATGGATAAGAACAGAAAAGTCCTTTGCTCAGAGGAGAATCAGGGCCACTGTATCAGTCAGGGTCCAATCAAGAGGCAGAAACTATACCAGTTATTTAATTTCATTTATTTATTTATTATTATTTTTTAGAGATGTGGTCTTGCTGTGTTGCTCAGGCTGTTCTCGAACTCCTGGGCTCAAGCAATCCACCTGCCTTGACCTCCCAAACTGCTGGGATTACAGGTGTGAGCCACTGTGCCTGGCCCCGTACCAGTTATTTTAACAGAGAGAATTTAGTATGGCCCAGGCGCAGTGGTTCAAGCCTGTAATCCCAGCACTTTGTGAGGCTGAGCAGGGAGGATCACTTGGACCCAGGAGTTTGAGACCAGCCTGGGCAACATATTGAGAGTCCACTTAAGAAAAAGAATTTAATATAAAGAACTTTTTTCTTTTCTTTTTTTTTTTTTTGAGATAGATGGAGTCTCACTCTGTTGCCCAGGCTGGAGTGCTGTGGCGTGATCCCAGCTCACCGCAACATACGCCTCCTGGAATCAAGCACCTCTCCCGCCTCAGCCTCCGGAGCAGCTGGGATTACAGGCACTCGCTAACACGCCTGGCTAATTTTTGTATTTTAGTAGAGGCAGGGTTTCACCATGTTGACCAGGCTGGTCTCAAACTGCTGACCTCAAGTGATCCCCTGTCCTCGGGCTCCCAAAGTGCTGGGATTACAGGCATGAGCCACCACGCCTGGCCGAGAATTGTTAACTAGGAATCAAGTTGATAACCAGGCAACTAAAAAGGAAAAAAAAACAACAAAACAAAACCAACCCAACAACAATATTAATGTATCACAGAAGAAGCAACTGAAGGAAACAGCTATACTCAGAGGTCTGGGGGAACAATGAGAAAAGGTTGGCATTAACACTTAGAATCAGCCAAGTGCAGTGGCTCATATCTGTAATCCCAGAGACTCAGGAGACCAAGGTGGGAGGATTGCTTGAAGCCAGGAGTTTGAGACTAGACTGGGCAACATAGTGAGACCCTGTCTCTACAAAACATAATAAAATTGGCCAGGCAGAGTGGCATTCACCTGTGGTCCCAGCTACTCGGGAGGTTGAGGTAGGAGGATCACTAGAGCCCAGTTACAGTGAGTATGACTCACTGTAACTACACTCCACTACACTCCAGCCTGGGAGACAGAGTGAGACCCTGTCTCAAACAAACAAACAAACAAACCAAAAAATCACTAGAATAATAGGAGAAAAGTGCCCTGCAAACTGAAACTCAGATCTCTAAGGAGGGACGGGGGTTGGAGTCTTTGAGGGGTGCAATTAGACTGGTTCTGCCAGTGTTAGGAAAACTGCAAACTGGATTGAGATGCTGCTATGGGAAGGAACTGCCATTGCAGGAGAAAGGAAGCCTTGCTAGGAGAGTGTTCACAGGAACAGAAAGAGCAAGTTCCTTTTTCCTCCAGCCTTGCAGTTCCCCTCTAACACCCCCATGGGTAGAACCTCACAGGAAGCAGCTGGAACAGCAGAAATATGCTTTTCCCAATTCCAACTCTTGTATCACAAAGCAGAATACAGAAGGTTGGGTTTGGAGTTGAGAGATAACAACTAAATAATAGCTGGCACAAGGCCCACCTGATCAGAAATTAATCTCACCTCCTTGGGGATAAGGGCTTTGGGTGGGAGGAAAGGAGGCTCTTGAACTCATGGGCATTGAGCACGTGACTAGTTGTCTTAGAGAAAATGTGCCACCCTGCAGGGCCGCCTGAAAGCTTGTACAAGTGCCTGAGGAAAGCCGGATTTGGCAGGCTGCAACCACGGTGGATGACAGCTGAAGGAGAATTACAGCAGCAGCAGTTAAGTAGAAGATGTTCACACTTCCTCGCTCTGCATCTTTCTTCCTGGAGCCCAACACCTCGGAGGAGAATGGGAAACCCAGAAGAAGGAGTGGGAAGTAGGGTTGCCACATAAAATATAGGACTCTCAGTTACATTTGAATTTCAGATAAGCAGCAGATTATTTCTTAGTATAAGTATGTGCCAGTATGTGTGTATGTGCACACATATGTGCACATGTATGCATGCATCAGCTAGATTCTGCAACCATCAGAGAAATAGACAAAGGTCCTTTTGACCAGTGGTCAAACTGAGCTATGAGGAGAAGATCTTGAAATTGCATGTGATATTGAAGCTTTAAACTTACTGAGTTGCTTGTGTTAGGCTTTTAAATACCGTAATGGGACTAAAAACTATGTTTCTAAGAGAGAGGAATATTTGGGAGTACAGCTGACCCTTGAACAATGCAAGGCTTAGAGGCATTGTCAAAAATCCACATGTAACTTTTGACTCCACAAACATTTAACTATTTTTCTTGTCTTTTTTCTTTTTTTTTTTTTGAGATGGAGTCTCACTCTGTCTCCCAGGCTGGAGTGCAGTGGGGTGATCTCAGCTCACTGCAACCTTCACCTCCCAGGTTCAAGCAATTCTCAAGCCTCAGCCTCCTGAGTAGCTGGGATTACAGGTGTGCACAAAGATGCCTGGCTAATTTTTGTATTTTCAGTAGAGATGGGGTTTCACCATGCTGGCCAGGCTGGTCTTGGACTCCTGACCTCACGTGATCTGCCCACCTTGGCCTCCCAAAGTGCTGGGATTACAGGCATGAGCCACGGCATCTGCCCAAAAACTGAACTATTAGTAGCCTACTGTTGACTGGAAGTCTTACTGATAACATAGTCAATTAACACATGTTTTGTGTTATATGTATTATATACTATATTCTTACAATAAAGCAAGCTAGAGAAAATAGAATATTAAGAAAATCATAAGGAAAATATATTTAGGATTCTTTTTTTTTTGAGATGGAGTCTTGCTGTGTCACCCAGGCTGGAATGCAGTGGTCAGCCTTCCAACGTGCTGAGATTACAGGCGTGAGCCACTATGCCCGGCCATATTTACTATTCATTAAGTGGAAGCGGATCATCATAGATGACTTCATCCTCATCCTCTTCACACTGAATAGGGTGAAGAGGAGGAGGAAGAGGAGGGGTTGGTCTCACTGTCTCAAGGGTGGCAGAGGCAGAAGAAAATCCAGGTAGAAGTGGACCCAAGCAGTTCAAATCCATGCTGTTCAGGGGTCAACTGGGTCAACTGTGTAGTTAAAGGTAGTGAGTAGTTGGAGAAAAATGAAACTGCTTTCGTGTTTATACCTTCACTGAGTTCAGACCTCGTAATAAACTGGGTATCTGTATGTGTGACAAACAATAGAGGAGATGTGTGTGCAGGGTGTTCAAGGGGCTTTTGCATCTTTGCTGGTGATCACAAATAGGGCTTTAATTCTTGGACTTGAAGAGCTGCAGGAGCCATTGAAAGGATACATGGAGCTAGTTGAATACCACATTATCATTTAGCAAGTGATATTTAGCTCTATTCCTGTGGATGAACCCTGATTAGGATCTTAAGTTTGTATGTTGTTGGAGATTATTCTTGTTTGTCTTGGAAATGAACATTCATTCATTCGTTCTGGTGCCTAGCATAGACAATAAATCACAATTCAAATAATGAAAAATTATATATTTATTTATTAAGCATCTACTGCATGTAGGTTCTGTGTTAGATGCACAAAAATGAATACCATAAAATCCTTTACTAAAACGCCATTCCTGTCTTTGAGTGGAAAATGTAGCAGCTACGGGAATTAAGTTATATGGTAGCATGTGTGGTTACCTACTTGACGGAGACAGAATCCACATTATCAGGTGTGGTCAGATGAGGGATTCTCTGCCTGGAGAAGTTGTCATGGACAAGGTAGGATTTAATTTAGGTTGTAAAAGAATACCAGGATTTAGGGACTCCTAAAGACAGAGACTGTATATCCCTCATCAGATCAGCCACTCTTTTCTTTTTTTTTTTTTTTTTTTTTGAGACAGTTTCGCTCTTGTTGCCCAGGCTTGATTGCAATGGTGCGATCTCGGCTCACTGCAACCTCCACCTCCTGGGTTCAAGCGATTCTCCTGCCTCAGCCTCCCGAGTAACTGGACTACAGGCGCCTGCCACCACACCCAGCTAATTTTTTGTATGTTTAGTAGAGGTGGGGTTTCACTATGTTGGCCAGGCTGGTCTCGAACTCCTGACCTCAGACAATCCCCCCGCCTCGGCCTCCCAAAGTGCTGGGATTACAGGCGTGAGCCACTGTGCCCAGCCAACCAGATCAGCCATTCTAAGGCCAAGAGTTGCATTACTCTTTTCTCTGTTTCTTGGAAACATGACTGGAGGACTTGCTGTAAAAAATATTAAGACTTATTATGATAAAGCTATGGTAATAACAAGGTGTAGTGTTAGAATGAACCTGGGCAACATGGCAAAATCTTGTCTGTGAAAAATATCAAAAATTAGGTCAGGTGCGGTGGCTCACGCCTGTAATCCCAGCACTTTGGGAGTCTGAGGCAGGCAGATCACCTGAGGTCAGGAGTTCTAGACCAGCCTGGCCAACATGGTGAAATCCTGTCTCTACTAAAAATAAAAAAAAAATTAGCCAGGCGTGGTGTCGCATTTCTGTGGTCCCAGATATTTGGGAGGCTGAGGCAGGAGAATCACTTGAACCTGGGAAGTGGAGGTTGCAGTAAGCCGAGATCGTGCCATTGTGCTCCAGCCTGGGTGACAGAGAGACACTTAATCACAAAAAAAAAAAAAAAAAAAAAAAAAAAAATTGGTTGATAAGCCTGGCCAACATGGTAAAACTCTGTGTCACTACTAAAAATACAACAATCAGCTGGGCGTGATGGCATGCGTCTGTAATCCCAGGTAACTGGGAGACTGAGGTGGGAGGATTGCTTGAGTCCAGGAGTTCGAGGCTGCAGTGAGCCGTGCACTCCAGTATGGGTGACAGAGGGAGACCCTGTCCCAAAATAAAAAATAAATAAATAAAAAAGCCTAGAAAAACAAAGACAAATAGAGCAATATAGCAGAAAAGGAAGCCCAGAAACAGACTCAATATATGGACAGTTGATTTATCACAAGAGGGACTCAGCAGAACTTTAAGAAAGGACAGTCTTTTTTGTAAATGGTATAGAGAAAATTGGATATCAATATGGAGCAGAAATAAAATTGGACACCTACATCATACTTACACAAAAATCTATTCCAGGAAGATAATAGACCTATTTTTTGGAAGGCAAAATAATAAAGTGTTTAGATGACAACATGAGAAAATGTCTTCCTGACCTCATGATACAGAAAGATTTCTTAAAGAATATACAAATCACCAATTATAAATGAAGAGGTCAATAAATTTGGCTATGTTCAAGTTAAGAACTTCTGCTTATTAAAAGAAATGATTAAGGGCCGGGCGTGGTGGCTCACACCTGTAATCCCAGCATTTTGGGAGGTCGAGGCGGGCAGATCACCTGAGGTTAGGAGTTCCAGACCAGCCTGGCCAACATGGTGAAACCCCGTCTCTACTAAAAATACAAACTTAGCTGGGTGTAGTGATGCATGCCTGTAATCCCAGCTACTCGGGAGGCTGAGGCAGAAGAATTGCTTGAACCCGGGAGGCGGAGGTTGCAGTGAGCTGAGATCATGCCATGGCACTCCAGCCTGGGTGACAAGAGCGAAACTCCATCTCAAAGAAAAAAAAATAATAATATATAAAAAAATACATGATTAAGAAAGTGAAATGGTCCCAGCACTTTGGGAAGCCAAGGCAGGAGGATAGCTTGAGGCCAGGAGTTCAAGACCAGCCCGGGCAACATAGTGAGACACTAATTAAAAAAAAAAAAAGTGAAAAGGTAAGCCACATGGTGGAAAATGTTTGTAAAACACATGAACAATGGCTTTATATGCAGAATATAAAAAGTACTACCTAGGCTGGGCATGTTGCTATGTGCTTGTGGTCCCAGCTAATCAGGAGAGTGAGGCAGGAGGATCATTTGAGCCCAGGAGTTTGAACTGTAGTGCACCATGATCACACCTGTGATTAGCCACTGTACTTCAGCTTGAGCTTGGGCAATATAGCAGAACTTCATCTCTAGAAAAAAAAAAGTATTCTTACAGGACAGGAGTGGTGGCTCATGCCTGTAATCCCAGCACTTTGGGAGGCCGAGGCAGGAGGATCACTTGAATCCAGGAGTTCAAGACCAGCCTAGGCAACATAGGAAGACCCCATCTCTACAAAAAATAAAACATTAGCCAGGAATGGTGCCTGCCTGTGGTCTCAGCTCTTTGGGAGGCTGAGGCAGGAGAAATGCTTGAGTGGAAGGTGGAGGCTGCAGTGAGCCATGATTGTGCCACTGCACTCCAGCCTGGGTGACAGAGCAAGGCTCTGTCTCAAAAAAAAAAAACAAAAAACAAAACAAAACAAAAAAAACAAAACAAAAACCCCAAACACTCAAGCACTCATACAGCTCCACAGAAAAAATGACCAAAATACTTACAAAAGAAGAAATTCTGATGGCCAACACAAATGAAAAGGTGCTCCACATATTAGTAATCAGCGAAAAGCAAACGAACACCACAATGAATGTGCTAGCCAGACTTCAGGATGGCTCCCAGTGATCCCTGCCACCTTGTGTTCACACCCTCCCATATTGCACTACAGTTGGTTTGTGTGATCAACAGAATATGGCAGATGTGGTGGTATGTCACTCCTGAGTTGAGGTCATAAAAGAAACCACCTTGATTTCTCATTCTCTCTTTCTCTCTCTCACAGATCAGTTGCTCTGGGGGAAGCCAGCTGTCATGTGACAAACAGCTCTCCACAGAGGATTATGGGGCATGTAACTGAGGCCTCCAGCCAGCGGCCACGTCAGTGAGTTTGGAAATAGGTCCTCTAGCCCAGTTGAGCCTTCAGAAGACGACATGAGGATTTGCTGCAGTTCTGCCCAACATCTTGATTTCAAGCTCATGAGACAGCCTAAGCCCAAACCACCCAGCTAAGCCATTCCTAGATTCCTGACCCAAAGAAACTATGTGAGATTATGTGTCTGGTATTTTAAGCACTAAGTTCTGGGATAATTTGTTTTGAAGCAATAGTTAAGAAATACAATGAGATAACACTAAACGCAATGAGAGAGCACTAAACACTATACTTGGTGTAGATAAGGTCATGGAGCCACAGGAATGCTCATTTTGTGCTAGTGGAAAAGGAAATTGGAAAAACCATTTTGCAATGTATAACCAGGTGGCAATATCTACAGTTTTAAAGCTATGCCTATTATATGATCTCACAGTTCCACTTCTAGGTATATAGTGCATGATCCTGTGCACAGGAGACATGCACATGAATATTCATAGCAGGAATGTTTGTAGTAGCCTCAAATTGGAAACCATCCACATATCCATCAGTAATGGAATGGATAAATAAGTTTTGGTAGCAGTTGAGCCTTGAACAACACGAGTTTAAACTATGTGGGTCCACTTAATATGCACATTTTCTGGGTCCACTTATATGCAGATTTTCTTCTACCTCTGCTACCCCTGAGATGGTAAGACCATCTTCCTTGATCCACTTCCACAGTAAATACATTTTCTCTTTCTTATGATTTTCTTAATATCATTTTCTTTTCCCTAAGCTTACTTGATTGTAAGTGTACAGTATGTGATAAAAATAACATGCAAAATATGTGTTAATCAACTGTTAATGATCAGTTAATACTTCTGGTGAACAGTAGGCTGTAAGTAGTTAAGTTTTGGGGAAGTCAAAAGCATATGCAGATATTTGACTGTGTGGGGTGTTGGTATCCCTAACCTCGTGCATTGTTCAAGGGTCAATTGTATTTGTACAATAAAATGTTATACAGCAAGGGTTGGAAGATTTGTTCTGTTAAGGGCCAGAGAGTCAATATTTTAGGCTTTAAGGGCTGTACAGTCTCTGTCATACCTAGTCAACTCTGCTGTTGTAGTATGTAAGCAGCCACAGAGAATAGGGAAATGAATAAGCATGGCTATATTTCAATTATACTTTATTTACAAAACAGATGGGGAACTGGATTTGGCACAGGGGCCACAGTTTTCTGACCATTACTCTATAATATTGAGAGTAAAAGGGGCCAGGTGCAGTGGCTCACATCTGTGATCCCAGCACTTTGGGAGGCTGAGGCAGGAGGATTGCTTGAGGCCAGTAGATCAAGACCAGTCTGGGCAACATGGCGAGACCCCATGATATGGTTTGGATGTGTGTCCCTCCTCAAATCTCATGTCAAATTGTAATTCCCAGTGTTGGAGGAGAGGCCTGGTGGGAGGTGATTGGATCATGGGGACAGGCTTTCCCCTTGCTGTTCTTGTGATAGTGAGTTCTCATGAGATCTGGTTGTTTAAAAGTGTGTGGCACCTCCCCCTTCTCTCTCTTCTTCCTGCTCTGGCCACATAAGACAAGCCTACTTCCACTTCACCTTCTGTCATGATTGTAAGTTTCCTGAGGCTTCCCCCACCATGCTTCCTGTAGAGCCTACAGAACCATGAGCCAATAAACCTCTTTTCTTTATAAATTACCCAGTCTCAGGTATTTCTTCATAGCAGTGTGAGAATGGACTAATATACCCCATCTCTACAAAAAAATTTAAAAAATTAGCCAGGTGTGGTGGTGTGTGCTTGTGGTCCCAGCTACTTGGGAGGCTGAGATGGGAGGATCTTTTTAGCCCAGGATGTGGAGGCTGCAGTGAGCCATGCTCAGGATTTTAGTCTGTTCTCACGCTGCTAATAAAGACATACCTGAGACTGGGTAATTTATAAAGGAAAGAGGTTTGATGGACTCACAGTTCCACGTGGCTGAGGAGGCCTCACAATTATGGTAGAAGGTGAAGGAGGAGCAAAATCATGTCTTACAGGGCGGCAGGCAAGAGAGCATGTGCCAGGAAACTGCCCTTTATAAAACCATCAGATCTCACGAGACTTATGCACTATCATGAGAACAGCACGAGAAAGATCTGCCTCCATGATTCAATTACCTCCCACAGCGTCCCTCCCATGACACACGGGAATTATGAGAGTTACAATTCAAGATGAGATTTGGGTGGGGACACAGCCAAACCATATCACTCAGGTTGGGTGACAGAGCAAGGCCCTGTCTCAAAAAAATAAACAAGTAAAATAATAAAAAAAGAGAGAATGAAAGAGCCCAGGTACAAACAAGAACATAGATAAGTCTTTGAAAAGTATTGAATGAAAGAAATCGGACATAAAATATGTACTCCTATTTATAAAAAGTTCAAAAGCATGAAAAATGAGACGATATTGTTGAGGGAGCATCTTGAGGAGGTGAAACTAGAAGGCAAAACAAGGAATTGAGTCTTTAAAATGCCAGGATTGTTGTTACTTTGGAGGGTAGATAGGGGTGTGTAATTGAGAAGGGGTACCTAAGGGACTCATGGGGTGCTGGCAATAACCTTATTTATTAATCTGTTGGGGGTTTCACAGGTGTTTATACAATCTGGTAAGTTGTATATTTGTGTTTTGTGTTCTTTTCTGTATTTGCATTCTATTTCTCAATAAATTGTTGAAGAAAAATGAATATTAAGAACTATGTACCATGCTATTATGTTCCATTAACTAACTGAGAAACATTTTTCTTTGGTTGACAAATATGAGTCTTTCCGCATCATTCTAATAAGCCAACTCATTGGGATTCATTCCTCGCTGTGCATCAGAATCTCCAGTGGAGTGTTTCTCCCTGCACAACACAGATGCCTGAGTCCATCCCCCTTCTAAGATTCTGATGCAGCAGGTCCAGCGTGGAGCCCAGACCTTGGCAATTTGCAGACATTCCCCAAGCAATGGTGATCTGCAGCCTCAGGCTTAAACCAGAGACCCTCCGGTT
The DNA here is from genome assembly GCF_000001405.40 of Homo sapiens. Taxonomy (NCBI): domain Eukaryota; kingdom Metazoa; phylum Chordata; class Mammalia; order Primates; family Hominidae; genus Homo; species Homo sapiens. Next base: position 24,463,792 of record NC_000016.10, on the reverse strand, counting down.
TAAACTGTGCTCTTCTGTTGCGATTTCTGCGTAGTGTATTTCCCTTAGTCATCCATTTCATTCCAACATTCACCCAAACTGACAACCTAAGCATTTTATTTTTAATTGCATTTGCCTCGAAGTTAGTTGTTCTTTGAGTAGAAGAGTCAGTTCTATTCAAGGTATTATCTCATCTGGCATTTATTCCAGCCTCCCATTCACTCGCTCCTAAACTGCAACACCTTGAAACTGCCTTGTAAATGCACTCATTGCCTTAAATGAAAGCAAGTGCACATTCTCAGCTTATAGCCCATCCCATCTCCCCTCCTTTCCCCCCAGCGTTGTGGCAGGCTTGCCACCCACCCTAGCGTAGATAAGTGCTTGTTCGTCCCTTGCCTTTGTTTCCAGGCTCTAAGTCACTTTCCTATCACGAGGAAACATTCCTTCCATCCTCTGGTGACTCATCTTTATCAGCCTTTCCTGGAGAACCTTATCAATAGCCTTTTGAACAACTACAGAAATTAAATCTATCCCTCTTATCCTCCCTCCTTGTTTACTGCTTCTGAACATCTCTAGCAATTGCAACATATTGCTGATTAACTTCCTCCTAGAGTAAGCACTGCATTTCCTCCCAATAGATATTTTAAAATGCTTAATAATTTGTTCATTTGAAGTTAATCTCTACTTCTTTTACTGGCAACGTAACCATAAGTCTCTATTTGCTTTAAACAGTCCTGCTCTGGCCCCAGGAATCATTAACGGCACCTCCTTTTTCCTTATTACAAGAAGTCACATTTGGGATGATGAATTTTTTTCCTTTTTTCTTTTTTTTTTTTTGAGATGAAGTCTTGTTCTGTCACTAGGCTGGAGTGCAACGGCACGATCTTGGCTCACTGCAACCTCTGCCTCCCGGGTTCAAGTGATTCTCTTGCCTCAGCATCCCAAGTAGCTGGGATCACAGGCGCCCCCCACCATGCCCGGCTAATTTTTTGTATTTTTACTAGAGATGGGGTTTCACCGTGTTGGCCAGGCTGGTCTTGAACTCCTGACCTCAGGTGATCCATCTGCCTCAGCCTCCCAAAGTGCTGGGATTACAGGCGTGAGCCACCACACCCAGCAGGGATGATGAATTTTATCGTTACCTTCCTAAGGTCTATGTGGGATAGATGAACAATAACTAGATTACCTGGAGGCTTGGATTCTAATCCCTGCCAGGATGTAAATGGGCTCTGTGGGTTTGATAATGGCAAACTCTCACTCTCAAAGTGTGGTCCCCAGACCAGCAGGTCAGCTTCACCAGGGAGCTTGTTCAAAATGCAGATTCTCAGGCCTCACTTCTGACCTGTGGTGCCAGAATCTGCATTTTAACAAGACTCCCAGGTGATTTACCTGTGCGTTATAGTTTGCAAACTCTTGTCTTTTTTAAAAAAATTCTCTGTTGTTATTGTTTTTTGGTAGAGTCAGGGTCTCACTATGTTGTCCAGGCTGGTCTCTAAACTCCTGAGCTCAAGTGATCCTTCCACCTCGGCTTCCCAAAGTGCTGGGATTACAGGTGGGAGCCACTGCACCTGGACTCAAACTACTATCTTAAACCTCACGGGGGCCGGGCACAGTGGCACAAACCTGTAATCTCAACACTTTGGGAGGCCAAGTTGAGGGATTTCTTGAGGGCAGGAGTTTAAGACCACCCTGGCCAACATGGTGCAACCGTGTCTCTACTAAAAATACAAAAATTAGTTGGATGTGGTGGTGCATTCCTGTAATCTCAGCTACTCGAGAGGCTGAGGCTCAAGAATCCCTTGAAGCTGGGAGTCGGAGGTTGCAGTGAGTCGAGATCACGCCACTGCACTCCAGCCTGGGTGACAGAGCGAGACTCAGTCTCAAAACCAAAAAACAAAAACAAATCCCAAAAAACCTCATAGGGCTTCAGTTAATTAGTAAAATAAAAATATCCAGCCCCTTAGTAGCATTAAAAATAAGTAGTTCAGTGCATTTTAATAATAAATCCCCAGGAACAACAGGGAAGTTCATTAAAATACATGTACTTACATGTAGGATAATTTGCTTTAAAAAAAAAAAAAAGGGGGGGGTCAGATGCAGTAACTCATGCCTGTAATCCCAGCACTTTTGGAGGCCCAGGTGGGCTGATCTTTTGAGGTCAGGAGTTCGAGACCAGCCTGGCCAACATGGTGAACCCCGTCTCTACTAAAAATACAAAAATTAGCCAGGCCTGGTGGCACACATCTGTAATCCCAGCTACTCAGGAGGTTGAGGCAGGATAATTGCTTGAAGCTAGGAGGTGGAGGCTGCTGTGAGGTGAGATTATGACACTGCACTCCAGCCCAGGCAAGAGCTGATTCCATCTCAAAAAAAAAAAAAAAAAAAAAAAAGGGGAATTAATGGATTCTACTATACATTTAACATGCTCTAAACATCATTTAGTTGTCACTGATTTAAAAAAGTTACCTGTTTAAAAAAAATCCAAATGCTGGCATGGTCTAGAAAATACTTAACTGGTCTATTTGTGATTATTATAAAATTGTTCAGTAAACATTTTGACTTGCACAAATACTTTATGTCCCTGTTTTGCATGAAAAATCCCCACACAAATGAAAATGGAAAGAAAAAATAATTTGTCAATATCTATTTATGTCTCCTATTTTTCCATGACCTGTCATTATACTAAGATTGCTTTTACCCTCTTGGAAAAAAAACAGTATTAAGTTCAGATTTCTGATAATAGCAGAGGGAGAAAAAGGTATTTTTATTGGCTTGGCAAGGAAATGTTTCTTATTGTACTGGAACTTAAGCATGGCGTCCAGTATGTAGCAGGCTGTCTGGTTGTTTTGGGGCATGGTAGTTACTCGTTTGACATGGGTGGTACCAGGATGGAATCTTCAAACAAGAAGACCGGTAGGCCTCACTTGCCTCCCCCAAAGCATCAATGTCATCTTCCCAGAAGCCCAAATCTGGTGTGATGCCCAGGGCCACTGTTTGCACCAGACCTAGGAAAGTATGTTCATGGGTTCCATGGATCTTTGATAACATCTGATTTCATGGAATGCCATTGTATCAGGCTTGTAGCAAGGCAGTTTCATTGCCCTGTTAAACCAAGGTGTGGTCTTGCAAGCCATGTCTGTAAGGAGTTATTGCCTGGGGTTTTTTTCCACTTGTTGATTGGCAGGCAACTTCTTTCTTATCACACAAGGTGGAGGGAAAGTCTCGTGATCTTATTGTCCAGCTCTTATGCCTACAACTGGGTTGTGATAGTTAATATTGAGGGTCAACTTGATTGGATTGATGGATGCAAAGTATTGTTCCTGGGTGTGTCTGTGAGGGTGTTCCCAAAGGGGATTCACATTTGAGTCAGTGGACTGGGAAAGGCAGACCCACCTTCAAGCTGGGTGGGTGCCATCTAATCAGCTGCCAGCTTGGCCAGAATAAAAGCAGGCAGAAGAACGTGAGAAGACTAGACTGGCTTAGCCTCTCAGCCTACATCTTTCTCCCATGCTGGAACATCAAGTTCACCAGGTTCTTCAGCTCTGGGACTCGGACTGGCTTCCTGGCTCCTCAGCTTGTAGACGGCCCATTGTGGGACTTCACATTGTGATCATGTGAATCAATACTCCTTAAAAGACTCCCCTTCATATGTACATCTATCCTATTAGTTCTATCCCACTAGAGAACACTGACTAATACCTGGGTGAATACAGGGTGGCCTGGCTTTAGAAAGAGGTGATGGTGGTGGCTAAATCCAATTTATAGATCCCCATAGGATGTTGCCATCACAGAGATAAAATGCAGATATGTAGTTATAATTTTGTGGCCCTGATGCTGGTCAAGGTACCTGCTCTATTGAACCTAGAAAGTTCCACTGTTTCACTCTCTGTGTCCCATCTCCCATGTACAGACAAATGACATTTCATATGGGATTGCCATAGGCTACACAGGCTGTAGGACTTTTGTATATACTCTACAAACACTTATTATGTACCGTGTTTGGGGGATGTTCATAAGGTCAAGTGGGGGAAACAGACAAAACTCAAGATTATAAGACAGTTCAATAAGAGAGGAAAAAAGAGAGGGTTGCACCCACTTTTGTGGGATGTGATACAGCTTGCTCACTTGGGAAGGTCAGGGAACAATTTCAGGCAGAGGGAAGGCTTGACCTGAGTCTCAGAGAATTAAGTAGGAGTGATGCAGGCAGCTGAGATCCTTGTGGATGGAGTGGAGGGTTTGTCACTGTGTGATGATGATTCTCAGTGGGGGGTTGACCCCTCCCTCCTCTTCCCTTCCCTTCCCCTCCTCTACAGGCAGTAGGTAATGTTTGGAGATATTTTTGGTTGTTACAACTTGGGGTGGGTGTGCTGCTGGAATCTAGTGAGTAGAGTCCAGGGGTACTGCTCATCATCCTACAGTGCACACGACAGCTCCCCACAATTATCTGGGCCAATATGTCCATAGTACCAAGGTTGAGAAACTTTGCACTAGGAGAAAGAAAATGGATCTTTAAAAAAATTGAAGTATCAAGGAGCATCAGGTCCCTATACGTCTGTTCCAGCAATAGTTCCGACAACTGATGCAGAAGTGCCTTGTGCAGTTAAAGAAGAAAGAAGACAAATTTAAGAAAGGATTTGTAAGCTGGGAGCAGTGGCACACACTTGCAATCCCAGCTACTTGGGAGGCTGAGATAGGAGGATTCGTTCAGGCCAGAAGTTCAAGACTAGCCTGGGCAATGTAGTGAGGACTCATCTCAAAAAAAAAAAAAAAAAAAAAGGAGAAGGCCTTTGTATAGTGTACCAAGATAAGAATGCCTGAAGGAATTAGGGAGCCCCAAAAGGTTTACTGTATTATAAAAAATCATTAAAGTGATATGTGCTCTGGCCAGGTGCAGTGGCTCATGCCTATAATCCCAGCACTGTAGGAGGCTGAGGCATGAGGATTGCTTGAGGCCAGGAGTTTGAGACCAGCTTGGGCAACATAGTGAGACCCTGTCTCTACAAAAAAATTTAAAACAAAATAGCAGGCCATGGTGGCATGCACCTGTAGTCCTAGGTGGGAGAATAATTTGAGCCCAGGAGTTTGAGGCTGCAGTGAGCTATGATTATGTCACTGCATTCTAGTAGCCTGGGCAACAGAGTGAGACTTTGAATCTAAAAAAAAAAAAAAAAAAATCTCATTATTGAGATTTTACATGCCATTTCTTTTCTTTTTTATTTACTAAAATTTCCCTAAATATCATTTAATGCATATGTTTTTGTCACAAATGCTATTTTTATAATAAAATGTTATAAATTTTAATTTATCCAAGAAAAGCTAATCATAAAAAATGAAAACATGAAAGAGATGTGAGAAAATGTGTGTAGTGATTATTTTATCAGATCTTGGGGAGGATGAGAGCCTTTTTCAGCATAACAGGAAAAAAAAACTCCATGAAGGAGAATACCCTTGGGTTTTACTCCATAAAATTCAAAACCATGTTTAGTAAAATTGTAAGGGAACAAGGAGAACCCCGTTAAACATAAAATAATAGAAGAAATTTTAGAGGAAATGATTGATTTTGCTACATTATTCTTTAAATGTCTGTGAATCAAATGTGTTAAGCAAAATGAAAATACAAAAAGCATTGTGAAAAAAAGCCTTTAAGGCCATGTGTGGTGGCTCACGCCTGTAATCCCAGCACTTTGGGAAGCTGAGGTGGGAGGATAGCTTTAGCCCGCAAGATCAGCTTGGGCAACAAAGTGAGACCCCACCTCTACAAAAAATAAAAAAATTTGCTGGGTGTGATGGTGCATGTCTGTGATGCCAGCTACACGGGAGGCTGAGGTGGGAGAACTGCTTGAGCCTAGGAGGTAAAGGTTTCCGTGGGCTGTGTTTGCATTACTGCACTCCAGCCTGGGTGACAGAGTGACATCCTGTCTCAAAAAACAAACAAACAAAATCTTTAATATCAAAAGTAATCTGGCAATTCAATAAGAAAATCTCCAGAAATATCTAAATATGAAAAATTAGTAAAGACATAAATTCTTGGTGTGCTCACTAATAGATAGTAATTATAATAAAATTGTTTAATCTTGCTTGTATTGAAATAAACACATATTCAAATAACAAGAAACATTTTATTCCTTTAATCTTTGAATAGGCAAAGATTAAAGAAAAATGAATCAAAAGAAAAGAATAAAGGAAAACTAATCACGTAGTACTCAGTTTTGAAGAAGTTGAAGTAAGATCCACCCTTTCCTGATTGGAGGTGTAAACTTGGAAAACCTTCTGGAAAGCAATTTGGCAATATATACCAAGAGTCTGGAAAAAGCCTATACCCTTTGGTCCAGCAATTCCACTTCTAGGAATCTATCCTGAGGAAACAAACAAGGACATAATAAGAGATTATATATAACTGTTCATCAGTCATGCTGTCATAAGAGCAAGGAATAAGAAATATTCCCAATAAGAAGTAAAAAAAAAAAAAAAAAAAGACCAGGCATGGTGCCTCACACCTGTAATCCCAGCATTTTGGGAGGCTGAAGCAGGAGTGGATTGCTTGACCTCAGGAGGCCAAGGCTGCAGCAGTAAGCTGTGATAACACCACTTTACTCCAGCCTGGGTAAGAGAGTAAGACCATGTCTTAAAAAAAAAAAAAAAGAAGTGAAAAAAATACATTATGGTACACCTATCCAATGTAATAAAATGAATTTTTGAATAAATGTTTAATAACAAGGTAGAAATAAGTGTTTAATAACAAATCATAGCTTTTTTTTTTTTTTTTTGAGACAGAGTCTTGCTCTGTCGCCCAGGCTGGAGTGCAGTGGCATGATCTTGGTTCACTGCAACCTCTGTCTCCCAGGTTCAAGCGAGTATCGTGTCTCAGCCTCCTGAGTAGCTGGAACTACAGGCATGCACCACCACACTCAGCTGATTTTTGTATTTTTAGTAGACACAGGGTTTTGCCATGTTGCCTAGGCTGGTCTGAACTCCTGGCCTCAAGTGATCCACCTGCCTCGGCCTCCCAAAGTGCTGGAATTATAGGTGTGAGCCACTGCACCCAGCCCCAACAAATCATAGCATATTATTAAGAAAATAAGACACAAAACTATTTGTATTTTCATTCAGTCCCAAATGTCATGTAAAGAGTGGTGTGTGTGTGTGTTTGAGTGTGTGTGTGTGTGTCTATGTGTATGTAACAGGGCATCTTCACTAGCACTCAAATATTCTGTTCTGTGCAGTTAGATACTATTATCTTGGAGGTCTTTCTGTAAGTGTTGGGAAATAGAGCTGCCCTAACTGTATGTAATGCTTGTGGACACCCGATTCATTCCTTCGACCTCATCTGTTTGGGTCCCAGAAGGCAAGGTCAATTTGCAATTTGGGTTTAACACATATTCAGACTTGTCTAATGAACTTGGGATGGCCCTGATGGAAACTTGCCTATAGGAAGATGTATTGGTCCATTTTCACATTGCTATAAAGGTACTGTCTGAGCCTGGGTAATTTATAAAGAAAAGAGGTATAATTGATTAACAGTTCCACATAACTGGGGCGGCCTCAGGAAACTTACAATCATAGGGGAAAATAAAGGGGAAGCAAGGCATGTCTTACATGGCAGCAGGAGAGAGAGAGCACGGGGGGAAACTGCCACTTTTAAGCCATCAGATCTCATGAGAACTCACTCACTATCATGAAAACATCATGGGGGAAACCACCTACAATCCAATCACCTCCTACCAGGTCCCTCCATCAATACATGGGGATTACAATTTGAGATGAGATTTGAGTGGGGACACAGAGCCAAACCATATCAGGAGGGACTACAGAAACCCTCCAGACAACCATCACCCTATTCCAGGGGGAACAGTCTGGTACTGGGGTCTGGGCTCCGTGCAAGGTTCAGAGTTTGAGAAGGAGGAGATTCTGGGTCTAGGCAGGTTAGAGTGCTTGTGCTTCCTGGGAAGGAAGAGGCTGAGGTGACATTAGAGGAACTGTGTCAGCCTCTACATTGAGGACCCTCCCAGAAGAGTCAAGTGGTAAAATAAAATAACTATGTCAATGTGAAATAAAAATAAAATCCTTAGCTCCCATCTGACTGAATGAACCCCACTTGGCCAAAGAAACCCCCCCAAAAAACATTAAAAACTAATTTTCCCAGCTATGATAACAGGAAGTTGGTCTACTCTCTTCTTTACTAGCTGATACCAAACGGTTTTTCCTAAGAATTAAACAAAAACCAGCCCTGCAAAAAAAGAAAAATAAAAAAAAAAAAAGAAGATTTCTCCATTGACTCCAACTTTCAACTTCAACAAGCTGCCTGGCACCATGGCCAGAGTCCCCTCCCTTTTCCCTCCCTTTTTGTGTTTTTGACATGGCAGCTGACCAGATTCATAAAGCATTCCTTCCTGATAAATGACCACCGACCACGGACTGGTTCTGGCCATTTTATGGAGGCTGCACACAAAATGACTTTGTGTCCTGTGTTTCACCTTTTGATGTATAAAGCCAAATTTTACTGCATTTTAATGTTAACTCTCTACCCCAGAGTGAACATGGGATGCATGTAACATGTATGTTTGCTTAGCATGCATGCCTACAACCCCTTTCATGAATATGCGTAGCTTCCCCATAACCTCTTAAATATATATGTTCAGCCAACCCATTTAGCATAAAACTCCTGTCCCACCCTTCCTCTATTAAAGCGCCTGCTTTTGGTCTCCACTGGACGCTCTGCTTCCCAACCTGCAGGTTGCAATCCTTCTCAAGAAATGAAGTCCTCATTTAAAAATTTATAGGTCTCTTGACTTTAAGCCAATACTATTAAGGGCTTGAACCACGTTTTTTTTCTCTTTTTTAACAGATGGGGCCTCATTATGTTGCCCAGGCTGGTCTCGAACTCTTGGGCTCAAGCAATCCTCCCATCTCAGCCTCCCAAAGTGTTGACAATATGGGCATGAGCCACTGCACCTGGCCCTGAACCTCTGAGTGAAGGCAATCCATCTTGTAAAAGTCTGGATGGTAAGAGGCAGGCATTTCCCTACCAGCCAGTGAGAGACACAGAGGCAAGCAGAAGTGTCAAGTTGCTTATACAGTCAGCAGCAACAAAGCCAGAGTGAAGAGAGGCATTGGTGGTGAAGGGTGGAGGGGCCTCTGGAGGGGTGGCTGAGCTGTCTATCAACAGGACGATGAACTGGGGCTGGCAGTGGCCAATCTGTAGCAGCAAAGGGGACAGGGAATGGTGAGGACCAGGGTTGGTGCAATGACTCCCAGGCTGCATGTGGAAGTCCATCTTACATGTGAGACAACCATCTCATGTTGAGAATTCCTAGGGACACACAAGTGGGAAGTGCCTTGCCATTTGATAGATGGGGCTAGTCGTCCACTGGACAAAGAATAAACCATGAAGGTGAACCAATTATATGAAGGCTGGCTAATTATATTTTAGAGACTTCACCATGTGTTATTTGAATTATAATGCAACAACTAACCATTACCCCTAGAATACAGCCTGGATTTCCATCCTCATTATGGTTGGTAAATCACTAGCTGGATGGTTCAATGGCCTTGATTGGCTTTGGGATACACCAAAGAAAGAGAATATATTTGAAACTACAGGGATTTTATCTTCACTCTTCTCCAAGTTAAGGCAATGGTTGTGGGGAGAATGCACTCTTTGAGGCAGGCAAGTTAAGCCTGGAAACATTTGCAGGAAGAGGTGGGGAGGATGGGTGTATTTATATTTACATTTTTAATTTATATTTTTTCCATTGCAACAGACAGAAAAACAAGCAAACTGGCTTAAAAATGAAATATTGGCTCACGTAATGGACCATTTCAGGGGTAACTGGCTCAGGCGACTCAGATAGGACATCAATAGTTTTCAAGCCCACACTTTCCACCTCTTGGCTCCCCTTTCTTGCTTGTTAATTCCATTATCAGCTTTTAAAACTAGGTATTAGAGGATTTTAAGCAGCCTTGGGTTGGGGTAGGGGTGGGAGTGGCAGGCCCTAATTACCTAATGGCTATTTGGTCAATTTTTAGTATTCTATATCATTTTAATTCATTTTACAAAAAGGTGATTCTTTTACATTGCCCTTCTAATCTTTCAGTTTATGTCTTTAAATAAGGAAACATGAATGACAGCAAAATGAAAGGGGAAGATACATGAATCCTTCTTTCTTTTCTTTTCTTTCTTTTTTTTTTTTTTTGAGATGGAGTTTCACTCCTGTTGCCTAGGCTGGAGTGCAATGGTGCGATCTCAGCTCACTGCAACCTCCACCTCCTGGGTTCAAGAGATTCTCCTGCCTCAGCCTCCCAAGTAGCTGGGATTACAGGCACCTGCCACCACATCCAGCTAATTTTTGTATTTTTAGTAGAGATGAGTTTTAGCCATGTGGGCCAGACTGGTCTTGAATTCCTGATCCACCCGCCGTGGTCTCCCAAAGTGCTGGGATTACAGGCATAAGCCACCAGGCCCAGCCAAATCTTTCTTTCATTTAATGCTACAGAAGTCCACTTGAGTGGAAGCTGAACTTCTATTCCAATTTCAGGGAACTCAACTGATCCTAAAGATTGTTCTCTGGGGCAGGTATCAGCCCGTCTCTGGAAATCTCTGCTCCTCAACAACTTTGAAGACATGCAACCAAAAATGTCCCTTGAAGAAAACGAACAAACAAAAAATGTAATCCCCAAACCAAGACTAGCATAAAGGAACATGCCCTGGAGAGAGAGGATATTGAGTTAAATGTATTTGCTGTGTGATGGACAAATCTTCAAACCTCATTCTATTCCTTTGCAAAAGGAGACAAGTGTTCTCATCTGAAGGTTTTCCAATTCTCCTTATGGGTATTTGGTCTCCATAACAGTTCTATGAGGTGGGCTCTTACTTCCTCCACTTGACAAAAGAGGAAATGGAGGTTTAGAGAAGTAACCTGGAATTTCAACGCAGTTCTGCTTTGCTCCGGGGAGGGTGGAGGTACATTCCTTCTGTGAGCTAAGATTCCAGAAAGTTCTACAAAGCTGATTCCGTTGCAAGGGACAGAATTGCATCTCTCTGGTTCAGGACCCCTGGGGTCAACTGTGCTTAGCCAAGGTGAGTGTGTTTTGTTTTTTCTTTTTAGAGACAGTCTTGCTGTGTCACCCAGGCTGGAGTGCAATGGTGCAATCATGGCTCACTGCAACCTTGACCTCCCGAGCTCCAACCTCAGCTTCCCAAGTAGCTGAGACTACAGGTGCATGCTACCATGCCAGGCTAATTGTTACATTTTGTTGTTTTTTTGGTAGAGATGGGGGTCTTGCTATGTTGCCCAGGCTGATCTCAAACACCTGGACTCAAGCAATCCTCCCACCAAGGCCTCCCAGAGTTCTGGGATTACAGGTGTGAGTCACTGTGCCCGGCCTGAGTGTGGTTTTGTGGCTGTAAGGAGCTGCACCCTGTGCTCACAAGTGGATGCCCCCAAAAGTCAGCTAGAGGTGGAAGTTGGAGCCACGGGGGCTATGAGTGAAAATAGAGAGGCTGATGGTGCTTTGGGGACAAAAACAAGTAATTCTGACACAGGAGACTTTTTACTAGGGAAGCCAGACAAAAATCGTGTTAACAAAGCTTCAGTCTTAGCTGCTTCTAATGAATGGCTTCCCTGGCTTTCTTTATGTCTCCAAACCGTGGTCTTTGTTTTCATATTTTCTCTAACACCTTTTTTGTTTAATGTACCTTATACTGCCTTTCTCATTGTTACATCTTTGACATTTCATCTCAGCGTGCTTTTTAATTTTTAACTTTGAATGGATAATTGTTATAACTTCTCATTTTCATTATTTTCTTTCAAACTGCGTCGGTTTTTGTCTTTTTATCACAGCCTTGTTTTATTGGAATTTTAACAAAATAAACGTTTATCTTAAGTATCTAGTCTTTTAATTATCTCTCCTCATCATGTTTTAACATTTTATTATTCACATTAAATGTTTCATAGATTTATTTAAATGTAGATGTGTATAAAATAAAAAGTTCAAATGCTCTCTCCCTAATTTTATTCTCTAGATGAAACTACTGTGAAAAAGCTGTGTGCCCATTCAGTTTTTTTTTTCCTATAAACTGATAAAGTATCTAAACATATTTGTTTTCATAGTGAAACACTGTCTCTATAAAAAGTTAAAAAATTAGCTGGGTGTGGTGGTGCACACCTGGAGTCTCAGTGACTTGGGAGGCTGAGGTGGGAGGATCATTTGAGCCCAGGAGGTTGGAGCTGCAGTGAACTATGATCGGGCCTCTTCACTCCAGCATGGGTGACAGAGTGAGACCCTGTCTGAAAAAAAAAAAAAGAGAGAGATCACACTCTCCTCACTGCTCTGCAGTTTGCTTTTTCTTACGTATTATGATTGTTCACATTTTAAACCTTGTTTCCTTTTCTCCTCTATAACTTAGAGGAAATAAAAATTATCATTCATTATTTACTCAATGTATTATACTTTGATCATTCCTATGGAGGGGTAATACGCTGCTATGCAAGTCATGTGAATTTTTTGTTTTCTCTTGTAGTTTCTACTTTTTTCTTCCTATACCCAATGACCCTCTTCCATTTGGGCTGTCGGAAATGAAGCATCTGTTGCCTTGAGGGAGAGTGGCACAGCAGAAGGGATTTTGAGTTTCTGAAGCTAAGGCTATTTGCTTAGCTGAGATTTCCTGCTGTAGAGGAGATAAAAACTCCCTGAGCATGAGCAGAGGTGACGAGTAGAAGCAAGAGCGTGAGAATGAGATGGGGGTGTGGGGTCTTTGAGATGGGGAAGGGAAATTAGTAGGACTGTGTTATGGACTTAATGTTTGTGTCTTCACCCTCTTCCAGCCCCACAAATTCATAGCTGAAGTGCTAACCTCTAGTGTAGCTGTTTTTGGAGAGCAGAAGTGATGAAGTTGAATTGAGGTCATAAGTGCAGGACAGTTCTCCCAGTGGCCTTGGATCAGCCCAGTACCTCCCAGGAACACCTCCCACTCCGCTTTGTCACCTGTACTTCTCAAGAATAACTGTATGCTGGGCACAGTGGCTCACGCCTGTAATCCCGACACTTTGGGAGGCCGATACGGGAGGATAAATTGAGGTCAGGAGTTCCAGACCAGCCTGGCCAACAGGGCGAAATCCCATCTCTACTAAAAAAAAAATACAAAAATTAGCAGGATGCAGTGGTGCATGCCTGTAATCCCAGTTACCTGGGAGGCTGAGGCAGGAGAATCGCTTGAACTCAGGAGGTGGAGGTTGCAATGAGCTGAGATCATGCCACTGCACTCCAGCCTGGATGGCAGAGCTAGACTTCGTCTCAAATAATAATAATAGTAATAATAATAATAACTGTAATGTAGAATGTGCTGGGAATGCAGCATCCTGGCAAGAATAGTCTGGGCTCTGTTTCAAAGCTCCTGGAAACAGGAGGATATCCTTCAATGCTTTAGCCTAGTGATCACATGCCCCTGGGGTATAAAACCCAGGATGGGTTGCTTTTCAGAGTCCCTTAGCTATGGTACACTTGGGTCATGCACAGACAAGACTCCATCTCCCCTAGGCAGCTTCCCTGAGACTTGGGGGACTGGCTTGGCCCAAATCCTAGCTTCTATTGTCCCTTTCTGTCTACCTGTGAGTAATAGAGTTGCTTTGCTGAACTTGTGTGAGTGTTCTGTCTCACCAGACTTGTACAAGTGATAGAAATTGCAGCCCAAGATGCAGTGGGCTGAAGTGGTAACCAATGAACAGTGAAACTGCTTTGCGATAAGGGTAGGAACCCAATCTGATAGGATTAGCATCCTTATAAGAAGCATAGCAGAGAAAATTATGACCATCTGATATGGTTTGGTTGTGTCCCCACCTAAATCTCATCTTGAATTATAGTTCCCATAATCCCCACGTGTCATGGGAGGGACCTGGTGGGAGGTAATTGAATCATGGGAAAGTTACCTCCATTGTGTTCTCGTGATAGTGAGTGAGTTCTCATGAGATCTGATGGTTTTATAAGGGGCTTTCCCCGCCTTTACCTGGCACTTCTCCTTGCTGCCACCATGTGAAGAAGAACGTGTTTTCTTCTTCTTCCACCATGATTGTAAGTTTCCTGAGGCCTCCCCAGCCATGCTGAACTGTGAGTCAATTAAACCTCTTTCCTTTACAAATTACCCAGTCTCAGGTATGTCTTTATTAGCAGCATGAGAATGGACTAATTCACCATCTTACATACTTCTTATTTTTAGGCATTGAATATTATTTTCCTCAGATACAATTGTCTGAATTCATTTTAATCTTTCCTTTAATAACGACTCTTGAATGATATGAATGTAATATTTATATTGATTTTGTCCTCTTAATCTAGCCTAAATGAATCTAATAAAACAAATAAAAGTTATTTAAGATAAAAAAAAAAAAGGCTGGGCATGGTGGCTCAAGCCTGTAATCTCAGCACTTTGGGAGCCTGAGGCAGGCAGGTCACTTGAGGTTAGGAGTTCGAGACCAGCCTGTCCTACTTGGTGAAACCTTGTCTCTACTAAAAACACACACACAGACACACACACACACACACACACACACACACACAAAGCCAAGTGTGGTACGCACCTGTAGTCCCAGCTACTTGGGAAGCTGAGACAGGAGAATCGCTTGAACCTGGGAGGCAGAGGTTGCAGTGTGCCGAGATTGTGCCACCACACTCCTGCCTGGACGACAGAGTGAGAGTCCAACTCAAAAAATAATAATAATAAAAATTAAAATTAAAAAAAATAATAGAAAAAGAAGAGACACCAGACACCTCACTCTCTCTCTCCAAATGCACTTGCTGAGGAAAGACCCTGTGAGGACACAGTGAGAAGCAGTCATCTGTAAGGCAGGAAGAGAGCTCTCATGGGAAACCCATCCCTGCCAGGCCTTGATCTTGGACTTTCCCACCTCCAGAACTGTGAGAAAAGAAGTTTCTGTTGTTTAAACTGTGCAGTCTGTGGTATTTTGTTATGGCAGCCTGAGCAAATTAATATACACTCCAGGACATGTGTGGGCATTTCTCTGTTTCTCTAGGGGCCCTCAGGAAAAAGGCAGGCCTCACTTGTTCATTCAACAAATACTTTTTTTTTTGAGACAGAGTTTTGCTCTGTCGCCAAGGCTAGAGTGCAGTGGTGCGATCTTGGCTCACTACAACCTCCACCTCCCAGGTTCAAGCAATTCTCCTGCCTCAGCCTCCTGAGTAGCTCGGATCACACACATGTGCCACCACACCCAGCTAATTTTTGTAGTTTTAGTAGAGACGGGGTTTCACCATGTTGGCCAGGCTGGTCTCGAACTCCTGACCTCAAATGATACACCCTCCTTGGCCTCTCAAAGTGCTAGGATTATAGGCGTGTGCCACAGCGCCCAGGGCATTCAACAAATGCTTAATGAAGACCATGCATATGCCAGGCACTGGATATAGCCATGAACCAACAGATGCAGTTCTTGGTCTGGTGCTGTGGCTCATGCCTGTCATCCCAGCACTTTAGGAGGCTGGGGCAAAAGGATTGCTTGAACCCAGGAGTTCAAGATCGGCTTAATGAGACCCCCTCTCTACAATAAAACTTTAAAGACTGGGTGCGGTGGCTCACGCCTGTAATCCCAGCACTTTGGGAGGCTGGGGTGAGTGGATCACCTGAGGTTGGGAGTTTGAGATCAAGCTGACCAACATGGATAAACCCTGTCTCTACTAAAAATACAAAAATTAGCCGGATGTGGTTGCGCATGCTTGTAATCCCAGCTACTCGGGAGGCTGAGGCAGGAGAATTGCTTGAACCTGGGAGGCGGAGGTTGTGGTGAGCCAAAATTGCGCCATTGCACTCCAGCCTGGGCAACAAGAGCGAAATTCCGTCTCAAAAACAAACAAACACACAAATAAGCAAACAAAGAAAAAACAAACAAAAACAAAAAAACTTAAAAAAAAGTTGCTGAACGTGGTGGTGTGTGCCTGTAGTCTCAGCTATTCAGGATGCTGAGGCAGGAAGATTGCTCGAGCCCAGGAGTTTGAGGCTGCAGTAAGCCAGGATCATGCCACTGCACTACAGCCTGGGTGACAGAGTGAGACCCTGCCTTTATTAAAACAAAAAACCCAGACACAGTTCTTGCTTGCATTCTCAAGTCTATTGTGGCTTAGTTGTGGCCATGCAGAGAGGGCATGAAACTCTCTTTACATTTCCTGCTGCCCAAGAGTGGCATGAGAGAGCCTCTGAGATGAAAGTAGGAGGTCAGCCAGGAGTGGTGGTGCACGCCTGTAATCCCAGCACTGAGGTGGGAGGATCATTTGAGACCAGGAGTTCGAGAATAGCCTGGGCAACATAGTGAGATCCTATCTCTATTTTTAAAAATTAAGTAAAAAAAAGGCCAGCAGTGGCTCACACCTGCAATCCCAGCACTTTGGGAGGCTGAGGCGAGTGAACCACTTGAGTCAAGAGTTCCAGACCAGCCTAGCCAACATGGTGAAACTCTGTCTAAAAATACAAAAAATCAGCCAGGCGTGGTGGCACCTGCCTGTAGTCCCAGCTACTCAGGAAGCTGAGGCAGAAGAATCGCTTGAACTTGGGAGGTGGAGGTTGCAGTGAGCTGAGATCATGCCACTGCACTCCAGCCTGGGCAACAGAGCAAGACCCTTTCTCAAAAAAAAAAAAAAAAAGAAAGAAAAAGAAAACGAGAGGCAATTGTGAGTTAAAATGAAAGAGAAAAGAAAGAGGAAAAAAGAATGGTTGTCAGTGCTGGATCAGCTCTTGTCTGATTTTTCTGATTTCTTTTTTTACTCAATGATTAATTGACTCAGATACTCAGGGACCAGCTAATCTGGTGCTTCTCAAACTTCAGCGTGCATGGAAATCTCCTCGAGGGTTTGTTAAAGCATAAAATTACTGGGCTTCTTCCCAAGAAAGTCTTGGCGGGAGGCCCAAGGGGGACAAATTCTCCCAGACCAGATACAAAGGGTCTGGGAGGGGCCCAAGAATTTGTATCTCTTTTTTTCTTTCAGAAGGAGTCTCGCTCTGTTGCCCAGGCTGGAGTACAATGGCGTGATCTCCGCTCACTGCAACTTCCGCCTCCCGAGTTCAAGCGATTCTCCTGCCTCAGCCTCCCAGGTAGCTGGGATTACAGGCACGTGCCACCACACCCAGCAAATTTTTGTAGTTTTAGTAGAGACAGTGTTTCACCATGTTGGCCAGGCTGGTCTCCAACTCCTGACCACAGGTGATCCACTCGCCTTGGCCTCTCAAAATGCTGGGATTACGGGTGTGAGCCATCACGCTGGATCAATAATTTGTATCTCTATTAAACACCAGGTGATGTTGATGCTGCCTTAGTCCACAGTAGATGTAGCACTGACCCAGTGCCACATTCCTAAAATAGACACCCACAGAGGTAAATGACTCACCCAAAGTCATCCTGCAAGCCAGTGAAGGAGAGGGCCTCAAGGATTTGTTTTGGCTTCTATATGACCACACACCCATCCCTGGACAAATCCCGGTAATCCTTCTGGATTTGGAAGAATACTAGGCTCTGATTGGCTAGGCCTGAGTCAAGAGCCACCTCTGTGTAGATGAGGGTAGAGTCAACCCCACCAGAATCACATTTTTTTGTTTGTTTGGTTTTTTGTTTTTTTTTTTTTTTTTGAGACAGATCTTGCTCTGTTGCCCAGGCTGGAGTGCAGTGGCAAAATCTCGGCTCACTGCAACCTCTGCCTCCCGGGTTCAAGCGATTCTCCTGTCCCAGCCTCCTGAGTAGCTGGGACTACAGGCACATGCCACCATGCCTGGCTAATTTCTGTATTTTTAGCAGAGACAGGGTTTCACCACGTTGGCCAGGCTGGTCTTGAACTCTTGACCTCAGGTGATCTGCCAGCCTCAGCCTCCCAAAGTGCTGGGATTGCAGGCGTGAGCCACTGCACTTGGCCAGAATCACATATTGTTAATGGAAGAGAAGTTTGTTCCTACTACTAACCCACAAAACTCTTCGACACCAGATGTCTGGGGGCTTTTTCTCCTGTCAACCAATTCTCTTACCCCCGCTGGGTGTCCTACAATGTAATTCAATTCTGACACTATGTACCAGGAGTTAACCTCTGTTAATAAAAAAATAAAATTTTGTAAAATATCTTAAAGAGGTTTATTCTGAACCAATATGAGTGGCTCAGGGAAAACCCAAACCCAAGAAGCCTGGAGTAAGGGATCCTGAGGTGGTCAAATTACAGTTTGGCTTTATAATTGTAAGGAGGCAAGAGTTACAGGCAAAGACATAAATCAATACACAGAGGTTTTACATAGGTTCGGCGCAAAAAATTGGGACATCTTAATGCAAGGGCTTACATCTTACAGGCAGATGCAGAGATTCTTTAATTTGCAATTGGTTAAAGACGTAAGGCTCTGGCAAAAACTTGGAGTCAGCAGAAACAAGGGTTTTCAGTGAAGGATGCGATGTAGCAAGATTGATGGTCTGCGGGCATGATTAAACCGTTGCCCTGCGCGGCTTTTGGTCCTGATTATACTTTGGTATCTTATTGCCACAAATAGTCTGTTCCATCAGTCTTAATGGTCTGTAGTTTAACATTAATGCTTGTCAGGTATTGTATCTAAACCCTGAAAGGGAGCGTGCATAATGAGGTGTTTCCAACCCTTTCGCGTCATGGCCAGAACTGAGTTTGTTTGTTTGTTTGTTTGTTTGTTTTTTGACACACAGTTTCACAATTGTTGCCCAGGCTGGTGTGCAGTGGCACAATCTCGGCTCAATGCAACCTCTGCCTTCCGGGTTCAAGCAATTATCCTGCCTCAGCCTCCTGAGTAGCTGGGATTATAGGCGTCCGCAGCCACCCCCGACTAATTTTTTTTTTTTTTTTTTGGTATTTTTAGTAGAGACAGGGTTTCACCATGTTGGCCAGGCTGGTCTCCAACTCCTGACCTCAGGTGATCCATCCATCTTGGCCTCCCAAAATGCTGTGATTACAGGCGTGAGCCACCGCGCCCAGCCAGAAACTGAGGTGTTTTTTTTTTTTTTTTTTGAGATGGAGTCTTGCTCTGTCGCCCAGGCTGGAATGCAGTGGCTCGATCTCGGCTCAGTGCAAACTCTGCCTCCCGGGTTCACGCCATTCTCCTGCCTCAGCCTCCCAAGTAGCTGGGACTACAGGTGCCCACCACCACGCCTGGCTAATTTTTTGTATTTTTTAGTAGAGACGGGGTTTCACCGTGTTAGCCAGGATGGTCTCGATCTCCTGACCTCGTGATCCGCCCACCTTGGCCTCCCAAAGTGCTGGGATTACAGGTGTGAGCCATCACACCCAGCCAGAAACTGAGTTTTTAAGGTTTCTTTGGGGTCCTTTTGGCCAAGAGGAGGTCTGTTCAATCAGTGGGAGACTTAAGATTTTATTTTAGTTTAAGCATCAGACCCCACAGGTTAACAGCTCAGTCGCACAAGACCGCCCTCACTTCAGATGCCAATCCTGGAGCTCCAGTACTTTTTTTTTTTGAGACAGGATCTCACTCTGTTGCCCAGGCCAGAGTGCAGTGGTATGCTCATGGCTCACTGCAGCCTTGAACTCCCAGGCTCAAGCAATCCTTCCCCCGCCAGCCTCCCGAGTATCTGGGACCACAGATGCATACTACCATACTTGGCTAACTTTTAAATTTTTTATAGAGATGGTGTCTTTTTATGTTGCCCAGGCTGGTCTTGAACTCCTGGCCTCAAGTGATCTTTCCATTTGGGCCTCTCAAAGTGCTTGGATTATAGGCATGAGCCACTGCACCTGGCTCCTCAGTACTTCTAACCAACCAGCTCTAAGTTTCCCAGGATCTACTCCTTGGGTTCAATAATTTGCTAGAATGGCTCACAGAAATCAGGAAAACAGTGTGCTTACTAGATTACCAATTTATTATTTTAAAAAACCCTCAGGAACAGCCAGATGGAAGAGGTCCACAGAGCAAGGCCTAGGAGAGGGGTGTGGAGCTTCCATGCCCTCTCCGGGCACATCACCCTCCCAGCATGTCTGTGTCTTCACCAACCTGGGAGCTCTACAGACCCCACTGTTTAGGGGTGTTTTGGGTGGAGGCTTAATCCTGCAGGCATAATTGATTAAATCACTGGCCATTGGTGACTGTCTTCCTTTCCAGCCTCTCTTTCCTCCCTAAAGGTTGTGGGAGTGGGGCTGAAAGTTCCAAACTTTTTGTTTTTGTTTTTTTTTGAGACGGAGTTTCGCTCTCGTTGCCTGGGCTGGAGTGCAATGTCACGGTCTTGGCTCACTGCAACCTCCGCCTCCCGGGTTTAAGCAATTGTCCTGCCTCAGCCTCCTGAATAGCTGGGATTACAGGCGCCCGCCATCATGCCCTACTAATTTTTGTATTTTTAGTAGAGACGGGGTTTCCACCATGTAGGCCAGGCTGATCCGGAATGCCTGACCTCAGGATATCCACCTGCCTCAGCCTCCCAAAGTGCTGGGATTACAGGCATGAGCCACCGCGCCTGGCCTGAAAGTTCCAAACTTCTAATCACATGGATGTGATTCCCTCTGGCAACCAGCCCCAAGCCTGAAGCTATCTAGGGGACCCCCCCTTGAGTCATTTGCATATACCATTAGCATATACTCAGGTGTGGTTGAAAGGACCTTACTATGAATAACAACAGATGCCCCTAACATTCTGTCACTCAGGAAATTACAGGAAGCTCTTGTACCAGGAACTGGGGAGAAAGACCAAGTATGTATTTCTTATTACATCACAATATTACGGTTTCCCAAATGAAAACGAGCAAAAGTGAGGTTAATTGTTGAGGTAGGGCTGGAAACAACAAATTCTATAGACCAGGGGTCCCCAACTCCTGGGGTCACAGACCATGGCCTGTTAGGAACTGGGCTGCATGGCAGGAAGTGAGCTCGGCGAACCAGCATTACTGTCTAAGCTCCATCTCCTGTCAGATCAGCAGACGCATCAGATTCTCATAGGCGGGAGAACCTTATTGTGAACTGCGCATGTGAGGGGTCTAGGTGTTGTGCTCCTTATGAGAATCTAATGCCTGATGATCTGTCACTGTCTCTCACCACCCCTGAATGGGACCATCTAGTTGCAGGAAAACAAGCTCAGGGCTTCCACTGATTCTACATTATGGTGAGTTGTATAATTATTTTATTATATATTACAATGTGATAATAATAGAAATAAAATGCACATTCAATGTAATGTGCTTGAATTATCCCCAAACCATCCATCTCCCTCCCTGCTGTCCATGGAAAAATTGTCTTCCACGAAACTGGTCCTGGTTGCCAGAGAGGTTGGGGATGGCTTCTACAGACTGTAAACTATAGGGGAAAACCTATAGGGAGGCTCAGATAAATCTGCTTCATAGGTAAGAGCAGAGGCTCAGAGGGAATTTGTCCACCTTCAAAATGCCCCTTGTTATGTGACCCTGGGAAGGTCATATAAAGAAAGTTACAAAAAGAGGAGAGGCTGGGCATGGTGGCTCACCCCTGTAATCCCAGCACTTTGGGAGGCTGAAGCGGGTGGATCACTTGAGGCCAGGAGTTGGAGACCAGAATGTGCAACATGGTGAAATCCCTCCTCTACTAAAAATACTAAAAAGTAGCCAGACATGGTGGTATGCACCTGTAATCCCAGCTACTCCAGAGGCTGAGGCACAAGAATCTCCTGAACCCGGGAGGTGGAGGTTGTAGTGAGCCAAGATCACACTACTGCACTCCAGCCCAGGTGACAGACTGGGACTCTGTCTCCAAAAAAAAAAAGGAATATCAGTAACTGCTTCATAGGGCCGTTGTGAGGACTGAACGAAATGATACACATGAAGCATTTAGCAGGGTGCCTGGTTCATTGCAAGTATTGACAAAACATGCCCTCCACATCCAGGGGGTGTGGGGAGAGACAGTCTAGTCCCTGACCCCAGCCCTGACCAGCTTAATACCTACCCTAGAGCCCACCCTTCGGAATGGAGTGTAAACTTCATGTTTAAAGCCTTCTGGCACTGAATAGAAAAGATGTAGCTCGGAAAACTCTTTTAGTTAGGCTCATGGCTCTAGGGCTCAGTCGGAGATTATTTGTTTTTTCTTTTTTTCAGTGCTGCCAATGCTGGGGATGAGAGTTGGCAGAAAGAGGGTTTTTAGAGGATGGACTTTTTTTATTCCCATGAGATACATGTAACTGTCAGCTGCGCCTCCCCCTGTGAAGGTGTTATTGAGCAAATGGGCTTGCAGCCTGATGTGCATGGAAGCCAATAACTGTGGCACCAGAATTTGAGAAAAGAAAGGCTTTACTGCGAAACCGGCCAGCAAGGAGACAGGAGTCAGGCTCAAATCTGTCCCCCTAGGGCTAGGCGCAGTGGCTCACGTCTGTAATTCCAGAACTTTGAGAGACTGAGATGGGAAGATCTCTTGAGGCTAGAAGTTCGAGACCAGCCGGGACAACATAGTGAAACCCTGTCTCTGTAAAAAATAAAAAATAGCAGGTCGTGGTGTTGTGCACCTATAGTCCCAGTTACCTGGGAGGCTGAGGAGGGAGGATCGCTTGAGCCTGGGAGGTCGAGGCTGCAGTGAGCCATGATTATGTCACTGCACTCCAGCCTGGGTGATACAGCAGTATGCTGTCTCAAAAAAAAAAAAAAAATCTGTCTCCCTGATTTGGGCTCTGGGACAAGTTTTAAAGAATCAGAGGACAAGGGAAAAGATTTAGGAATGTTAGCTTGGCAGGGTTTGATTGGAGGGCTTCAAATTTGACCATTTATAGTAAGATATGTTGAGGTTGGGCTGGGCATGGTGGCTCATGCCTATAATCCCAGCACTTTGGGAGGCTGAGGTGGGTGGATCACCTGAGGTCAGGAATTCGAGACCAGCCCGACCAACATGGTGAAACCCTGTCTCTACTAAAAAAACACAAATTAGCTGGGCATGGTGGCACACACCTGTAATCCCAGCTACTCAGGAGTCTGAGACCGGAGAATTGCTTGAACCCAGGAGGCCGAGGCTGCAGTGAGCCGAGATCGTGCCATTGCACTCCAGCCTGGGTGACAGAGCAAGACTCTGCCTCAAAAAAAAAAAAAAAAAAAAAGATATGTTGAGGCTGATTTTGGCCCAGATCTTTCCAGCCAGTGAAACCCTTGCTTTCGAAGAGTTCTGGTGTTCAGGTTTCGGCCATGTCCCGGTCTTCTTGGTTCCAAAGGGGAGGAATTGTTGGTTCTTGGTCTTGTCAAAGCTTTTTCTATTGCATATGCCCAGGCTGCCTGACTTGCAGCTTTTGGCTCTGTTACGTCTAAAAGACAAGCCCACATTTGCTTATAAACAGAGTAGGCCCAGTTTGGGCTGGTCCCATGGTTACAAAGGGAAGTGACTCAGTCACCGAAATCAGGAAGCATAGATTAGCCTATTGGGACCAGGACTTTGGTGCCCGTCTGACAAGGAAAGAGATGGGTCCCAGGCAGCAACCACCTGCCCCTTCTTGCTACTGCATTTCATGGCTGCCACCATAGCATGCATGACTACGGTTTCTGAGCAGCAAAGGCTGGGGTGGGGCCCAGGAAGTCACAAGAACCTTCTGTAGGGATGTTCCCATTTGGGTCGGAAGGGTGGATGAGACTAAAAATACCACCTACATGACATATTTACTCTGCTCTTGTTAATACCCTAGAGAGATTGCCAAGAGTCACTACCACCAAGCCTGTGATTAAGCCGTAATAACCACTTTTGTGTTTATAAATTTTGTCCTTGATATCAGAGAGGAGTATTTTTAGGCTAGAACTTGGAGCTAACAAATCCCATTGCAGGAGTGCGGATTTAGGCAAGCATCTCTCAAGGAGAACTTCCCAGGGCACAGCAACTAGGCCAGGAGAGATCTGTCCATAGGAATAAATTGGGAGGCTCCAGGCACCATGTCTCCATCTTGTGGAAAGCTTTGTAGGGAAAACTCTCCCCAAACTGCACTTTTCCTCTACTCTCACGCTACAACAATCATCAACACAGAAGAAGACTTCTGTGACCAAATGTGTGGGTTTTTTTCCCCACACACCAAGCAGTGGACCCCAGCTGGGTGTCCTCTAATTCAGTTCCTTCACTATCTACTTGGAGATAGTGTCAGATCCCAGGCTCAGTCCCCAGTACTGTCCCCCTACCACACTAGTTGCAAGTCTGGCCTCTGGAACTTCAAGTTGGGGTTCCCATGATTCACTGAACTCAGGGAAACACTTACTTACATTTGCCATTTGTGATAAAGGATATTTCAAAGGATACAGATGAAGAGATACATAGGGCGAGCTATGGGGGAAGGGGCGTGAAGCTTCCATGCCCTCCCTGAGTGCAGCATCCTCCAGGAACCTCCACGTGGTCAGCTATCTAGAAGCTTTCTGAACCCAGTCCTCTTGCTTTTTTATGGAAGCTTCATGACATCAGCATTCCTTCCCCCAGAGTATAGGGTGGAACCCTCTAATGGGAGGGTCTTAAGACCCACAATCAGAAAGGCGGGTAACATTAGAGTCCTGCCTTGGAGCAGGTGAAAGGAGGGTAGGGAGAAAGCCAAAGGCCTGTCGCTGAGGCCTAACACACCCAACAGGACCACAAATCACTGTAGCAAAGGCTGTGGGAGTTAGGAACCAGGAACCATGGATGAAAACCAATACGTATCATAACACTACAGAAGCTAATCACACCAGGGCGCACATCCCTTTAACTCAGGGCACCTTGGCAAATGTGGAAGCTTTGTGGATATCTGTGCCTTTTTATTTTTTATTTTTCATTTGAGACAGGGTCTCACTCTGTCACTCAGGCTGGAGTGCAGTGGCATGATCACAGCTTACTGCACCCTCAACCTCCCAGGCTCAAGTGATCCTCCCACCTCAACCTTCCAAGTAGCTGGGACTACAGGCACTCGCCACCATGCCCAGCTAATTTTAAAATTTTTAGTAGAGACAGGGTCTCACCATGTTGCCCAGGCTGGTCTTGAATTCCTGGGCTCAAGTGATCCTCTGGCCTCAGTCCCCCAAAGTGCTGGGATCACAGGTATAAGCCACCACACCCAGCCATATCTCTGCTTTTCTATCCTCCCACCCTCATAGCACTACTTATTCATCCATCCATCCATCCATCCATCCATCCATCCATCCATCCATCCATCCATCCATCTGTCTATCCGTCCATCCATCCGTCCATCCATCTATCTGTTCATTAATGAATTCATTCAACATATATTTATTCAGACAGGTCCCTGCTTTCATGGAGTTTACATTCTTGTGGTGGTGGTTGCCAACTGGAGGACCAGACAATAAACAAATTAAAAACACAGTGCCATTTTGGATTGAGTACTCTGATGGAAATAAACAGGAATAAATGCTGTATAGGACCTGGGCAGACAGGGCTGAGGTAAGATCAAGGAGGTAACAAGCCACTGGGAAGGAGCCAGCCATCTGAAGAGCCAACTCTATCGTCTGCTTTGCTGACCCAAACTCTCCACTTTCCCCTCCCTCTTAAGTCTTCTCTCTGTGCTCATTTCCAAGGTAAGCATCTACAACTACTCCATGAGTCTGTCTTAAGGGAAACTTGACTCTCCTTGAAAATATTGCTTCCCCTTGCAGCTCTTGCAAATCTGGGTTGTTCATTCCCTGCATCCCACCTTATTCCCAGCCAGAAGAGGGGGTGCTGGAGCCCCAATTCCTGGTGCTCTTTCCACAGGCACATAAACGTCCCCATTCCTTTACTATATGGATGTATGTATAGAAGAAAGACATGATATAGACAGAGTTCAGTACTATTTGCAATTTCAGGCATCTACAGGGGTCCTGGAACATGTATCCTGCTGATAACAGGAGACTGCTGTACACCACACAATATACAGGAAGACTTCCTAAACATCTGTCTTAATCCGTTTGTGTTGCTATAAAGGAATATTCGAGGTTGGATGATTTACAAAGAAAAGAGGTTTATTTGGCTCGTGTTTCTGCAGACTGTATAAGAAGCATGATGCCAGCATCAGCTTCTGGTGAGGGATTCAGGCTACTTCCACTCATGGTGGAAGGGGAAGAGGAATGGTGCTTGCAGATGTTACACGACAAGAGAGAAAGCAATAGAGAAAGAGAGTGAGGAGAGGTCCCAGGATTTTTTTTTTTTTTCCTTTTTCTTTTCTCCCTCTTACCACATCCCAACCAGGCTCTTTTAAACAATCAGCTTTCCCAGGAACTAATAGAACTAGAACTCACTCTTTACCAATAGAATGGCACCAAGCCTTTTATGAGGGATCTGCCCACTATGATCCAACAGCTCCCAATGGGCTCCACTTCCAACACTGAGGGTCAAATTTCAACATGAAATTTGGAGGAGACAACATTCAAATCATAGCAATGACCTTTTCTCCTCTCTCTTCCCAAGATTCTGCACCTTATGGAAGTTCCTTATCTCTTTTCCTCTACCCCACTCAAAACTTCTGATCCACTTAATTCTCTTGTCTCACTCATCCTTCCCATCCATTGCCTCCTCTTCCCACTTCTTTTTCTTCTCTCTCTCAACTAGGATCTATGTTTTTATTTTATTTTATTTTATTTTTTGAGACTGAGTCTCACTCTGTCACCCAGGCCAGAGTGCAGTGGCTCCACCTCAGCTCACTGCAAACTCAACCTCCTGAGTTCAAGTGATTCTCTTGCCTCAGCCTCCCAAGTAGCTGGGATTACAGGTGCATGCCACCACACCTGGCAAATTTTTGTATTTTTAGTAGAGATGGGGTTTCTTCATGTTGGCCAGGCTGGTCTCGAACTCCTGACTTCAAGTGATCCACCTGCCTCGGCCTCTCAAAGTGCTGGGATTACAGGTGTGAGCCACCATGCCCAGCTCTGGGCTCAAGTGATCCTCCAACCTCAGCCTCCCAAGCAGTGAGACAGGATTGTTCCCTTGATCCCCTTTGTAGGCGGGAACTGCAGTGGCTTGTTTCACTCAGCCTGCAGTCTGTGGATGGCTAAGTGTTAACAGTCCATTAAGGGTCAGGGTGACAGCCTTCTGCACCTGCCCTTTTTGACACCTGAGTTCTTGTTTGGTGTCCAGGAAGAATCAGGTCACTCGGACTGATTGAAGGATAGTATATGCAGAGGATTTTATTGGGCAATGGATGTGGCTCTCAGCAGAATGGGGAGTTGGAAAGGAGATGGTGTGGGAAGAAGGTGATCTTTTCCTGAAGCCGCACCCTCTGAAGTTAGCTGCGTCTATCTATAGTCTCTGGTGCTCAGCTGCTTGTATCCCCGATGCTCAGCCTTGCATCCACGAATGCTTGCATTAGCTGTTTGTGTTGCTCTGCCAGCTGGTCTTTTTATGGACACAGGATAGGGGCATGGCAGGCCAAAAAGGCAACCTTTGGGCAGTAAAAACAGGGTCAGCTGTTTCACTTAGGGGCATGGTTCCAGGCTTAAGGGTGGGGTTTAGCCAGGAGCCCAGTTTTTCTGTATCAGTAGCTGGGACTACAGGTGCATGTTACCACACCTGGCTAATTTTTGTAGAGACGGGGTTTCACCATGTTGCCCAGGCTGGTCTTAAACTCCTGGGTTCCAGTGATCCTCCTTCCTTGGCCTCTTAAAGTGCTGGGATTACAGGTGTGAGTCATTTGCCCAGCCCCATGTCAGATTTCTCTGTGCCATAATTTTTTTTTTTTTTTTTTGAGACACAGTCTCACTGTGTCACCCAGCCTGAAGTGCAGTGGTGTGATCTCGGCTTACTACAACCTCTGCCCCCTGGGTTCAAGCAATTCTTGTGCCTCAGGCTCCTGAGTAGCTGAGACCACAGGCATGAGCACCACGCCTGGCTAATTTTCGTATTTTTAGTGGAGACGAGGTTTCACTATGTTGGCCGGGCTGGTCTTGAACTCCTGACCTCAAATGATCCACCTGCCTTGGCCTCCCAAAATGCTGAGATTACAGGTGTGAGCCACCGCACCCAGCCATCACTGTCATAATTTTTGTAAAAGTGGTTTCATCCCCTTCTCAACTTAGGCCCATCTTGGGGGAGCTCATCTGAATGGTCATTTCTCTTATATTTCTTGACTTCTAGTTTTTTTTTTTTAACCATATGTGTCAAGCTAAACTCAATTCAAATTCCTCAATCAGCCATTTCTGCATCCATACCTGAAGAAAACTGCACAACTTGAAAACTGGTGCGTTGCTAATCCATGGCAACGAATCCTGGGCCCAGAGGGCTGCTTGTTAATCCTTTTACTTGTCCATGACGGGTTCCTTCTCCTGCCCCCTCAACCTGGACCCAGTATGCCTGAAGCCAAATCATACTTGGACTTTGCAGCTACAAGAACAAATAATTCCTCTCCTGCCTTTTCTGTTGGTTTATTTAGTTTGAATTGTGCTTCTTCCACTTGAAATCAAAAGACTCTTGACAAATAAAATTAATGACCCCAAGCTTAGAGAAGGTGCTAGGAAAGAAGGGAAAAAGCCTCTTCTGAATGAATAATAATTTGGGAGTAGTTGTTGATTCAATTTGACATCCAGTTTCTGCAAATTCTTTTCTTTTTCTTTCTGTTTTTAAGACAGAGTCTCATTCTGTTGCCCAAGCTGGAGTACAGTAACATGATCATAGCTCACTGTAGCCTCTAACTCCTGGGCACTAGGGATCCTCCCACCTCAGCCCTCCGATAGCTGGGAATACAGGGTCATGCCACCCTGCCTTGCTAAATTTTTAAATTATTTTTGTAGAGATGGGGTCTTGCTCTGTTGCCCAGGCTGGTCTCAAACTCCTGGGCTCAAATGATCCTCCCACTTCAGCTTCCCAAACTGCTGGGATTACAGACATTTGCCACCACACCTGGTCTCTGCAAATTCTGAGGACAAGCATGGTGGTCTATGTAGGCGTGAAGGGAAAACTTCCCTGTTGTCCTTGGAAGATTCATTGACAAAAATCAGATTAATAAGGGAAAAGCCATACTAATTTATTATGCGTGGGGTAAAAATTACGGAGTGATTACCCAATATCTCAGTGAGGCCCAGATACCTACCATAGCCTGTTTCAGAGCGGAGAGGAGAGATGGGGAACATAGGTAATTCTGTTGATGGGCAATAAATGATTACTAGGAGGGATGAATGGAACAAAGATTAATTTGTGAATAGTTCTCTTTGGCAATTGAATGAGCCTGAGAGGCAGACAGACATTATCCTGTGAAAGGGTCTGTTTAGGTGTGGTTACATTCTTGGTCTTCTTTTGTGCAATAGAGAATAAGATAGGGAAGCAAAGGAAGAAAAGAAAAATTGTTCTTCCTGCAGGGTCTGTCTAGTCCTTTTTTTTTTTTTTTTTTTTTTTTTTTTTGAGGCAGAGTCTCACTCTGTAGCCCAAGCTGGAGTGCAGTGTCGTGACCTTGGCTCACTGCAACCTCCACCTCCCAGATTCAAGTGATTCTCCTGCCTCAGCCTCCTGAGTAGCTGGGACTACAGGCGCGTGACACCATGCCCAGCTAATTTTTTGTATTTTAGCAGAGACAGCGTTTCACCATGTTGCCCAGGGTGGTCTTGAACTCCTGAGCTCAGGTAATCCGCCCTCCTCGGCCTCCCAAAGTGCTGTGATTACAGGCATGAGCCACCGCACCTGGCCAAGGTCTGCCTAGTTTTTACGTAGCTAAGGGAAAAGTCTCTAACCGTGTCTTTTGATGTCTAAGGGTCTTTAATTCAAAATATGCATTATAACAAGGAGCTACCTTTTGGGATGAAGTTTCTGGCTCTCCTTCATCTGGAAGCACAGGCAAATCTCACAGAGAATATTCTGGAAGGCAATTGATGAGAGAGAGTAGCTCTGTCCTCTTCCTCTCTTTGCTCCAGATCTTCCTTAGAAAGGCAGAACTCCCTGCAGAATGAAATGGACAATCAGACACTGCTAACAGCTGCATCCCAAGAACTTCGGTTCTTGGTAAGAGGATCCTGACACAAAAGTATTTCTTGTGGAAAATTATGCATTCATTGGGCTCATTTGAAACAAAATAGGATTTGCATCTTAACTTCCTGTAACGAGCTCCACTTCTTTTGTGGATTTCATAATGTCTGATTTTGTTGAACCAGATTGGTGGGGCACATGCTTTTACCAAACAGTTTAAATTCAGGCCCAGGTTTTTTCTTATTTTAAATAGCAACAGCTGCTAAGCACATGAATTATTGTATTTCATCAAAATAAACTCACCAACTTGCTTCTGAATGTTCCTTGGAGCTGCTCTCCTGGGGGCTGGGGTCCTCAGGGCTGTCAAAGAAGGTGCAAAGTTTGGATTTGGAAAATGTAGGAGAGGAGGCTGCAAGTCCGAGGAGGGGATGGGTGAGCAATTCCGGAAACAGAGAAAGGGAAAAAGTCACTAGCTGGAGACAGAAGCAGTGGGATACTCACTTCTCAATATCTGGTTGGGCTTTCTCTTTGCAATGTTCAGCAATTTCATATTTCTGAGGGTCGTCAGGAAGTGGGGAGAGAAGGAAGAAAACACTGGAGATTGTGTGGGAACGTCTTGTACCTATGTGGCAGCCGGCGATTTCTTTCTTTCTCTCCCTCTCTCGTTTTTTTTTTTTTTTTTTTTGTAGGGACGGGGTCTTGCTGTGTTGCCCAGGGTGGTCTCAAACTCCTGGCCTCAACTGATCCTCTTGCCTCAGCCTCCCAAAGTGCTGGGATTACAGGCATGAGCCACCATATCTGTCCACAGAGATCTCTCTTAAAGAGAATTCAGATCATGTCACTTTCCTGTTCCCCACTTTTCTCTCGTGGCTTCTCAACTTTGGCTGCCCATTGGAATCATGGGAGAGCTTTAAAATACCCCCAAATGCCCAGGCTGCCCCCGAGACCAACTATATCAGAATCGGTGAGGCTGCAGCGTAGACATCAGTATTTGTCAGTTTCCTGAATGATTCCCAGTGCAGTCAATGTTAAGAACTACTGCATTACAGGCCGGGAGTTTGAGGCTGCAGTGAGCTAGGATCACTTTACCGCACTCCAACCTAGGGGAGAGAGACAGAGACCCCACCTCTTAAAAAAAAAAAAAAAAAAAGAAGAAGAAGAAGAAACTCTCCACTGCATTACATTCTGAATTAAATCAAAAAGTCTGACCACAGCCAGGGATTCCCTGTCTGATTTGGCCCCTGCCTTTCTCTCAGATCTCATCTCTGAACATTTATCCTCTTTTTTTTTTTTTTTTAAATTGAGATGGAGTCTTGCTCTGTCACTTAGGCTGGAGTACAGTGGCACAACCTTGGCTCACTGTAACCTCCACCACCTGGGTTCAAGCGATTCTCTTGCCTCAGGCTCCTGAGTAGCTGGGACTACAGGCGTGCCCCACCACATCCGGCTAATTTTTTTGTATTTTTATTAGAAATGGGGTTTCATCATGTTGGCCAGGCTGGTCTTGAACTCCTGACCTCAGGTGACCCGCCTGCCTCGGCCTCCCAAAGTGCTGGGACTACAGGCGTGAGCCACTGCGCCCGGCTGTATCCTTTGTCTTCACTGAGGTTAAGTATCTGATATTTTAGTTATTTGCTCTGTGTTGAGTACTTTTCATGTCTTCTGAGACCTCCGACCCAGGGAGATACATAGCTCTGGTGTTCTGGTCTCTACCACGTCTCCAATCTAACCCTGATCTCCTCACCCTCTCCCCGACTGCCCTTCTTTCTGCTCCTTAAATACATCTCTCCTTCTAGAATCTACTCACCGGTCGTTCCCTTTGCCTTCTGACAACATGTTCTTTCCCGTCTTCCCAGGGCCAGCTTGACATTCAGGTGTCTGAGAAGCCTTCCACAACCACGCAACCTCTAATGTACTCTCTTATTACTTTCTATCCCATTATTGTGTCTTGTTTCAGGTATAGCTTATCATTGTCTGATGTTATCTGGTTTATCTATCTACTTGTTCTTTGTGTTCCACCTAGAAGGAAAACTCTAAGAGCTGAGACCCTCTAGATAGGATTCACTGCTGCATCCTCAAGGGAGTGCGGCATATAGCAGATGCTCAGTAAATATTTGTTAAATGAAAAAAAGAATGACTGGCATAGGAGTTATTGGCTGAATACATGAATGAATGATCTTATTAAAAAAGTTGCTGTCGTCTTTATTTTCTATTTTGTAATTTCAACTTTTATTTTAGATTCAGGGGGTACATGCACAGGTTTGTTAAATGGGTATATTGCGTGGTGCTGAGGTTTGGAGTACAACCTGTCACCCAGGAAGTGAGCATAGTACCCTGAATGATCTCATTTGATCTTTCAAACAGTGGGCGTTGTTAGCACCATTTTAAAGATAATTCATCAGGGTCAGAGGTTAAATAGCTCTTCAAGGTTACAAATAATGGCAGAGGTTTGTAAGCTATCTGCCATTGAAAGGAGAGTGGTTTGTTAGGGGAGAGCAGACATCCTTTTTTCAGATTATGGATTTTTGGGGACTCTGCCATCACTAGAGAGGGCAACTCCTTCCCTAATTGGCAAGAATATGTAATTAGGTTTTAATTGTGGGCTTCTGAAGGGACTATTTTAAAACCACATCTGTGGTTGTCTTTGATGGAATCTGACCTTCTGACCTTCAGGAGGGTGATGGGAGGGCAATTCTGATGATTTGGAAACCAAGGGAGAACTGTGTTATTTTGGGGTGACATGGTCTTGGCACACCCAGAGGAGCTGGGGGCTGGGGAATGGAACAGGTCATAGAATTGCAGGGACTTCCCTGCTGTTGACTCATAGCAATTGTCAGATGGTCTCTACCAAGCTCTGCATCCTATACTGAATCCATAAAAGGGATGAGTCATTCTGCAATGGTCTCTGTAGCGAGCCAGCCAATGTGCAGGACTGGAAAGGAGTGTGGATTTTGGCTTCCTCTGCACGATAGGTCTGAGAACCTTCATTAGTACAGAAAACGAAGAGCACCTTGGTTTTCAGCTTTGCGTCTGGATTTAAAAATAATAACAATAAGTGACCTATTAGTTCACTGGGGCTGCCATATCAAAATACTACAGACTGGGTGCTTTAAACAACAGCCATTTACTTTCTCGCAGTTCTGGAGTCTGGAAGTTCAAGATCAAGGTGTCAGGAGGGTTGATTTCTTCTGAGGCCTCTCTCTTTGGCTTGCAAACGGCTGTCTTCCTGCTGTGTCTTCTTGTGGTCTTTCCTCTGTGCATGGGCATCCCTGGTGTCTCTCTTACTCTCTCTCTCTCTTTTAAGATAGAGTGTCTGTCACCCAGGCTGGAGTGCGGTGGCATGATCTCGGCTCACTGCACTGCAACCTCTGCCTTCCAGGTTCAAGTGATTCTCCTGCCTTAGCCTCCCAAGTTGCTGGGGGGACTATAGGCGCCTGCCACCATGCCCAGCTAATTATTTATATTTTAGTAGAGGCAGGGTTTCACCATGTTGGCCAGGCTGGTCTTGAACCCCTGACCTCAGGTGATCCACCCACCTTAGCTTCCCAAAGTGCTGGGATTACAGGTGTGAGCCACCGTGCCTGGACTCCTGGTGTCTCTTTGTGTGTCCAAACCTTCTCTTCTTAAAAAACCTCCAGTCAGATTGAATTATGACTCACTCTATTGGCCTCATTTGAACTTAATTACCTCTTTGAAGGTCCTGTCTTCAAATACAGTCACATTCTGAGGGACTGGGTGTTAGGGCTTCAAAAAAGGAATTTTGAGGGGACACAATTCATCCCATACCAGGTGTCATTTATTGTTTATTATGTGTTAGCCTCATGCAAATATTTTACAAACATCACCTCACATAATTTCCCAAGTATCCTAAGAGATCAATACAATTATTATAACCCCTTTCATAAAACTAAGAAACTGAAGTAGAGAGTAAGAAGTTGCCTAAGTTTCCACAGTTAAAAGTGCCAGAGGGGCTGGGCACGGTGGCTCATGCCTGTAATCCCAGCACTTTGGGAGGCCGAGGCAGGTGGATCACCTGAGGTCGGGAGTTCAAGACCAGCCTGACCAAGATGGAGAAACCCCATCTCTACTAAAAATACAAAATTAGCCGGGTGTGGTGGTGCATGCCGGTAATCCCAGCTACTTGGGAGGCTGAGGCGGGAGAATCGCTTGAACCCAGGAGGCGGAGGTTGCAATGAGCCGAGATCATGCCATTGTTCTCCAGCCTGGGCAACAAGAGCGAAACTCCATCTCAAAAAAAGAAAAAAAAAAATACCAGAGCTCAGATTCAAGCACAAGCATCTCTGATTTTGAAGTCTTTTTTTTTTTTTCATGAAATCTATGCTAAATTGCTGAATATTGTACTTTGGCCTTTCTGTTCTCTCTTTCTGAAGTGGCCAAATACACATATATTTTTGGATGTCGCATATCTATTTTTCATGTTTTATCTTTTTTCTAATAATTTTTATCTCTTTATTGTAAAAACATAAAGAGATTCCAGGAGATTTTTTTGAGCTTGTTTTTTTGAGTCACTTATTTCTTTTTCTTTTTTTTATTTTTATTTTTTATTTTTTTTTTTGAGACACAGTCTGGCTCTGTCACCCAGGCTGGAGTGCAGTGGCACTATCTTGGCTCACTGTAACCTCTGCCTCCTGTCCTCAAGCCATCCTCCTCCTACCTCAGCCTCCCGAGTAGCTGGGACAACAGGCATGTGCCACCATGCTTGGCTAATTTTTTTAATTTTTATTTTTGGTAAAGGTGACATTTCACTATGTTGCCCAGGCTGGTCTTGAACTACTGAGCTCCAGCAATTGACCTGCCTTGGCCTCCCAATGTGCTGGGATTGCTGGCATGAGCCACCACACCTGACCTGCTCATCAATTTTTCTATGATAACCAATCTGCTTTTTCCTGATTCTACTTGCATTAAAAATTTTGAATAAGGTCTTCTCTCTTTAAGGTCATTTTCCTGTTCATGGAGTTCCTTCTCTATGGCTGCACCCTTTTGCTTTAGCAATGCCTTGAGCAATAAGGAAGTGAGCCTCAGCTGAGTACCATATGAAATAAACAAAGATTGTGCTGGCATAGTGGTTCACGCCTGTAATCCCAGAGCTTTGTGAGGCCAAGGCAGTAGGATCACTTGAGGCCAGGAGTTTAAGATCAACCTCGATGACATAGGGAGACTTGCCATACCCATCTTCACAATAAAAATAAAATAAAATAAAATAAAATAAAGTAAAATAAAATAAAATACAAAAAGATTGTGTAGCCATGCCTTCTGAGAGGAGAGAAATAATCTTGTATACAAAAACAAACAAAAATAAACTAGCTACCTGCACGCCCAAAGGAAACCCTACCCAATATTCAGGACAAGGAAATGTTGACTGATGTCATTTTTACTTCACTGTTTTCTGTACTATTCACTGGCCCTCTCACTTTTTCCAGTCCTTGATTTTCAGTCTCCTTGTCTAAGATCAGAACACTACCCCACCCCTGCCCAAAGTGTGAATTTCCTCTAATCTATGGAAAACCTGCCATCCCTGAAGGGCAGGGGTTAGGAACACTAGTAAGAATCAAAAGGGTTTGAATTCTGGTTATACACTCATGAGAACTGGAATTGAAAGCAGGGTCTTAAGGAGGTATTTGTACACTCATGTTCATAGCAGCATTATTTGCAATAGCTAAAACATGGAAGCAACCCAAGTGTCCTTTGATGAATGAATGGATAAGCAAACTGTGTTATAGCCTACAACAGAATATTACTTAGCCTTAAAAAGGAAGGAAATTCTGCAATATGCCACAACGTTGATGGACCTTGAGGACATTTTGCTAAGTGAAATAAGCCAGTCACAAAAAGATAAATACTATATGAATCTACTTTTTGAGGTACTTAGAGTAGTCAAAATCATAGAGACAGAAGGTAGAATGACATAATAAAAGTCATATATGACAGACCCACAGCTAGTATCATACTGAATGGAGGAAAACTGAAAGCATTTCTTCTAAGACCTAGAACATGACAAGGATGCCCACTTTCAGTACTGTTATTCAACATAGTATAGAAGTCCTGATTAGGGCAATCAGAAAAGAGGAAGAAATAAACGGTATCCAAATTGGAAAGGAAGAAGTCAAATTATCCTTGTTTGCAGATGATTTGATATTATATTTGGAAAAACCTAAAGACTCCACCAAAAAAACTATTAGAACCAACAACAAAAATCAGTAGCATTTTATATGCCAACAGTGAACAATCTGAGAAAGAAATTTGTAAAGTAATACCAATACCATTTACAATAGCCACAAAAAATAATTATCTAGGAATTAACCAAAGAAGTGAAAAATCTCTATAATGGAAACATTGATGAAAGAAATTGAAGAGGACACCAAAAATGGAAAGATATTCCATGTTCATGGATTGAAAGAATCAATATCGTATAAATGTCCATACTACGCAAAGCAATCTACAGATTCAATGTTCAATGTAATCCCTATCAAAATACCAATGTCATTCTTTACAAAAATAGAAAAAACAATCCTAAAACTTATATAGAACCACAAAAGATGCAGAATAGCCAAAGCTATCCTAAGCAAAAAGAACAAAACTGAAGGAATCATATTACCAGACTTCAAATTGTACTACAGAGCAATAGTAACAAAAACAGCACTGGTCTAAAACCAGACCAGGTACTGGTCTAAAAACAGACACAAAGTCCAGTGGAACAGAATAGAGAATCCAGAAACAAATCCACACACCTACAGTGAGCTCATTTTCAACAAGGGTACAAAGAAGATACAATGGGGAAAATATAGTCTTTTTAATAAATGGTGCTGGGAAAACTGGATATTCGTATGCAAAAGAGTGGAACTAGACCCCTATCTCTCACCATATACAAAAATCAAATCAAAATAGATTAAAGACTTAAATGTAAGACCTCACACTATGAAACTACTACAAGGAAACATTGGAGGAACTCTCCAGGAAACTGGTCTGGGCAAAAAATTCCTGAGTAATACTCCACAAGCACAGGCAACCAGAGCAAAAATGGACAAATGGGATCATCAAGTTAGAAAGCCTCTGCGCAGCAAAGGATGCAATCAAAGTGAAGAGACAACCCATGGAATGGGAGGAAATGTTTACAAACTACCCATCTGACAAGGGATTAATAACCAGAATATATAAAGAGCACAAACGATCTATATGAAAAAATCTAAGTATCCAATTAAAAAATGGGAAAAGATTAAAATAGACATTTCTCAAAAGAAGACATACAAATAACAAACAGGCATATGAAAAGATGCTCAACACCATTGGTCATCAAAGAAATGCAAATCAAAACTACAACAAGATATCATCTCACCCCAGTTAAAATGGCTTATATCCAAAAGACAGGAGGTTGTGGAGAAAAGGAAATCCTTGTACACTGTTGATGGAAATGTTAAATAATACAACCGCTATGAAGAACAGTTTGGAGATTCCTCAAAAATCTAAAAATAGAGCTACCATATGATCCAGTAATCCCACTGCTGGGTATATAACCAAAAGAAAGGAAATCGCTGTGTGAAAGAGATATCTGCAGTCCCATGTTTTTTTGCAGCACTGTTCACAATAGCTAAGATTTGGAAGCAACCTAAGTGTCCATCAGCAGATGAATGGATAAAGAAAATGTACACAATGGAGTACTATTCAGCTACAAAAAAGAATGAGATCCTGTCACTTACAAAAACATGGATAGAACTGGAGGTCCTTATGCTAAGTGAAATAAGCCAGCACAGAAAGACAAACATTGCATGTTCCCACTTACATGTGGTATCCAAAAATCAAAACAATTGAACTCATGGAGATAGAGAGTAGAAGTATGGTTACCAGAGACTGGGAAAGGTAGTGAGGGGTGGGGGTAGTTAATGGGCAAAAAAAGTATACTTACAAAGAATTAAATAAGGCCTAGTATTTCATAGCACAACTGGGTGACTATAGTCAATAATAATTTAATTGTACGTTTAAAAATAATTAAAAGAATATAATTGGATTGTTTGTAATGCAAAGGATAAATGCTTGAAGGGTGGATACACCATTTTCCATGATGAGATTACTATGCATTGCATGCCTGTACCAAACATCTCACATACCCCATAAATATATACACCTACTATGTAGCCACAAAAATTAAAAATTTAAAAAATTTAAAAAAGTAGAATGGTGGTTGCCAGGGACTGGGGCGGGGGTTGGGGCATGGCAGAAATAGGAGTTATTGTTTAATGGGTATAGAGTTTCAGTTTTGCAAGATGAAAAGAGTTACGGAGATGGATGGTGGTGATGGTTGCACATTATGAATGTATTTAATATGACTCAACTGTACACTTAAAAACTTATAGGATGGTAAGTTTTATGTTATGTATATTTTACTACAATAAAATAATTGAAAAGAAGAGGCAAGGTGTGGTGGCTCAAGCCTACAATTCCAGCACTTTCAGAGGCCGAGGCAGGCACCTGAGTTTGGGAGTTGGAGACCAGCCTGGCCAACATGGCGAAACTTCGTCTCTACTAAAATACAAAAATGAGCTGAGCATGTTGGCGGGCGCCTATAATCCCAGCTACTCAGGAGGCTGAGGCAGGAGAATCGCTTGAACCCATGAGGTGGAGTTTGCGGTGAACCAAGATCATGCCACTGCACTCCAGCCTGGGCGACAGAGCAAGACTGTCTCAAAAAGAAAGAAAGAAAAAAAAATCGAATCAAGAGTCAGTAGGGTTTGGCAGTGGGGGGGAGAAGAAAAGTTGAGCATTACTCTGAGATTTAAGACTCAGGGTTGAGAATTTAAGACTCTGAATCACCTTGAACTTGAAGCACCGTATAATATCAAGAACAAGTATAGTTTCTCTTCTAAATGATCTCTTGTCCTATCTGGTTTACTCCTTGCAGGAGGAGAGGGCTGCAGGTTCTCCCAGTTGAATTATGCTGTCCCATGTGGAGCCTTATTTGGATCTTCTGTGGGGTCCCAGACAGAAGAAAGGGAGGTTTTGCTTAATTGTCTCCTGGAGAAGCAGGCAGGAGGTTCGGTAAAGGACTTTGAGCTAAGTCCTCTGACTGTCACCAGCGTCCCTCTCCTCCCCGATCCAGATATCTTTTCCGTCAACCAAAATCCCCTGAGAGCCATTGCCATTGCCTCTGACTCCCCTCGCCTTCCTGTGTGTTTGTTTAGATTCTAAAAAGGGATTTACTTTAGTAGCCTCCGGGCATGCATTCAAAAACACCCAAACCCCAAGGAGAAATTGTCCAAACTCACATTGCACCCGGCTTTATTGGGGGGCACTTTTCACAGCAGCTGAAGATTAATGCAGTTGTTCTTTGCCAACTATGAGCTGCTTAGGCCTCAAATCACTTTCTGAATATTCAGTGAGATGGGCTCAGAAAAACATATGCGTAATGATTATACCAGGATGACTCCAGAAGAGCAGCTTCATCAACTCAGGGAAGTTAACCCACACTTCAACACTCTTCTGTGTTGCTCATGCTGGACCTTTGGTTTTCCCTTCAGTCCCCTTCTCTGCCTGCCAAAATTTGACAACTGTTTCTCAGTCTAAATTTTAGAAATCACCTATTTTTGTAAAGCTTTTCCCTGTTTTCAGAATTCCTTCTCATCTGCATCTCAGTTAGCATCATGTACACATCTTTTATTCTTATTCAATAAATATGTATTCTTCAGTTACTGTGTGCTGGTCTTTTGTCAGGCGATGGAGATACAGTGGTGAGACTATACGTAAGGCTTTGTCAAAGAACAGAATCATGAATTGGGCAGCGTCCCATCAATGAAATAGAAAGATGCTTTGCCAGGCATGACAGGGCGGTTGGCTTTTGTAAAGTAGCTTGAGCAGGAACAGGAAATCAGTATAGTGCAAAAAGTGGATTGGTTAACATCAGGTTACTTGAAGTTACTTCCCTTGTAGGGTTAAAGCAGTGGGGACTTCCTTAGAATGTAGGCTCAGGTTTACTGGGCCCCTTTGGACTGGTTGCAGTGAACGTCCTGTTTTTGCAGAAGACTGGCCCCTTTGTAAGTTCATCTTGATTATG
Organism: Homo sapiens; assembly: GCF_000001405.40. Classification (NCBI taxonomy): domain Eukaryota; kingdom Metazoa; phylum Chordata; class Mammalia; order Primates; family Hominidae; genus Homo; species Homo sapiens. The sequence goes on along the minus strand of NC_000016.10, from coordinate 24,423,921 downwards.
TGGCGCCTAGCATGACTGACTCCATTCTGGTTTGGTCTGGTCTGTTGGAACTCAGTCCAAAACAATGGCCTGCCGTGAATTTTATTTAACAGCTTTAACTTTCATAGGGCTTATTTTTTGTTTTGTAGCACAGACAAAAAGAACTCAGATGGAGTTACTCTATCTGAGATCAATACTCATCACAGTATTTATCTCCATCAAGTAGTCTCCCTTATCTGAGATTTCACTTTCTGTGATCTCAGTTACCTATGGTCAGTCAACTGTGGTCTGAAAATATTAAATGGAAAATTCTAGAAGGAAACAATTTATAAGTTTAAAATTGCATGCTGTTCTAGGTAGCTTGATGAAATCTCTTGTTGTCCTATTCCATCTTACTTGGAACATGAGTCATCCCTTTGTCCAGCGTATCCACACTCTGTATGCTATCCACCCACTAGTCATCGACACGGTCTGCTCCAGACACTCAACCATAGACATCATCATGGCTCAATGATTCAGGATCTCCTGAAGCAGATGACCCTCCTTCTGACATATCTCCAGAAAGCCAATAGAAGCTAAAGCTACTTCACAATACTTAACGTCATTCACATCACTTCATCTCATCAAGTAGGCATTGTATTTATCTTATATTATTACAAGAAGGGTAAGTACAGTACAATAAGTTATTTTGAGGCTGGGAATGGTGGTTTATGCCTGTAATCCCAGCACTTGGGAGGCTGAGGTGGGAGGATCACTTGAGCTCAGGAGTTCGAAACCAGCCTGGGCAACATGGTGACCTTGTCTCTGCTAAAAATAGTAAAACAATTTAGCTAGGCATAGTGACACGTGCCTGTAGTCTCAGCTACTTGAGAGGCTGAGGTGGGAGGATCTCTTGAGCCAGGGAGTTCAAGGCTACAGTGAGCTATGGCTGTGATTGAATCACTGCGCTCCAGCCTGGGCAACAGAGCGAGATCCTGTCTCAAAATATAAACAAACAAACAAAAAGATATTTAGAGAGAGAGAGATGACATATTTACATAACTTTTTTTATAATATATTGTTATAATTGTTCTCTTGTATTATTATCATTATTGAGACAGGGTCTCTCTCTGTCACCCAGGCTGGAGTACAGTGGCGCTATCTCAGTTCACCACAACCTCCACCTCCTGGGTTCAAGAGATTCTCCTGCCTCAGCCTCCCAGGTAGCTGAGATTATAGGCGCCCACCACCATACCTGGCTAATTTTTGTGTTTCACCATGCTGGCCAAGCTGGTCTCCAACTCCTGACCTCAGGTGCTCCACCCGCCTCAGCCTCCCAAAGTGCTGGGATTACAGGCGTGAGCCACTGTGCCCGGCCCATGTTTATTTTAAAGAATTAAAAAAGTGATTTAAAAAGAATGGAAAGGTAATAATTCCTGTCTTCTCCTATCCTGGAGGTAACCAGAGCTAGTAGTGAGGAGTAACACCTTTCTTTTATGCAGGGTTGATTGGTTTGCTTATTTGATCTGGCGTGGATTACAAAAATGGCATTATATACTTATTGCTCTGCAACTTGCCCTTTTCCCTCTAAACGAATTAGATTAACTCTTTTGTTTATTCAACCATTCTCCCATTGGTGGACTTCAGATTGCTTTTTGTTTTTGACAATAATACAATTACTATAGTAAGGCTCCTTGAGAATATTCCTGGGTATATCGAGACTTTCACTAAAACAGATTTAGAAAGGTAGAAACTCTGGGTCAATGGATGTTTGCAGTTCTAGTTTTAATAGGTGTTTTTCAGTTACGTTTCTAACAGATTGTAGCAATTCCTATTTCTCAACACTGTCAGCCAGAGCTGGACATTATTGATCTTTTGTTTGTAAAATTTGGCAAATATAATGGGTGAAAAAAAGGCTGATTTAATTTACCTTTCCTTGACTACTACCTATGTTGAGTATCTTATTCTGTCTAGTGACAATTTGCAGATACCCTTATGTGAATTGCCTGCTATTCAGTTGTCTTTTTCTTTTCAACTAGTAAAAGTTCTTTGAATATTAGTAATTGTTAATATTTATGCATCCATTTTGCAGAAGTTCTCTCGTCTCACCAGATTATCATGTCTTTTATAAAACCCTTTTTATTTAGAAATAATTAGAGGTTAATAGAATAGGAAGTTGTGAAACTGGTACAGAGAGACCCAGGTGCCCTTAACCCAGCTTCCCTCAAGGGTAATGTATTAGTATGTGCTTGCTTTGCTGTAAAGAAATACCTGAGCCTGGGTAATTTATAAAGAAAAGAGGGCCAGTTGTGGTGCTTCACGCCTGTAATCCCAGCACTTTGGGAGGCCGACGTGGGCAGATCATGAGGTCAGGAGTTCGAGACAAGCCTGACCAGCATGGTGAAACCCCATCTCTACTAAAAATACAAAAATTAGCTGGGCGTGCTGGTGTGTGCCTGTAATCCCAGCTACTCAGGAGGCTGAGGCAGGAGAATCACTTGAACCCGGGAGGCGGAGGTTGCAGTGAGCCAAGATTGTACCACTGTACTCCAGCCTAGGTGACAGATGGAGGCTCTGTCTCAAAAAAAAAAAAAAAAAAAAAAAAGAAAAAAAGAAAAGAGGTTTAATTAGCTCATGGCTCTGCAGTCTATACAGGAAGCATGGTGCTGGCATTTACTCAGCTTCTGAGGTGGCCTCAGGAAACTTATAATCATGGTGAAATGCAAAGGGGACACAGGCACATCACATGGCCAGGACAGAAGCAAGAGAGCGAGGCTGGAGTTGCCACACACTTTTAAATGACCAGTCTCATGAGTACTCACTCACTATCACAAGGACAGAACCAAGGCAGATGGTGTTAAACCATTGATGAGACACCTGCACCATAAGCCTGTCACCACCCCAGGCCCCACCTCCAACACTGGGGATTACATTTCAATATGAGATTTGGGTGAGGACACATATCCAAACTATACCAGGTAACATCTTACATAGCTCTAGGTCAGTATCAGAACGTTGTTTGTCTTTTTATTTTTATTTCTTTTTTGAGACAGAGCCTTGCTATGTTCAGGATGGAGAGCAGTGGCGATTCACAGGTGCAATCATAGTGCACTACAGCCACAAACTTTTGAACTCCTGGGTTCAAGCAGATTTTCCTGCCTCAGCCTCCTGTGTAGCTGGGACTATAGGCATGTACCACTGCACTTCACATTCATTTGTCTTTTGATGTAGTTTATGGTATTGTTTTGATTACAATATGTTATTGCAAATTTTTTTTTTTGAGATGGAGTCTCCCTCTGTCACCCAGGCTGGAGTGCAGTGGCGCAATCTCGGCTCACTATAACCTCTGTCTCTTGGGCTAAAGTGATTCTCCTGCCTCAGCCTCCCAAGTAGCTGGGATTACAAGTGTGTACCACCCTGTTTGTCTAATTTTTGTATTTTCAGTAGAGACGGGGTTTCACCATGTTGGCCAGGCTGATCTTGAACTCCTGACCTAAAGTGATCCACCCATCTCGGCCTCCCAAAATGCTGGGATTACAGGTGTGAGCCACCTTGCCCAGCCTGTTATTGTAAATTTTAATATCTGGTAAGGCAAGTCTCACCACTCCATACTTTTTCTTTTTTTTTTTCTTTTCCTTTCTTTTTTTTTTTTTTTTTTTGAGACAGAGTCTTGCTCTGTCATCCAGGCTGGAGTGCAGTCTCATGATCATGGCTCATGGCAGCCTTGACTCCCATGATTCCAGTGATCCTCCCACCTCAGCTTCCCGAGTAGCTGGGACCACCACACCCAGCTAATTTTTGTATACCTTATTTTCTTGACTGTTTTCAGCTACTTACTTTTGTTTTCACTTGAAATTTAAAAGCCATGGACATGTCAGCCTGAGCAGAGTGAGAGAAAATTCACCCTTCTTCTGCCTTTTTTTTCTATTTGGGCCTTCAACAGATTGGATGATGCCCATCCACATGGAAGAGGGTGGATCTTTTTTAGTCTACTGATTCAAATGTTAATTTCTTCCGGAAATACCCTCACAGACACACCCAGAGGGGATTACACAAGGCTGTAAATACCAGAAAACAGGAAGCAGGACTCATCTTAGAGGGTGCCTGTCACACCAGAGAATACTATCTAGCAGCCCAAATTAGGTGGTTCTCTATATACTGACACGGAAAATCTTCAAGACGTATTGTAGAGAAAAAAAAGAGACAAAATCATTTATGGGACCATTTATGTTAAAAAAAATTCATCCAAAAACAATTTCTGTATAGATATGCATAGAAAATATCTGGAACACTCCCAGCTGATTACCATGGTTAACTATTGAATTTTTGATTATCTATATTGTTTGAATGTTTAAAAAATGATAATATATTCATATTTTCTGCAATTAAAAATAATTTTCAAAGAATAAATAAAACAGACTATTGTGACTGCATAAGAGAGATGATGGTAGCCATAAATAAGGTGTCAGCAAAGGAGATGTAGGAAAATGAGATAGAAGGGCAAGGTATTTAGGAGGTAAAAACCAAGAGATTTTCAAGTATCTGATAGACGGGGAGGAGTCTAAGAGGACTTTAGGGCTTTGAGCTTAGGTGACTGGGTGGAATTCTCATTCCATTAGTGTCGGGGCCAAGAGAAAGCTTCCCTCTTATTAGAGCAGCAAGTCTGGGTGGGGTCCATGGTCCTTGGTTCTTGTCTTCTTGGAGGAAAGAATTTTCCAAGAGACAGAAAAAAATTTAAGATAGAAATGAGAGATTATTGAAGCAACGAAAAGTACACTTGGAAGGGAGCAAGTGGGCAACTTGAAAGATTGAGTGCCCCACCTGATCTTTGGTTTAGGGCTTTTATAGACTTACTATTTCCTGTTTTTAGTTTGTTTGTTTGTTTTGTTTGTTTGTTTTTTCCAGTAGCTTCCCCTTGGGCAGGCTGTTGGCTAATCACTGCATGCACAGTGTCTTGTCAGTATCTAGGAGGAATGCATATGCCATTTGGTGGTTGAAATTATGTGCATGCTCTCTTAGGGCAATTCTCCCTTAGCAGTCTAGCACTCCCAGAGGAAGGTCAGATACTGGTCAAACTCCACCGTTTTGTTCTCTGCTGTGCATACCTGGATGTGTCTGCTCATTTCCTAAGATCGTATTGGGAAGTTGTTACCTACAAGCTCAAGATGTTTCCTGTTTGTTAGGAAATTTTCCCCTCCCTGATGCCTCCTGAAGAGGTACACGACAGTCACCTGACTTCACCTGACATTCCTTGGGGCTCTATCCTGCCTTGCTCATGTCTGTCTACCAACTCTAACACTTTCACCCTCTGAAGGTTCACTGAAAAACCAACTCACAAAAGGCAGATTAATTGGAGAAAAGACATATAAAATGTATTAATGTGTACACTGGGGAGAGCCACAGGTGATTACCTATCCCCAAAGGAGTTCAGAATCTTCGATTCCATCTTAAGGTTACAGAAAGAGTGGGGCTTGGATCCTGGAAAATCAGGTTATGAGAGAAAGAAGAGGAATTCTGTTGGGGAGCAATAAAGGATTACTAGGGAGAATGAATGGATCCAGGAACAGAGATTAACTTGTAAATAGTTCTCTTGGACAGACATTATTTTGTGAAAGGTCTGTTCTGGTATGCTTACGTTTTTGATCTTACAGGGAGGGGAAGAAAAAAATAATTATTCTCCTCAGTAAACCCAGATTTTAGGTAGATAAGGGAATTTCAACTTCCTCCTGTGTTTTGGAAGAGACGATGGGGTTGGGGGTCAGGGAAGGTCAGAAAAACCTTGAGACTTATTCAGTTCAGCATGTCAAAGTGCTGTGTTTTGGGGTATTGGTTTCTGGACCCCAACATTAGAGAACACAGAAGGGAAAACAAATTTTGGGGGAGCTAAAAGGGAGAAGGGTAAATGTCCAAACTCTTAGCTCTTGTTTTTTTTGGGGGGTTGGGGGATGGAGTTTCAGTCTGTCCCAGGCTGGAGGGCAGTGGCGCGATCTTGGCTCACTGCATTGTCCACCCTGTGGGTTCAAGTGATTCTCCTGCCTCAGCCTCCTGAGTAGCTGGGATTATAGGCACCCACCCCCACGACCGGCTAATTTTTGTATTTTTAGTGGAGATGGGGGTTTCACCATGTTGGCCAGGGTGGTCTCGAACTCCTGGCTTGAGGTGATCCTCCTGCCTCAGCCTCCCAAAGTGCAGGGATTACAGGCATGAGCCACTACGCACAGCCCAAACTCTTAGCTCTTAACAACTCCGTCTGTTACTGAGTAATGGGCTTGCTGCCGGATGCACATAAAAGCCAATAAGATGGCACTGACTTTTGAGAAAAGTCAGGAAGGAGGCAGGAGGTGTGACTCAAATCTGTCTCCCCAGTTTGGAGTCTGGGCAAGTTTTAAAGGGGTGGGAGAGCAAGGGAAAGGATTGTAACTGAACTTAGTTTTGCGCCACTCACTGCTTGAAAGCTGAAATTGAAGAGACAAGCTTTTGGTGAGAAAGAAAATTAGCTTTATCTGAGAAGCCAGCAATGAGGTTGAGGTTGGGGGGAGGCTAATGAACTCATGTTCAAAGACCACCTCTCCCTAAGTTGTGTCTCTGGATCAAGGATTTTTTTAATTAGATGGAGTCTCACTGTGTCACCCAGGCTGGAGTCCAATGGTGCCATCTCAGCTCACTGCAACCTCCGCCTCCTGGGTTCAAGTGATTCTCGTGCCTCAGCCTCCCAAGTAGCTGGGATTACAGGCACCCATCACCACGCCCAGCTAATTTTTGTATTTTTGGAATAGATGGGATTTCGCCATGTTGGCCAGGCTGGTCTTAAACTCCTGACCTCAAGTCATCTGCCTGCCTCGTCCTCCCAAAGTGCTGGGATTACAGGTGTGAGCCACCAGGCCTGTCCTGGATCAGGGGTTTTTAAGGGAAATTAGGAGAGTGCAAATGGTGATTAAAACATTCTTGTGAAATGTGTACAGTCTCAGGTGTGCAGCTGATCACTGCTTTCTTGGTCAATGTCTTGTGGCCTTCTGCTGGTGTTCTTATCAGGCCGTTCTTATCAGGCCGATCAGCCAGTTCCCAGAGTTGTTGGTCAGCATATTATCTTTTATCTCTGTTTCTTTTTTATCTCAGATCCTGTTTTCCTGAGGCTGTTTTTAATGAACAATCTACAAACTCAGGCAAAATAATAATTATATTCACTTAAACAAGCTTTGCTCTAACATGGAGTCAGTACTGTTATAGTGTCGGGAATGTTGGCTTGGCAGAGTCTGATTGGAGGTCTTCAAATTTGACCATTTACAGTAAGGTATGTTCAAGCAAATTTCAGCACTGGATTTTCCTGGCCAACAGACCCCTTCTGAGAAGGGCTCAGAGGAACCTTTTCTTCTGAAAGGGTTCCAGCATTCAGGTTCTTCTCCTGGGCTCTGGACATGTCTATCTTCTTGGTTCTGCAGGGAGGAAACATTGGTTTTGGGTATTGTTAGAGGTCAATACATTTTCTATTGCATGCCTGGGCTACATGACTTGAATTTTGGTTCTCTTAGACATAAAAGGTAACCTGACAGTGAATGTTCTGTTATCAACAGAGTAGGGCCAGTTTGGGATGCTTCTGTGGTTACATCTCCATGCTAAAGGCATATAAGGCCACTGATACCTGTTGAGATGAAGCAGGGGTCCCTCTTGGATGCCTGCAGACACACCCACCCTGCTCCCTGCCAAGCATGGAAATAAAGGAAAATCTTGAGTTCCATCAGCGGAAATTCTAAGAGCCCAGCTTGCCCTGAGAACGAAATAAACAACTTGATAGGCCAGGTGCGGTGGCTCATGCCTGTAATCCTAGCACTTTGAGAGGCTGAGGTGGGCAGATCACCTGAGGTTGGGAGTTCAAGACCAGCCTGACCAACATGGAGAAACCCCCTCCCTACTAAAAATACAAATTAGCAGGGTGTGGTGGCGCATGCCTGTAATCCCAGCTACTTGGGAGGCTGAGGCAGGAGAATCGCTTGAACCCAGGAGTCAGAGGTTGTGGTGAGCTGAGATCACGCCATTGCACTCCAGCCTGGGCAACAAGAGCAAAACTCTGTCTCAAAACAAAAGCAAAAACAAAAAAAAGCAACCAACTTGAGAAGCAAGAAGGTAATAGTGAAGCCGTTTTTGCCAACATTATAACAGTGAGAAAATTATGACAGTGAAAGAGATATGACCTATTAATTCTATCTTGCCTTTCACCTCCAAACTGCCCTTGATCATTCCTGGGCATGGGTTAAGTTAACTTTGGAGGAAATTTAGTTTATAGTTTAACCTTCAAGCAAGGATGGTAATGGCCCTTCCCCAAACTAAACCACCAAACTAATGAAAGCCCACAAGGTTAGGATTATGAGAGGGGCCTAAATTCTGCTAAGATGTAGGCATAGTTAAATAGTAACCAGCCATTCTGGAGGTCACAAGATTTGTAACTTCCCAGTTACTCTTGTAAATGACATTACTATTGTATTAGGTTGGTGCAAAAGTAATTGCAGTTTTTTGCCATGACTTTTAGTGAAACTTAGAACCTAAGATTGGCCTTTTGAGACATCTTTTCAGAGTTTTGCATTTCTGACTACTGGCTGACTCCATCCAGACCCGCTATTCATGATTCAACCGGTCCTGTGGCCCCAGCCCAGAAGCAGACTCTGCATAAGAGAACTGTTTTCCACAGGCGTATGATTGCATCCCCAACCAATCAGTAGCACCCATTCCCTAGCCCCCACCTGCCAAACTGTCTTTAAAAAACCCTAGCCTCTGAATTTTTGGTGAGACTGGTTTGAGTGATAACTCCAGCTCTCCTGTGTGGGCCAGCTGTGTGTCAATTAAACTCCTTTTTTATTTTTTATTTTTATTTTTGTCTGTAATGTCATGGTCTCAGTGAATTGGTTTTGTCTGTGCAGCAGGCAGGAAGAACTCATCAGGCAATTGCAATAGTAGCTTAAAACAATAGCCAAGGAATTTAGAATCACAGGATGTTTGGTTTCACTAAATATAACATCAAGTCCTGAATTCCTGGATTGTTTTTCAAAAACCCAGACCCCCACTGAATGGATCTGCTGGCACATAGACCTCAGAGAAGGGAGAAGCAAGGACTGAACTCTGATCATCATTCTTTATTCTAAAGTTCTTCCTGAGGGGCCTGGAGGAGGTCATGCCTATGAGCCAGAGCCAACATTCTCTTTCGCTGACTTCAGAATTTAAACCAAGCCTCTCTTCCTTAACCAATTACTAATCAGAAAATCTTTGAATCTGCCTATGACGTGTAAGCCAAGATATCCCACCCTTTTAGGCCAAACCTATGCGTAACCTTCATATGTTAATTTATGATTTGCCTACAATTTCTGCTTTCCTGAAATGTACCCCTGCCTTTAAAAACCCTTACTTGGCTGGGCACAGTGGCTCACACCTATAATCCCAGCACTTTGGGAGGCCAAGGCGGGCAGATCACCTAAGGTCAGGAGTTCGAGATCAGCCTGGCCAACATGGTGAAACTTCATCTCTACTAAAAATACAAAAATTAGCCACGTATGGTGGTGCACACCTGTAATCCCAGCTACTCAGGAGGCTGAGGCAGGAGAATCACTTGAACCCAGGAGGCAGATGCTGCAGTGAGCCGAGGGCACGCCACTGCACTCTAACCTGGGTGACAGAGCAAGACTCTGTCTCAAAAACAAAAACAAAAACAGAAACGAAACCCTTACTTGCAAGCCAGTAGGGAGGTCAGGACTTTGAGAGCTGCTTGATTCTTCTTGCTTGGGGCCCTGCAAATAAACATCCTCCTTTCTCCTGCTGCAAACCTGGGTGTGGATGTGACTGCACCAGGCGAGCGGACCCCAGTTCAATTCCATAACTCTGTTGGTCTTATATATAGGGAGGAGATTAAGAAAAAGCTGAGCAATGAACCTCCACCTAAATTCTTGAATATCCTGCTTGATTAGCCTCACTCAGTCCCTCTAGGTTCAGAGGAAAATGAAAATGCCAGAGGAATTCTTTTTTTTTTTTTTAGACAGATTCTTGCTCTGTCACGCAGGCTGGAGTGCATGGCACAATCTTAGCTGACTGCAACCTCTTCCTCCCGGGTTCAAGCGATTCTCCTGCCTTAGCCTCCTGAGTAGCTGGGATTACAGGTGCATGCCCAGCTAATTATTTTGTATTTTTAGTAGAGATGGAGTTTCACCATGTTGCCCAGGCTGGTCTCAAACTCCTGAGCTCAGATGATCCGCCTGCCTCGGCCTCCCGAAGTGTTGGGATCACAGGCGTGAGCCACTGCACCCGGCCACCAGGGGAATCCTTTATTGCTGACAGCAGACTCCAATGTCACCCCCTTGTTGAGTCAGCTGATGTTCATGTGAATGCAGAGCACGTCACTTGCCTCAAGTTGGTAAAACCTACATAACCCACCTCAGGCCTCCTTCTTGTATATCCTACTCTGGATCCCCCTTGGTCCTCTACTTAGGAGAAGGCTTGGACCCGTTCCTACCCTGCCAGTGGTCTGGGATCAGAGAGAACTAAACCAAGATTGGGCTCCATAAATAAGAATCCTAAGAGAAAAGACAAATACCAAGAGAATGCTGCGGGAACTTCTTGCCTTTTTCTTCTTCATGCAAAAACACCACCCCACAACACGCAAGAGCTGTACTACCCTGATGCACCTTGTGTACTACCTTGGTGCACAAAACTGTTCCTCTTAGGCTGTGTGTGTCTGTGTGCATGTGTATGTCTGTGCCCTGGAGATGGGACTGGGTGAGGGTGTTGGTTGGTGGCACTTACAATACAAACATCCCCTCCATAGTTTGTTCTCCTTTAAACTGAATTTGGTTTCACAAATGTGATGTGGCCAACTAATGACAGTGGTGTTGTAGTCACCATCAGGAAAGAAAATCCTACCTGTGGCTTTAGTCATTACAGTTTAGTCCCACTATTTTCATTGTCTATGGACAATGAAAAGTGATCACTGGTTTTAACGTGGAGCCTTTGATTTTCATTTTCTAAATTAAAAAATATTTTTTGATTCAGCAGATGAACTGTGACACACTCCTTAGCAGATTTCAACTTCTATGGCCATGGCCATCATCCTGAACATGGAGGCTTTAAAAATGTCTTGGCTGGATGCGGTGGCTCATGCTTATAATCCCAGCACTTTGGGAGGCCATGGTTGGAGGATTGCTTGAGCCTAGGAGTTCAAGATCAACCTGGGCAACATGGTGAGATCCCAGCTCTACAAAAAATTTAAAAATTAGCTGGGCATGATGGCAAGCGCCTGTGGTCCCAGCTACTGGAGAGGCTGAGGTGGAAGGATCACTGGAACCCAGGAGTTCAAGGCTGCAGTGAGCTATGATTGTACCACTGCACTCCAGCCTGAGTGACACAGCGAGACTCTGTCTTTTTTTTTTTTTTTTTTTTTTTGAGACAGAGTTTCCCTCTTGTTGCCCAGGCTGGAGTGCAATGGTGCGATCTCAGCTCACCGCAACCTCTGCCTCCTGGGTTCAAGCGATTCTCCTGCCTCAGCCTCCCGAGTAGCTGGGATTATAGGCATGCACCACCATGCCTGGCTAATTTTGTATTTTCAGTAGAGATGGGGTTTCTCCATGTTGGTCAGGCTGGTCTCAAACTCTCGACCTCAGGTGATCCACCTGCCTCGGCCTCCCAAAGTGCTGGGATTACGGGCATGAGCCACGGAGCCCGGGCCGAGACTCTGTCTTTAAAAAAAAAAAAAAGAATGTTTCCTTGACACTAGCCCCAAAAGCTGCTGAAAAAGTCAAAAGGATGTGTATAAATTAACTCCAAGGCCACAGTCTTCCTGGACCCAGGATCCTCCCTGAATTCATAACCATCTCAATGGTGCTCAGTTACAGTGTCCACTTAGGCCCTACAGAGAGGGTTTAATATAATAATGGAGGTTCAAACCACACAACACTTGAGACATAAAATTCCTTAGACATGGCACTACTCACTTTTACACTATGAATTTCTTTTATCAGTTTAATCCTTTGTTCCTCCAGAGCAATTAAAGCTCTCTTTTTACTTTTGTATTTTAAATACAATGGGAGGTGGGGGTGAGGTGGGGCAACCCTCCAGGTGTATTCACTGGCTGGAACTTGGGTTCTTTCTTCCATCCTCAGAGCAGAGATTCTCAGCCCAGACTGCACATTAAAACCACCTAGAAGGCTGGGCGCCGTGGCTCCCGCCTGTAATCCCAGCTCTCTGGGAGGCCGAGGAGGGTGATCACCTAAGCTTGGGAGTTTGAGACCAACCTGACCAACATGGAGAAGCCCCATCTCTACTAAAAACACAAAATTAGCTGGGCGTGGTGGCGCATGCCTGTAATCTCAGCTACTCGGGAGGCTGAGGCAGGAGAATTACTTGAACCCGGGAGGCAGAGGTTGCGGTGAGCCGAGATCGCACCATTGCACTCCAGCCTGGGCAACAAGAGCGAAACTCCATTTCAAAAAACAAACAAACAAAAACAAACAAACAAACAAACAAAAAAACCCAAAAAAGCCACCTGGGGGCTTGGAAAAAAAAAATCACCAGGCTCTATCCCTAAAGATTCAGGTTTCATTGGCCTGGGGTCTCTTGGGTATGGAATAATTTTAGTGAGTGTTCCTTCCACGTCACCTGGAGATTTTACTCTATATCGCTTGTAGAGTAAAATCCCCCTCCTTTGCCTGTTTATTGATGTTAAACACACTCTTGGGGTCCCTAACTTCATGGCCATCACCTAGGCTTTAGAAACATCCCAATCTGGGTGAGAAGTGGCATGTAAGGAGGAGCATGGGTATTGAAGACTAATACCATTTGCCCACCCCCAGACCCGCACCCTGGCTCCTCATCTGCTTCCGGGTGAGCCTGCCTCAGTCCTACAGTTAAGCGAAACTTGAAGCCTCCCAGTGTGTGACTGAGTTCCTTCCCAGTGCTGGGATCTGTCCAGTGGTGTGCTGGGGCTGGCTTATAGGGATGATTGTTAAATTTCCAGGGTTTTTGAAAGCTGGCTATTAAACACAGCCATTATTAAAAATCAAATTTTATAAACTTATAATTAACTAAATTATATTTTGAAAGGTAATAAATAATTGAATTGCTTCCTAATAATTTTGTTGTACTATTATCTATACTTTTTTTTTTTTTGAGATGGAGTTTTGTTCCTATTGCCCAGACTGGAGTGCAGTGGCACTATCTCAGCTCACCTCAACCTCTGCCTCCCGGGTTCAAGCGATTCTCTTGCCTCAGCCTCCTGAGTAGCTGGGATTACAGGCATGCACCATCACTCCCAGCTAACTTTGTGTTTTTAGTAGAGAAAGGGTTTATCCATGTTGGTCAGGCTGGTCTTGAACTCTCAACCTCAGGTGATCCACCTGCTCAGCCTCCCAAAATGCTGGGATTACAGGTGTAAGCCACCACACCCAGCCTATTAACTATACTCTTGAAGTCCATAAATACATACATATAAAGATGTCTATGTATCTCTCTCTATAACATATATGATATATTTAGTATATATCTACATAAATTTTGTGGCAATACTATATAATGGGGTGCTACTGAGCATCTGTTCCCAACTTGCAGGTCACCATTCAGTGACAACATATTGGTGTAGCTTAAAATCAGCCACAGTTGAATATTTACACCATGGTAATCAGATAACACTTTGAGTCTCAATCAAAGCAAGAACTGATTGACCATTTCTCTCTTTTTTTATTAGATGTCTAGACTTTAGAAAGTGATAGAGAAAACTTTAATAATGCAGAAGAAATGTCAATGTGTGTTTTGTCTGTAGTGGTTATGTTGTGAATGGCAGAAAGCATTGTCAAATCATGACTGAATTGTAATCATATTAACTACATATACAAGAGTTCAGCAAAATTCAACAAAAGCATTCTGTAAGAATTCAGCGGCTATGCGTAATTTAAGATGAAGAGCATTTTCATGCTTTATAGTTATTTTTAAAGTGTGTGATACACATTCTTTTCTTTTTTTTTTTTTTTGAGACAGGGTCTTGCTCTGTTGCCCAGGCTGGCATGCGGTGGCACCATTACGGCTCACTGAAGACTCCAACCCCTGGCTCAAGGGATCCTCCCACCTCAGCCTCCCAAGTAGCTGGGAGTACAGGCATGCAACATGACACTTGGCCAATTTTTAAATTTTTGGTGGGGATGGGTTCTCCCTATGTTGCCGAGGCTTGTCTTAAACTCCTGGCCTCAAGTAATCTTCCTGCTTCAGCCTCCCAAAGTTCTGTGATTACAGGCATGAGCCACTGTGCCTGCCTTGCTACACATTCTTGATATCAATACAGTTCGTAATAAACATACATATGTAACTACATGCGTGCCTTTTTCCCCCTCAGAGACACCTGTTAAACATTTTCTAGCACCACTGACTCTGGCTGCCCAAGAAGGCTTTGGCCAAAAGGAGTGCTGCGCAGTAATGCCACCTCAACTTCCTGTCAAGCTGAGATTCCCACTTTGCGAAGGTCCTCTCCTATGGCGGGAACTGTGCTTCTTCCACCTGGGACTTTGCCCCAAAGTGCAGTTATTAATAGTTTGTTATAGAGAGACATCCTCCCAGGAGCTGGCCACCCAGAATTCCTGCCTCCTGTGCACACTCATTTCTCTGTGCCAAATCACCCAATGTGAGATGCATCTTGGTGCAGGAAAGAAACAGGTAATGATGACTGGCATCCTGCGCCCCTGAGTCCTCAGCCTCCTGCTCTCTGCTGGATGTCAAGAGAATTGCATTAGAGAGATGTTCACTCCAAGCAAAGCATTCTCTAAGAAATGTTTCATTACGTCGGGCCTCCAACGATCTCCTTTAGAACCACCCAGGCAACATGTACATTACTGGACCTTACCCAGGGAGAGTCTGCAATTTTAACTGCCCCATTCATTCACTTATTGAGTGCCTGCTGTTTGTCAGGCACTGTTCTAGGCTCTGGATGTGCCAGGGAACAAAACAGACAATGATCCCTGATATGGTTTGGATCTGTGTCCCTGCCCAAATCTCATGTCAAATTGTAATCCCCAATGTTGGAATTGGGGCCTGGTGGAAAGTGATGGATCATCGTTGCCACCCTGCTTTGGCATTGTTGTGGCAAATAGTGAGTGATTAAGTTATCACGAGATCTGGTTGTTTAAAAGTGTGTAGCACCTCCCTCCTCTCTCCTCTTTCTCCTGCTCCAGTCATATGAGACATGCCTGCTTCCCCTTTGCCTTCTGCCATGATTGAAAGTTTCCTGCCAGGCGCGGTGGCTCATGCCTGTAATCTCAGCACTTTGGGAGGCCGAGGCGGGCGGATCACGAGGTCAGGAGATTGAGACCATCCTGGCTAACACGGTGAAACCCCATCTCTACTAAAAATACAAAAAATTAGCCAGGTGTGCTCGTGGGCGCCTGTAGTCCCAGCTACTTGGGAGGCTGAGGCAGAAGAATGGCGTGAACTCAGGAGGCAGGGCTTGCAGTGAGCCGAGATTGTGCCACTGCACTCCAGTCTGGGCGACAGAGCGAGACTCTGTCTCAAAAAAAAAAAAAAAAAGGAAAGTTTCCTGAGGCCTCCCCAGAAGCCGCTATGCTTCCTGTACAGCCTGCAGAACTGTGAGCCACTGAAATCTCTTTCCTTTTTAAGTTACCCACTCTCAGGTAGTTCTTCATAGCAGTGCGAGAATGATCTAATACAATCTCTGTTTGCACGGAGATTATAGTTAATGATGGCCAGGCGCGGTGGCTCATGCCTGTAATCCCAGCACTTTGGGAGGCCGAGGTGGGTGGATCATCTGAGGTCAGGAGTTTGAGACCAGCCTGGCCAACATGGTGAAACTCCATCTCTGCTAAAAATAGCCATGCCTAGGCCAGGCGCGGTGGTTTACGCCTGTAATCCCAGCACTTTGGGAGGCCAAAGCGGGCGGATCATGAGGTCAGGAGATTGAGACCATTCTGGCTAACATGGTGAAACCCTGTCTCTACTACAAAAAAAAATAATAAAATAAAAATTAGCCAGGCTTGGTGGTGGGCGCCTGTAGTCCCAGCTACTTGGGAGGGTGAGGCAGGAGAATGGCGTGAACCTGCGAGGTGGAGCTTGCAGTGAGCCAAGATTGCGCCACTGCACTCCAGCCTGGGTGACACAGCGAGACTCTGTCTCAAAAAAAAAAAAAAAATAGCCATGCCTGGTGGCATGCAGCTGTAATCCTAGCTACTCAGGAGACTGAGGCACAAGAATCTCTTAAACTTGGGAGGCTGAGGTTGCAGGGAGCCAAGATTATAGCCAGTAAGGAAACCCCTAATAGACAAAATATTTAAGTAAAAATATATAGTATATTAGCTAGTAATAAGCACTAGGCAGAAAAATAAAGCCAAAAATGGGGGAAAGAGGTATGAATATGACATTTGAGCATACATGTAAAGACCTAAAGGAAGTCTTTAGAGTGAGGTGACTTAGAGTCAGCCTTGCTGAATATTGTGGGGAAAAGTGCTCCTGGCAGATGGAACAGCAAATACAGCAGCCCTGACCTGGGAAGAGAAGGAAGCCAGTATGGCTGAAGAATCCTCAGAAGATTCTTTTGCACACAAAAATCGAGAACCCAGGCCAGGCACAGTGGCTTACGCCTGTAATCCCAGCAGTTTGGGAGGCCAAGGTGGGCGGATCATGAGGTCAGGAGTTCGAGACCAGCCTGGCCAAGAGACCAACCTGGCCAATATGGTGAAATCTTGTCTCTACTAAAAATACAAAAATTAGCTGGGTATGGTGGTGGGCACCTGTAATCCCAGCTACTCAGGAGGAGGAGGTGGGAGAATTGCTTGAACCTGGGAGGCGGAGGTTGCAGTGAGCTGAAGATCGCACCACTGCACTCCAGCCTGGGCCACAGAGCGAGGTTCTGACTCAAAAAAAAAAAAAAAATTGAGACCTCCAGGTGAGCAAATGCCACTAACTTTTTCATGTAGTCTATTATCCTCTGCACGCTGATGCTTTCAGGCCCTTCTGGATCCTGGAACCAGGTTCATCCATGTCTTTCGGTAAGTGTTTATTGAGCTCTTATGAAGCGTCTGTGATACTGAGACGGGATTGTTCCCTTGACCTTGACCCCCTTGTGGGCAGAAACTGGAGGGGCTCGTTTCACTCAGCCTGCAGTCCATGGATGGCTAAGTGTTAACGGCTCAGTGAAGGGTCAGGGTGACAGCCTCCTGCACCTGCTCTTCTTGGCACCCAAGTTGTTCAGTGTCCAGGAAGAATCAGGTCACATGATCTATTTGAAGGGTAGTGTATGCAGAGGATTTTATTGGGCAATTAAAATGGCTCTCAGTAGGATGGGGAATTAGAAAGGGGATGGTGTGGGAAGAAAATCTTTCCCTGGAACTGCACTGGCTGAAGTTAGCTGAGTCTATCCGTAGCCGCCGACACTCAGCTGCATGTATCCCTGACATTCAGTGGCTTGCATCCCTGACCGCTTGCATTGGTTGCTTCTGTTGCTCTGCCAACTGAAGCCTTTTTATGGGCACAGGATAGGGGCATGGTAGGCCAAAAAGGCAATCATTTGAGCAAAAAAATGGAGTGGGCTGTTTTCACTTAGGGCCAAGTTTCCAGGCTCGAGGGTGGGGTTTAGCCAAGAGCCGTTCTGTGTCAATGTGATGAGGCTGAAAATTTTTGACTTGAGACCATGTTCCTGCTTCTTTGCCTGTCAGCCCAAGATCCTCTGACTCCTACTGGGTTTCATTCTTTGGTTCTTTGAATCTTGAGTTATGAGTCCACCACCACCTCCAAAACTTACTTTAGCTATCCCTTGTTCTCTGCTTATGGCCACAGGATAGCTTTATGTTTCACGGTGAGTAGGTCTGTACAAACCTACCCATAAAAGCTGAGGAAGCTGAAAGGCCAAAGAAAGAGGATGACAAATCTAGTTTTTGAGAAAGAAACATTTAATAGGGACTTTTAATAAACAGGAGCCATGTCTTGGATGGCTGTGAGATGAGTTGGTGGATCCTGTACCATTACACTCAGACCCAGAGCTTATATACCACAGGAAATTTGCCAAAAGGCAGGATTTATGGCAAGCATATGTTTATCATAACATTAAGGTTGTTTTGACCTAAGGGCAGGGTTTGCTGTAAGTACATGCTAACAGTAGATAAAGTAGAGATCTTAGGGGCTGATATGGTTTGGATATGTGTCCCCTCCAAATCTCATGTTGAAATGTGACCTCCAGTGTTGGAGATGGTCCTGGTGGGAGGTGTTTAGGTTATGGAGGTGGATTCCTCATAAATGATTTGGTGTTGGCCTTGGTAATGAGTGAGTTTTTGCTCTATTAGTTCATGTAAGAGCTGTTTGTTTAAAGAAGCCTCTTTAAGAAGGCTCTCCTCTTTCTCTTAATTCCTCTCTCACCACGTTACAAGCCTGCTTCCCCTTTACCTTCCGCCATAATTGTAAGCTTCCTGAGACCCTTGCCAGAAGCAGATGTTAATACCATGCTTCCTACACAGCCTGCAGAAATGTGAGCCAAAATAAATCTCTTTTCTTTATAAGTTACCCAGTCTCAAGTATTCCTTTATAGCAATGCAAAGCAGACTAATACAGAGGCATTCCCAGAAGTGGGGCTAATCACAAGTCAACCTGGCAAATTAGCATCCAAGATGGAGTTGCTTTAGACTGCATACTTTAGTTTCAAAACAGGGGTCCAGCTCCTGGAACCTCTGTCCCATTGGGAGGCCCAAATCCCTCCTTGGCCTGCCAGGGCCTTACGGAGATTGAGTTTAACCTTAGATATATTGAGTTTGAGACCTCTTGGGGGGTCTCCTAACACATAGAAGGATGTGTACAGCAGGTCATTAAGTTGATAGGTCTGTGACTCAGAAGGGAGAGCGGGGATGGAAAGACTGATTGAAATCACCACTAGCATTTGTTGAAATGCCTTCTGTCGGCTAGGCTGGTGATTGTCAACCCTGGCTGCATATTAATACTGCCTAGAGAGCTTTCAAAAATATCAATTTAAGGGCCCCACTGCAGACCAATTGATGCAAATCTCCAGGGGTGAGGCCCAGGCATTAGTATGTTTTAAAATCTCCCCACGATTCTAATAAGCAGGTAAGGTGGAGAACCACTGTGATCAGCAATGGTTTATATTGGTGATTCTCAACCTTGGCTGCAACTTTGGGTTGCCAACTGGGTTTCCAATCCTGTTGGAATCACCTAGGGAACTTTAAGAAGTATTGCCACCTAGTTCCCATCCACAGAGATTTGGACATATTTGTTCTGGGTGGAGCTGGGTCAGGGGATGTAACCAAGGTAGAGAACCTCCAAGCTAGGTGCTGAACACCTAGGAGAAGATTACAAAGCAGTACTAGAAATCATCCTCCCCACTCAAGGATCTCACTACATCATGGAAGGCACCATTAAAAATGTTAGCTATGGCCATCTTCTCTCTTGTGCCTTGTCCTAGCTCTGAAAGCTCAAACTCTAATGGCCTATTTTGATGACATCCTCCGTCCTGCTGACTCTTCTACCAAACTCATCCCAATAGTGCTGTTTGACCTGTTTGCCTTTCCTGTCCATCAGTCTTTCCCAAGTGACTTCCTTCCTAACTGGATTCCATAGCCTATCCCTCCCATGACACCCTCACTAGTCCCCCAAATCTTTTGTCTCCTTGGCTTTCTGTCCCTCTAGCCCACACTCCCCTTATTATCCTTATTCAGTTACCAAATCCTATGGATCCCCCTCGTTCTAAATATTGCTTGGATGAGTCCATTTCTCTCCATTCCTACTGCCACTTTTCTATTTCAGTACACCACCATGAACTTAGATGCCTACTGCAATCTCCCAAATGGCTTCTCTCAGTCTGGCCATGACCCTCTCTAGTCTGTTTGCTGCAACTAGAGTGACCCGCTCAATATGCAATTATTAAAATTTCACTTTTTGAAAATGACATGCAACAGGCCGGGCGCGGTGGCTCATGCCTGTAATCCTAGCACTTTGGGAGGCTGAGGCGGGTGGATCACAAGGTCAGGAGATCGAGACCATCCTGGCTAACACGATGAAACCCCATCTCTCCTAAAAATACAAAAAACTAGCCAGGCGTGGTGGCGGGCGCCTGTGGTCCCAGCTACTCAGGAGGCTGAGGCAGGAGAATGGCGTGAACCTGGGAGGCAGAGCTTGCAGTGAGCCGAGATCACGCCACTGCACTGCAGACTGGGCGACAGAGCAAGACTCCGTCTCAAAAACAAAAAAGAAAAAGGAAAATGACATGCAACAATATTTACTCTTCTGGTTGTACAGGTCTATGAATTTTGACAAATGCATCTAGTCATGAAACCATGACCAAAATCAGGATACAGAGCCATTCATCACCCCCTCACCCCAACCAAATTCAATCATGCCATCAGGTTTTCATCAACTTCTATTCCCACTCATAATTCCTGGCAACCACTGATGTATTTTCTGTCCCTATTGGTTTGCCTTTTCCAGATTGTCCTATAAATGGAATCATATACAGTATGTAGACTCTCTGGCTTCTTGCACTTAGCATATTGCATTTGGTATTCATTCAAGTTATTTTGTGTATCAGTCATTTGGTCCTTCTTGCTGCTGATTAGTATTCCATTGTGTGGATAATCCACAGCTCATTTAGCCATTTTTGCCAGTTGAAGGACATTTGGGTCATTTCTAGTTTTTGGTTATTATAAACAGATCTACTACAAATATTTGTGTACAGGTTTTTGTGTGAACACACATTTTCATTCCCTTTGGTAAATATATAGCAGTGGGATTGCTGGGTCATGTGATAAGTGTATGTTTAACTTTATAAAGAACTGCCAAATTGTTTTGCAAAATGGCGCTGCTATTTTGCATCTCTACCAGCAGCGTATGAGAGAGAGTTCCAGTTGCTCCACATCCTTGCCAAAACTCACTATCGTCTGTGTTTATAATTCTAGGTATTCCAATGGGTGTACAGTAGTATCCCATTTGCATAAATTGCACATTTGGTCATGCTCCTTCCCTGCATACAACTGTCTGCAACTCCCTGTTGCTTTTAGGGTTGACCCCTAATTGTTTAGCATGACTTGAAAGAGCCACTTGCTGGGTGAATTACCACTTGTCTCCCAAGCCCAGGTGTTGCCATCCTGTGCCCCTTTTGCATTCCATGCAATGGCCACATTAAAGTACTTTTAGCTCCTGAGTCCCCTCTGCTTCCCTCAATTTTACATTGCTCTGTATGCTGTTACCTCTGCCTAGAACATTCTCCTCTCTTCTTTCATCTGGTCAATTCCTATTCATTCTCCCATGCACCTTAGAGGTCAGTTACTCCAGATCTCCCTGGTCACCTCTTCCCACTCCCAGTCTCAGCCCTAACTCTCATGGAATACTCTTCTTTGCCCTCCTACGCAGTTTGTCCACCAATAACCTGATGCACACCCTTCTGGCTGTTTCTGACTATGGTAGATTTCAAAATCAGCCATGATACTTTGCAGCTCTTTCTATCAAGAGATGGAGATTTTTCTCTACTCCCTTGAATGATTATGCCCATTTTATAGACAAAGAAACTGAGCCCAAGATCACGTTGCTTGCTGATATAGATGTGTCCAAACCTGGGAGTTCTGGGTCCAGATCCTAAGCTTTTCCCACCAGGCTGCAGAAATTTGGCTCCCATGGATATGACCATCTGCACCCTTGCTTGCCCTGGCCTCCCTTCTGACTGGAAACATCAACTCCCTTCATTAGGGGCACTACTGCTCCCATTCCAATAATATTATTTTAATGGGGATTGCCAACCACAACATGCCCTGTTTCTTTGGCTACAGGGCATATGACCTGAGCTAAGAAAATCAGAGCTTTCCTGGGGACTTTCTGGATTAGAACTATGGGAGGAGATGTGAGCTTGGCCACCATTTGTTGCCATGCTTGCAGCTTCATGGAGAAAACAGGTCTGAGAAAAAGAAAAGTATCACCCAACAGGGAGTGGCATGTGTTGAGGAGAAGGGGGAGGGATGGAGGTGTCTTTTACTAAGCAAGAGCACCTTGGTTCCTCGTTTTATTGTCCCTAAAAGCAGCTGCATCCTAGGCTTCCCAAATTTTAGTTACCTTGGTCAATAAATTCCCCACTTTGCCTCTGTTAGTTGAAACTAGGCCACCTGCAACACTTGAAGGAACTTTCATAATACACAAGACTTGGGGGAATTAATCGAGGGGTAATGATGAAAGCATTAGGTAAAGCTAGCCCCTTTGAACAGCTCAGGGGTTGAGCTGGAGAATGGGTCTGTCGATGACTCAGGTGAAGGTGTGGCCTGGGACCCTGGCTCTACTTATAAAGTGAAGGCTGTCAGCCAAAAATTCAACTTCGATTGCAAAGGCATTTAGGACTTAGGGGAGAAATGAGAATGCATGCTTCTGTAGCAGAGGGAAAAAAAGTGTCTAACAGGTTGTGAATAATTCAGATTTAATTACTAGGAAAAATGCCTTCCTTTTCTTTTTTCTTTTTATTCTTTCCCCTGCCTGACGCTTAGGCAGCAGGTTTAGTAGATATTTTTGTTCCAGAAATTCTACTTGAGAAATAGTGAGCCAAGTCTTCAGTTTTCTTCTGGTTGGGCGTGAAGACCAGGGTGTTTTGGATGTGGGCAGGAAGGAGAAGCAGGTATTCCTCAGCTCTTTCTGTTAAAGACTGCCAGGTATGGTACCCATGATGGGGGGGGTCCTTCTCTAATGCCTGGGATCTCTGAGCTTGTGACCTATAAACTGGAAGGCACAGGTGTGAAATGCTCCCAACCATGCAGATGGGTGCCATTATAATTTTGTGGTACTATATCTCAGACAGGGACTCATCACCACTTAGCAATCCTATTACACACCCACTGCCATCGATTTTAAACCTCATTACTCATTTCAAGCCCTTTAGTACTTAGTTTAGTACCCCACTCTCTCTCCTTTCCAGGAGATGAATTTTTTTTTTTAAATAACAGCTTTATTGAGATAGAATTCATATACCATAAACCTACCCCCTTTAAAGTGTACCATTAAATGATTAAGTGATTTTTACTACATAGGCAAAGCTGTACAACCATCACCATGATCTAATTTTAGAACATTTTTATCACTCCCCAAAGAAGCTCCATACTCGTTAGCAATTACTGCTCATTTCCTCCTCTCCACATCTCCTGGCAACCACAAATCTACTTTTTCTACTTACTGTCTCAAAATGGGATTTGCCTATCCTGGACTTTTCCTATAAATAGAATCATACAACCTGTGGTCTTTGGGTGTGGCTTCCCTCACTTAGCATGGTATTTTCAAGGTTCATTCGTGTTGTAGCAGATACCAGTACTTTATTCCTTTTTATGGCAGAATAATATTCCATTGTATGGATATGTCTTTGATTTTTCCATTCATCAGCTGATGGACAATTGGGTTGTTTTCAATTCTGGGCTATTATGAATAATGGTGCTACGCACATTTTGTACAAGTTTGGGTGTGGACATACTTTCCAATCCTGTTGGGTATATCTGTAAGAGTGCAACTGCTAGGTCATGTGGTAACTCAAAATGATAACTGAGTTACCATTAAATTGCTAGGTCATATGGTAACTTTGGAGAAACACCATTTTATGCTCCTCCTGGCAATGTATAGGGGTTCCAATTTCTTCACATTTTTGCTAATACTTGTAATTGTCTGTCTTTCATATTTTTGTCATTCTCGTGAGTGTGAAGTGGTATCTCATTGTGGTTTTGATTTGCATTTCCCTAATGACTAATGGTGTTGAATATCTTTTCATATGCTTATAAGCCATTTATATGTCTTTGGAGAAATTCTTTTCAAATCTCTTGCTCATTTTAAAATTAGGTTGTCATTTTATTACGGAGTTGCATTAGTGTTACAGCTCTTTTAGAATTTGTCTAGCAGGTTTTCTGATTTTTACCCGGAACCCCTCCCCAGCCAAAAGTAAAAGAAAAAAAAAGCTGCAATAGTTCTTTATATAGTTTAGATACAAGGCCCTTATCAGATATTTGATTTTCAAATATTGTCTCCCATTCTGTGAGTTGTTTTTTCACTCTCTTGATGGTGTCATATGAAGCACAAATTTTTTTTTTTATTTTGATAATGTCCCATTTATCTATGTATTTTTTCTTTTCATTTGTGCTTTTGGTGTCGTACCTAAGAAACTGCTGCTTAACTCAAGGTCATAAAGATTTACTCCTGAATTTCCTTCTAGCTGTTTTATAGTTTTAACTCTTACATTTAGATATGATTCATTTTGATATTATTTTTGTTTATGATGTGAGGTAGGGATCTGACTTTATTCTTTTACATAGGAATATCCAGTTGTCCCAGCACCATTTGTTGAAAGACTATTTTTTCCTAATTGAATTGTCTTGGCATTCTTGTTGAAAATCAGTTCACTATAAATATCTGACCTCTCAATACTATTCCACTGATCTATGTGTTTATCCTTATGCCAGTTCCACACTATCTTCATACTGTTACTCTGTGTTTGAAACTCTAGGTTAGAAATGGGGAATGGTGAACTCTAGGTTAGAAATGGGGAATTATTCAGCTCTGTTCTTTTTCAGTATTGTTTTGGCTGTTCTGGATTTCTTGGATTTCTGTATGAATTTCAGAGCCAGTTTATCAATTTCTGCAAAAAATGCTGTGGGGATTTTGATAGGGATTGTGCTGAATCTATAGACCAGTTTAAGGAATACTGCCATCTTAACAATATGAAGCTTTCTGATCTATGAATACAGGATGCCTTTCCATTTATTTAAGTCTTAAGTCTTTCAATATTTTGCAGTAGTCAGTGAACAAGTCTTGCACTTCTCATTGATTTTATTCCTAAATACTTGATTATTTTTTATCTTATTGTAAGTGTAATTGTTTTCTTAATTTTCGTTTTTGGATTGGTCATTGCTACTGTATAAAATATTTTTGTATATTGCTCTTATATTTTGCAAGCTTGGTGAATTTGTTTATTAGGTCTACTAGTTTTTTGTGTGTGTGTATTCCTTAGAATTTTCTATATACCACTGGGCATGGTGGCTCACACCTGTAATCCCAGCACTTTGGGAGGCTGAGGTGGGTGGACTATTTGAGGTCAGGAATTTGAGACCAGCCTGACCAACATGGTGAAATCTTGCCTCTACTAATTACAAAAAAAATTAGCTGGGTGTGGTGGTGCATCCCTGTAATCCCAGCTACTTGGGAGGCTTAGGCAAGAGAATCACTTGAACCCGAGAGACAGAGGTTGCAGTGAGCTGAGATTGCACCATGGCACTCCAACCTGGGCGACTGAGCAAAACTCCGTCTCAAAAAAAACAACAAAAAAAAAAAAAAAGAAAAAAACAAGAATTTTCTATAAATGAGATTATGTCATCTGCAAATAGAGATCGTTTTACTTCTTCCTTTCCAATCTGAATGCCGTTTTTTTTTCTTGCCTAATTTTCCTAGCAGAGGAACTTTTGAATGTTTTAATATAGTGGTCATAAGATATAGCATGGGCTTTGGAATCAGTCAAAGCTGGTCATAAATTCTGGCTCCACCACTTCACTCACTTTGAACTTTGATATTCACCTGTAAAAATGAAAAACACAACTTGCAGAATTTTTTAAAACATTTTAAAAAATCAATGTATAATTTACATGGAATAAAATGTACAGACCTTAAATGTTCAGTTCGATGAGTTTTGACTATTGTACACATCTGTGTAGTAACCATTCTAAAGTAAGATATGAAGCATCTCCATCATCCCATGCCCCTTTCTGTTCAATCTAATTCTTCTATCGCCATAGATTCAATTAGCCTAGGCTAAGCCTAGACTGTATAAGTGCCGTCATACAGTATGTTCCCTTTTGTGACCAACTTCTTTTGTCAAACATAATGTTTTGGAGGTTCATTCATCGTGTTGTAGGTGTCAGTGGTTTATTACTTTGTATTGTTGAGTAGAACAGGTTGAGCATCTCTAATCCAAATATCCAAAATCTGAAATACTCTAAGATACAAAACTGTTTGAGTGCCGACATGATAATCAAAGGAATTACTCATTGAAACATTTTGGATTGGGGGTTTTTGAATTAGGAATGCTGAGCTGGTAAGTATAATGTGAGTCTGAAAAAATCCAAAATCCAAAATGCTTCTGGCCTGAAGCATTTTGGATAAGGAATATTGAACTTGTATGGACATACTACAATTTGTTTATCCATCTTCCTCTTGATGGACATTTGGATTATTTCCAGTTTGGGACTATTGTGAATAAGGTTGCTATGAACATTTGTGCACAGGTCTTTTTGCAGATGTATATTTTCATTTGATGTAGATAAAATACCTAGGCATGAAATTGCTGAGCCATATAGGAGATATGCACCTGGTGCATATATCAGTGCCCTGGCTTGAATATTTGTTCCACCAAAGCTCATGTTGACATTTGATCCTCAGTGTGGCAGCATTGGGATGTAGGGGGTCCAGTGGGAGGTGTTTGGATCATGAAGGCAGATTCTTCATGAAGAGATTAATGCACTCCCTTGGGAGTGAGTGAGTTCTCACTCTGTTAGCTCCTGTGAGAGCTTGCTTTGTTTTTGTTTCTGTTTTTGTTTAGTTTTGTTTTGTTTTAGACAAGTTCTGGCTCTGTTGCCCAGGCTGGAGCGCAGTGGCACAATCTTGGCTCACTGCAGCCTCGGTCTCATGGCCTCAGATGATTGTCCCACCTCAGTCTCCCAAGTAGCTGGGACTGAAGGTGAGAGCACCACCATGACAGGCTAATTTTGTTTATTTCTTTTATAGAGATAAGAGTATCACTAAGTTGCCCAAAAAGGTCTCAAACTCCTGGGCTCAAGCGATCCTGCCATCTTGGCCTCCCAGAGTGCTGAGATTACAAGCCCTGCACCTGGCCAAGCGCAGTTGTTAAAAATAGCCTGGCACCTCCCCTCTCTCTCTTGCTTCCTCTCTCACCATGTGATCGGCATACACCAGCTCCCTTTCACCTTCCACTAGGAGTAGAAACAGCCTGAAGACCTCATCAGATGCAGATGCCCAATCATGAACTTTTTCCAGACATCAGAATTGTGTGCCAACTAGACCTTTAAAAAAAAAAAAATTACCCAGCCTCAAGTATTCCCATCTAGCAGCACAAAATGAACTAACACAATCAGTAAGGATTAAATTTGTTTTAAATTACAACAAACTATTTCAGATCCAAAACCATTTTCGAGGCATGTGATCTATGTGACTTACACTCTTCCCAGCTGTCCTCCCTTCCCCAGAATCTGTTTCCTCATTCACCTGCACCTTCCTACACTTTGCACTCCCACCAGCACCCCCTCAGCTTCTCTGTTCAAGTCTCTGCCTCCCAAGCAACCCAGCAACTTGCCACACAGTCTTCCCTTTAATGGGCCTTAATAAAAACCCTTAACCAAGCCTGTCATCACTGTCAGTAGGAGGTGAGTAAGCAATTAGCATTCCTTACTTAATGGACCAGTATTTCTCTTGGGACGTCAGTACCAATTAAGAGATGGAAATAAAATTTTAATCTTGTTTCCTCCTGAACATAGTACATGTGTGGTTGAACGCTCTCTTTCCAGGGCACCACACAGGTGAATTTGAAAACATCTTTATCTAGAGGGGCACTGCACAGTGACATAGAGGCAATCCTAAGTCAGGCTTTAGAAATTAAAAAAAAAAAAAAAAAAAAAAAGGCCGGGCGTGGTGGCTCATGCCTGTAATCCCAGCACTTTGGGAGGCCAAAACGGGTGGATCACTTGAGGCCAGGAGTTAGAGACCAGCCTGGCCAACATGGTAAAACCCATCTCTATCAAAAATATAAAAATTAGCCAGGTGAAGTGGCATATGCCTATAATTGCAGCTACTTGAGAGGCTGAGGCAGGAGAATCACTTGAATCTGGGAGGTGGAGGTTGCAGTCAGCCAAGATCATGCCACTGCACTCCATCCTGGGTGACAGAGTGAGATCCTGTCTCAAAGAAAAAAAAAAATAGAGAGACAGAGTCTCACTATTTTGCCTGGGCTGGTCTTGAACTCCTGGCCTCAAGCAACTCTCCCGCCTTGGGCCCCCAGAGCATTGGGATTACAGGCATGAGCTAGTGGCCCTGGCCAGGCTTTAGAAATGTAAATGCATCTTGTGCTCTAAGAAGGGACAAATTGACCTATCCAGCCTATGAAGTTGTGGAGTATGTTTCTATAGAAAGTGTTTGATAAAAAGAAATATAGAGGATGCATTTCTGGCAATTGAGAAAGCATCATGTATGAAGAGATGCCCAGAAATGGAGACAATGTATTTCTGTTTGGATAACAGAAAGCTCTTATTTATTTGGCAGATATGTATTGAGCACCTACTATGTGTTGGTCACTCTTCTATGTGCCAGGTTTACAGCAGGAAATAAAACAGACCTCAGTGTCTTCTCTCATGGAGCTTACATTCTGGATTAAGGGTAGGTGGGGACCAAGAAGCCAAATGAGTTTGGTTGATAGTTGAAGAAGTTTGGAGATGAGCAATGAAAATGATTAGAATTCTTCAAAGTAGAATTACAGGAACAGATGATGGACCTTGGATCTCAGATCTCATCTGGGAAAGGGAGTGAAGAAATGCCTTCACCTCATTCTCATAGAGCTTGGTTGGAGGGGCTGAGAGGCTCTCCCCAGCAGGAGCTGGGGAAGGATGAGGATGGGCAAAGGAGTCATTAGCTGGTTTGTTGACTGGAAGCAGGTTCTTGAGGGAGGAATGCTGAAGGGCTGGTATGAGGGAGTGGGGAAAGCTTGCAAGCTCACTTTTCGGGGTGCTGGTGGCTAGACAGATCCAGGGCTCTGGAGCTGAGGATGACACAGAATAACAGAATGGTTCCAGGCATGTGCTTTGAAATCAAACAGATCTGGGTTTGAGTTGGGGTGTGCCACCTGCTGTGTGTGTGACCTTGAGAAAGTCTTCAACTTTCTCTGCAAATGAAGACTTTTGTTTCTTCTTCTTTAAAATGGGAACAATGCTATGGCTTGTTGTATGGATTTAACATGTTAATATAATTATTACATATCTGAGATTATTGTTATTCTTATGGATTGTTTGCAAAATGTCTTCCTCCTATGTTGCTTCTCCATGGGTGGATTCACAGTCGTGTCTGGAAAATGACTGGGAGGAAACTCACTTCTTCCTCCTGAGACTGTCATGGCCACTGTCCCAGGGGTGAGCCGCCCAGATGTCTAGGGTTGCTAAGGGTCCATTGCAGCTGGGCAGGGGCTCCTGGCTGTCTCTCCATGTCCTTGCACTCAGAGGCCTCTTTTCACTTTGTTTTTTAAATATTTCCCGAAGCTCTAATTGCTACACTTCCTCCAATGTTTTTAATACAGGCAATCAGTGACTACTGCAATTAGGAGGGCCTAATTACCATCGGCATTCTTTCTCTTCTCCCAGAAACCACCATCGGAACAGTCACAAATAAACCTTAATGAAGACCAAAGATCTTTCTCCAGTCTAAAGCCGTTTGTAATCATGATCGCTTATTGTCGAAGACAGCAGGCAGAGGAGTCCTTTGAAGGACTGCTGCATATTCAGCAGCAGCAGGGAAAGATGCTCTGCGGCCAGGAGTCTGTGGTCCAGGCGAGCAACAAATGGGGCTTGCATTCAACCTATTGTTGTTGTTATACTTTAATGTATTTGTCTGATAAAGTCTCTTGAGCTATTCTATTAAAAAAGTTATCGGGTGGGTGCGGTGGCTCACGCCTGTAATCCCAGCACTTTGGGAGGCCGAGGTGGGTGGATCATGAGGTCAGGAGTTCGAGACCACCCTGGCCAACATGGCAAAACCCTGTCTTTACTAAAGATACAAAAATTAGCCAGGCGTGGTGGCAGGCATCTGTAATCCCAGCTACTCAGGCGGCTGAGGCAGGAGAATCCCTTGAACCTGGAGGCAGAGGTTGCAGTGAGCCAAGATCGTGCCATTGCACTCCAGCCTGGGCGACAAGAGCAAGATTCCATCTCAAAAAAAAAAGTTATCGGAAATGTAGCACATGAATGGTAAAGTGCACTAATCTCAAGTGTAAAATGTGATGAATTTTTAAATATGTACAGACCTCATGTAACCATTAGAGAGATGAAGATGTAGAACAATTCCAGCATTCTGGAAGGCTCCCATTCCCTTCTATGGTGTATCCGTCAAGGTCGAATCAGAAAGCAGAACGACAGTGAGTGTTAGGGAATCAGGGATAAGAATTTGACCTTACACAACTGTGGGAGGAACTGTGGAAATATAAGTCCAAAGAAAGGGAGTGAGGGGATCCAAGAAAAGGAGCTTGCCAGCTGTCCTGCAACACTGATATGCAGATGAATGAGTCAGAGTTTGCAGGGCAGCCCAGAAACTGGTCACATTCAGTGGCAGATGTGAGACCCCAAAGGGGCTGGGGGAGAAGCCCATGGAAGGCTCTTGGGTCTTCATTAGCTGCTGCCTCTGTGAAGCCACATTAAGATGGAGCAGGGACCCCTCTTAAGGGACTTCCAGGAAAATTCCAGGCGCCTAGCTAGCCTTATAAAAAGTAAATGAGCATGATGGTGCAGCAAAACAGCATAGCACATGTTTATCTATGTAATGAACCTGCACATGTATCCTGGAACCTAAAATAAAGTAAAATTAAATAAAAAAATAGTAAATGAGGCCGGGCACAGTGGCTCACACCTGTAATCCCAGCACTTTGGGAGGTCAAGGCGGGTGGATCACCTGAGGTCAGGAGTTCGAGGCCAGCCTGGCCAACATGGTGAAACCCCATCTCTACTGAAAATATAAAAATTAGCCCGGCGTAGTGACACACACCTGCAGTCCCAGCTACTCAGGAGGCTGAGGCAGGAGAATCACTTGAACCTGGGAGGCGGAGTTTGCAGTGAGCCAAGATCACGCCGCTGCACTCCAGCCTGAGCGAACGAGAGAGACACTGTCTCAAAAAAAAAAAAAGAAAGAAAGAAAGAACGAGAAAAAAAGTAAATGAGCAGCCTGATACACGAGGAGATAGTAACAAAGTAGTCTCCCAAGCAAGCCGGAGTCACAGGTGTTTTGGTTCTCTATAGAACCTAAAAGATAACATTTTTTTTTTTCTTGTGATGGAGTCTCACTCTCTCGCCCAAGCTGGAGTACAGTGGCAGGATCTCAGCTCACTGCAACCTCTGCCTTCCGGGTTCAAGCAGTTCTCCTACCTCAGCCTCCCGAGAAGCTGGGATTATAGGCACCTACCACCATGCCCGGCTAATTTTTGTATTTTTAGTAGAGACAGGGTTTTACCATGTTGGCCAGGGTGGTCTTGAACTCCTGACCTCGTTATCCGCCCACCTCGGCCTTCCAAAGTGCTGGGATTACAAGTGTGAGCCACTGCGCCCGGGCAAAAATAACATCTTAACACAAGTTCTTGAGTTGCTTTTCAGAAACCCCCACCAGTTAGAAAATGCTACCACCATCACATAGACACCAGGTGGGGGAAACTGAGGACGGAACTCTGACAGCCATTCTTTGTTCTAAAATTTCCTGGGGTTGTGGAGAGAGTCACACACATGGGCCAGACTTTCATGTATTGGTTTATGATTTTGCCTGCAATTGCTGCTTTCCTGAAATGTACCCTTGTCTTTAAAAACCCTTGCTTGTAAGTCACTGGGGAGTTCAGGTCTTGAGTGTTAGCTATTCATTGTCCTTGCTTGGTACCATGCAGTTAATGCCCTTTTCTCCCACTGCAAATCTCAGCATCAGCATCTGGCTTTATTGCACTGGGCAAGCAAGCCCCAGTTTGGTTCAGTCACATCTGGTGATGGATGGGAGTTACTGCTGGTGAGCTGGTCCTGTGTTGTGGAAGAAGAGCTGGACACAGTGTAGGGAGAGCAAAGATAAGCTGGAACCCACCAACACCTCTGGACTGTCCTCACCACCTTGAACCTTCAGAGTGCCCTGGTGCTGCTTCCCTCCTGCCTCCCACATCTCATACACCTTCACTTTTGGCAGCTCTCACCAGGAGCCTGATAGGGAAGGGGATTCCAAGAAGCATGACTCCCATTGGAACCAAACTGACTGTAGAATAATGCAGTGCCTATGCAACGATGTTTTTGTTCACCAAATGTGGCTAATAGCGTCATGTCCTCCTCAAGCTGTGAGATTGTAGGGCCCTCGAGAGAGAGGCTTTATATTTCAACACACGACACAAGTACAGCACCTTTCCCAGAGCTGGCAAGGGGAGGAGGTGGCCACCGCTCCTCTTTCCTGTTCCCATCTCCCTTTAAGAGAATTGGGTCAGATTCCAGAACAAGGGGCCACATTTACCAGTGGCCAAGGTCACAGTGCATTGACATGATATTTGTGGCCATCTTTGGCTGCAGAGGTAAGAGCAGTGGTTCTCAACCTTGGCTCCACAATGGGGTCATCTGGGGAGCTTTACAAAATACTCACGCATTGTCCCTCTACCCCAGGAGATTCTGATACAATTGATCTGGAGTAACAGTCTGGCATCGAGATTTTTAAAAATCTCCCCAAATGATTCTTTTTTTTTTCTTTCCTTTTCTTTTTTTTTAAGACACGGGGTCTTGCTCTGTCCCCCAGGCTGCAGTGCTGTAGCACAATACAGCTTACTGCTGCCTCAAACTCCTGGGCTCAAGTCGTCCTCCCACCTTAGCCTCCTGAGAAGTTGGGACTACAGGTGCCTACCACCATGCCTGGCTAATTTTTGTATTATTATTATTATTATTTTGAGATGGAATCTCGCTCTGTTGTCCAGGCTGGAGTGCAGTAGCACGATCTTGGCTCACTGCAAGCTCTGCCTCCCAGGTTCATACCATTCTGCCTCAGCCTCCCTAGTACCTGGGACTACAGGCACCCACGACCACGCCTGGATAATTTTTTGTATTTTTAGTAGAGACGGGGTTTCACCGTGTTAGCCAGGATGGTCTCAATCTCCTGACCTCGTGATCTGCCTGCCTTGGCCTCCCAAAGTGCTGAGATTACAGGCGTGAGCCACCACGCCCAGCCATGTATTATTATTATTTTTATATGTAGAGATGGGGGTCTCACTATGTTGCATACGCTGGTCTCAAACTCTAAGGCTCAAGCAATCCTCCCGCCTCAGCCTCCCAAAGTGCTGAGATTACCCAACCTAGGACTGAGGAGAATGGGTAGCCACTATGTCCAGCCTACCCCAGGTGATTCTAATGGGCAGCCAAAGTTGGGGATAACTGGAGGGTCAAGACCTGAAGCTTGGTAGGCTCCTCCTCTTCCAGGCTTTCTTCTTTCCCATGCAGCTAAAAAGTTAAATGAAACTGAAGCTAGCTGGCCTTCTTGGGGTAGGTCTGGGTGTTACAGAACAGAATGGGGGTCTACTCACTGGTGAAGCAAAGCCAAATCCTGACATTAGGATTGCAATAAGAGAAAGTGTGGCCTTTACTAAGGGTGCCAAGCAAGGAGAATCGGGCAGCTAATGCCTCAGACCTGAACTCCCTGATGGCTTACAAGTAAGGGATTTTTTTTTTTTTTTTTAGATGGGGTCTTGCTCTGTCACCAGGATGGAGGGCAGGGGTGCGATCTCAGCTTACTGCAACCTCCACCTTCCAGGTTCAAGCAATTCTCCTGCCTCAGCCTCCCAAGTAGCTGGGACTACAGACACGCACCACCACACCCAGCTAATTTTTGTATTTTTAGTAGAGATGGGGTTTCACCATGTTGGCCAGGATGGTCTCGATCTCCTGACCTCGTGATCCACCCACCTCGGCCTCCCAAAGTGCTGGGATTACAGGTATGAGCCACTGCACCCAGCGCAAGTAAGGGATTTTAAAGTCACAGGGGGAGAGGTTACAGACAAAGTCATAAATCAATACGTGAAGGCTGTACTTTGGTTTGACCAAAAAAGGTGGGACTTCTTGAAGTAGGGGCCCACAGGTCACAGGTGGGTTCAAAGATTTTCTGATTTGTGATTGGTTAAGGAGATGAAGATTTGTTTGAAGATTTGTTTAAAGATTTGGGATCAGCTGAAAAGACTGTTAGCTCTGGCTTGTGGATGTGACCCCTTTCAGGTCCCTCAGGAAGAAATTTAGGATGAAAAATGGGGCCGGGTGTGAAACCCTGTCTCTACTAAAAATACAAAAATTAGTTGGGCGTGGTGGCACCTGCCTGTAATCCCAGCTACTTGGGAGGCTGAGGCAGGAGAATCACATGACCCCAGGAGGTGGAGGTTAGAGTGAGCTGAGATTGTGTCACTGCATTCCATCCTGGGCAACAGAGGGAGACTCCATCACAAAAAAAAAAAAAAAGAAAAATGGCAGTCAGAGTTCCATCCTCAGTTCTCCCTTTTCTGAGGGCTGCCTCCCAGTGGATCCATTTGGTGGGGGTCCAGATTTCTGAAAAATAAGTCAGGCACATTTGTTAAGATTTTTGTCTTTAGTTTTTATGGGGAACCAAACATTCTCATGACTCTAACATCCTTGGCTTTTGTTTTAAGCACCATTACCATCTTGCTTATCAAATTGCTCATTTACTTCTCAGTCCTAGCTAGGTGCCTGGAATTTCCCTGGAAATGTAACTGCCCAGTGGGTTCACCTTGCCTGCTGCCTAGACAGAGCCAATTTCTCAAGACAGGAGAATTGCAACAGAGAAAGAGTAATTCACGGAAAGCCAGCTGTGCGGGAGACCGGAGTTTTATTATTGCTCAAATCAGTCTCCCCAAGCATTCGGGGTCACAGTTTTTAAGGACTACTTGGTGCGTGGTAGGGAAGCCAGTGAGCCAGGACTGCTGAGTGGTTAAGTAGGAGATGAAATCATAGGGAATTGAAGCTGTCCTCTTGCGTGGGGTCAGTTCCTGGATGGAGGTCACAAGATCAGATAAGCCAGTTAGTGGGTCTGGGTGACGATCCATCAAGTGCAAGGTCTGCAAAATATCTCAAGCACTGATCTTAGGAGCAGTATAGGGAGGGTCAGAATCCTGTAGCCTCTAGCTGCATGACTCCTAAACCATAATTTCTAATCTTGTGGCTAATTTGTTAGTCCTGCAAAAGCAGTCTAGTCCCCAGGCAATGAGGTTTGTTTTGGGAAAGGGCTGTTATTGTCTTTGCTTTACACTATAAACTAAGTTCCTCCCAAAGTTAGTTCAGCCTAGGCCCAGGGCAGCCTGGAGGTTAGAAGCAAGATGGAGTTGGTCAGGTCAGATCTCAGTTACAATTTTGCAGTGGTGGTTTCAGAAGGAACTCAAGCTTTTCCTTTATTTCCTTGCTTTCATGGTCGAGGGTTGCCCAGAAGGCCCCAAGAGGAGTCCCTGCTTTGTCTCATGATCACTTTTTCTTTCCTCAACACTCTTTGCTTTTGTCTCAATGACCCACTGATGATAAGATGTGGACCAATGGGGAACAAGAGGTTCCCCTTAGGTCCGAAGGTCAAGTCATCAGCTTCAGCCCAGTTGACCAGAGATTCCTGCATGTACTGACACTCGCTCCTCTTCTCCACACAGCTGTGAGGGGTGATCCACGGGGTCAGAGAGAGGCTATCTCAAAATCCTCTGAGATTCTTTAATTTTTCCTTCTTTTTTTTTTTGACAGTCTTGCTCAGTCACCCAGGCTGGAGCGCAGCTTACTGCAAACTTCTGGATTCAAGCAATTCTAGTGCCTCACTAAATGTGACTAATAGGGTCATGTCCTCAAGCTGTGAGTAGCTGAGGTTAGAGGTGTGCACCACCACGCTAATGTTTGTATTTTTAGTAGAGGTGGGGTTTCACCACTTTGGTCAGGCTGTGATCTGCCTGCCTCAGTCTCCCAAAGTGCTGGGATTACAGACATGAGCCACCGCTCCCAGCCTGAGAGTCTTAAAAAATCCTCTTGTCTGGGCCCCACTGAGGACCAATTAAATCAGACTCTCAGGGAGAGGTGTTTTGTATTTTATATAATTTTGCTTATTTTACAAAAATTTTTATTGAGTTACATATTACACTAGGATACATTAATCTTGAATCTTGACTGTACAGCTCAACAAAATTTTTTTTTTAGTTAATTTGTTTTGAAAGAAGGTCACCGAGGCTGAAGTGCAGTGGCATGATCACCACTCATTGCAGCCTCACCCTCCTAGGCTCAGGTGATCCTCCCACCTCAGCCTCTGGAGTAGCTAAGACTACAGGTGCAAGCCATCACGCCCAGCTAATTTTTAAATTTTTTATAGAGATGGGGTCTTGCTATGTTGTTTAGGCTGGGATTCCTGGCCTCAAGCAATCCTGCCATCTTGGCCTCCCAAAGTGCTGGGATTACAGGTGTGAGTCACCATGCACAGCCAGCTCAATGAATTTTTACATAAGTTTATGCCTATGTACCACCACCCAGATGAAGCTTTAGAACTTTTCTAGCACCCTCTAGGAAGTTCCTTAAGTCTCTCCTGATTCAGAATGGCTGGGATCCTGGCTAAACCCCCCCCAAGCCTGGAACGGTGGCCCTAAGCGAAAACAGCTGACCCCATTTTTCCTCCCAAATGTTGCCTTTTTGGCCTGCCATGCCCCTATCCTGTGTCCATAAAAAGACTACAGCTGGAAGAGCAACACAAGTGGCTGAGTGGTACACAGAGAAGCAACTGAGCATCAGAGACTATGGATAGACACAGCTGACTTCAGACTGTGCAGCTTTAGAGAGAGGCCCAGCCGGAGATGTCCCGGTTTCAGGGAATGATCGCTTTCTTCTCACACCATCCCCTTTCCAACTCCCCATCCCACTGAGAGCCACTTCCATTGCCCAGTAAAATCCTCCACATTCATTACCTTTTCAATCCGTTCCTGTGACCTGATTGTTCCTGGACTCTCGACAAGATCCCGGGTGCCAAGAGGGCAGGGGCTACCACCCTGACCCTCCAGTGAGCTAGTTGGCACTTTGCTGTCCCTGGGTGGCAGAGCTGAAAGAACACTGGTTGTAATATACTTGGATGCTGCTGTGGGGCCGCACAGAGCCTGCTCCTGCCATAGAGGAGCAACTGGCCAGTTCCAATATTCATTCGCTCCAGTTCCCACCCTCACTTGCTTGCATGCTCCCTCTTGTGAGGAGTGGCCAGTAGTGGGCTGAGATAAATGAGCCACTCCAGTTCCCTCCCACAAAGTGGGTGAAGGGAATTATCCTGTCTCACTCATAGGCAGTAAC
Source organism: Homo sapiens (assembly GCF_000001405.40). Lineage (NCBI taxonomy): Eukaryota > Metazoa > Chordata > Mammalia > Primates > Hominidae > Homo > Homo sapiens. The sequence continues at coordinate 24,386,872 of NC_000016.10, read as the reverse complement.
TCCTGCCACCCCACCAGAACAGGGCACCACTATTCTGACCTCTGTACCTCTAGATTGGTTTTGCCTGTTCTTGACATCATATAAATGAAGCTGTATAGTATGTGAGATTCATCCACTTTGTGGGGACAGCAGTCATTCATTCCACTGACGAATATATCACAAATTATTGATCCATCCTATTGATGATGAAAATGTGGTTGTTTTCAATTATTTGGCTATCGTAACAAAAGCTCCTATGAACATGTTGTACACTTTTTTTTTTTTTGACATGGAGTCTCACTCTGTTGCTCAGGCTGGAGTGTAGTGGCAAGATCGCAGCTTACTGCAACCTCCACCTCAAGTGATTCTCCTGCCTCAGCCTCCTGAGTAGCTGGGATTACAGGCTCTCACCAAAACACCCAGCTAATTTTTGTATTTTTAGTAGAGACAGGGTTTCTCCATGTTGGCCAGGCTGGTCTAGAACGCCTCACCTCACGTGATCTGCCTGCCTTGGCCTCCCAAAGTGCTGGGATTACAGGTGTGAGCCACTGTGCCCTGCCTGTACACTTATCTTTTTTTTTTTTTTTTTTTTGAAACAGAGTCTCACTCTATCACCCAGGCTGGAGTGTAATGGCACAGTCTCGGCTCACTGCAACCTCTGCCTCCCAGGTTCAAGCGATTCTCCTGCCTCAGCCTCCCGAGTAGCTGGGTTTATGGGCGTGTGCCACCATGCCCAGCTAATTTTTGTATTTTTAGTAGAGACGAGGTTTCACTATGTTGGCCAGGCTGGTCTCAAACTCCTAACTTCAAGTGATCCTCCTGCCTCAGCCTCCCAAAGTGCTGGGATTACAGGCGTAAGCCACTGCGCGCAGCCTCACTTTTATTTTTTGATGAACTTGTTTTTGTTAGGCATACACTTGAGGACGGGATTGTTGGGACATAGGGCAGGAGTATGTTTACCGTTTATAGCGTTGTCCAAAAGGCCACCAATATGGCCAAAGAGTAGAAAGGAGAGCTTTATTGGTGATATCAGTTTGTAAACTGGGAAGAGACAGTCTCCAGCCTGGACCAAAGGTGCTCTCTTTTCAAAGAGGGAAAGAGCAGGTTGGGTTTTTTGCCTCACAGGACTGGTATTGTACATATTCAGCAAGTCTGGGGGAACGGCTGTACATATTTATGAGAGGCGCTGAGTGCATGTGAATTGGGTAAACATATATGTAACATACATCTCATGCTCACTTTGGGGTAGTGTTCTAGCATTAAAATGATGTGGAATTTTGATCTTTACATAAAAAGTGAACTATAGGACACAGAAACAGTTTGTGCACAGCCTCTATAAACTGCCAAAACTGGCTTAAGGTCTGCAGTTGCTTATCAGAAAAAAAAAGACCGGTCCTCTGTCCGACAGAGTTGTAGTGGTCTGAGTTGTAAATCAGAGTTAGGAGAGGCCTGGTACTTTGCCTGGTACCTCCTATTGTGTTAGGCAGTTTAGAAAGGGTGTGGCTTTTCTTGTAGCAATTTACGGAGTTCGCATGCCAATCACTCTGAACCCTCAACCTGTGGGTAACTTCTGTTTCCCTAACCATAGGGCCCATCTTAGTTGATAAAGGGGAGTCTATTTTGGTCTCTCAGATCACAGTGGATAGGGCATAGGGTTTTGTTTGTCTGTTTCTAAGTTCCCAAGGTGGTTCTAATGTTTAGCCATAGTTGAAAACATCTGACGTGGCCGGGTGCGGTGGTTGGGCACAGGTGGGTGGCCCGCAGTGGCGGGCCTCCCAGCACTTTGGGAGGCTGAGGCAGCGGATCGCCTGAGGTCAAGAGTTCAAGACAAGGATGGCCAACATGGTGAAACCTTGTCTCTACTAAAAATACAAAAAATTAGCCAGACATGATAGCACATGCCTGTAATCTCAGCTACTTGGGAGGCTGAAGTGGGAGAATTGCTTGAACCCAGGAGGCAGAGGTTGCAGTGAGCTGAGATTGTGCCACTGCACTCCAGTCTGGGTGACAGAGCAAGACCCAGTCTCAAAAAAAAAAAAAAAAAAAAAAAAATCTGACCTGCAAGTTAAGTAGAGGAGGTAATTTGGGGCTGCATTGTAATAAAACCCAAGTTAAGGCTGGGTGCAGTGGTTCACGCCTGTAATCCCAGCACTTTGGGAGACCAAGGTGTATGGATCACTTGAGGCCAGGAGTTCGAGACTAGCTTGGCCAACATGGCAAAACCCTGTCTCTTCTAAAAATACAAAAATTAGCTGAGCACAGTGGCATGCGCCTGTAGTCTCAGCTACTCAGGAGGCTGAGGCAGGAGAATTGCTTGAACCCGGGAGGCGGAGGTTGCAGTGAACCAAGACTGCACCACTGCACTCCAGCCTGGGCAACAGAGTGAGAACTTGTCCCCCAAACAAACAAAAAACAACAAAACCCAAGTCAAAAAAAGGAGTAGCTGTGTCTTTAGCATAATAAAGCCAGATTAATTACTTGTCGATGAATAGGTCAAAGTCAAGTCATGAGAGACAAAAACATTTATTTGTGGTGGGGGTTTTTAAAGGGACGTTAGCATTGTGTTTGATTTCAGTTGCCTTGAGAGAAAACAAGCCATAGCCTAGAGTGGGTATGTCTACTTCCCTATCTTACCCTGCACCTTCATTCATGGGACAAGGATTCTTCCTCACTATCTGGAGAAACCAGAAGAATGTATCAAAGCTTACCCTCCCCACCAGCAAAAAGAGCAGAGGAGAAGTCTCTTCATATTCAAGAGACGCCTGAGATGGCAGATTCTGCAACACATGAGGCCAGCCTGGGGAATTGGGGTCTTACTTTTCTGGGGGTGGCAGGTAGAGCTCAGCTTGAGGACAGGGCATGTGGAGCACTGAACAGACTTTAGAGGGAGAGGAAAATAATAACATACAATATTGCAATTAATAAATAACTATATAATGAATATAAATGTAGTTAATATATAATAATACATAATAAAATAAATGGACTAAGGAAAGAAACACTTTCTTAAGACTTAAGTGTTCTGTAATCCCAGCACTTTTGGGGGCAGAGACAGGAGAATCGCTTGAGGCCAGGAGTTTGAGACCAATCTGGGAGACATAGTGAAACCACATATCTACAAAAAAATTTTGAAAAATAGCAGGGCATGGTGGTGTGTGCCTGCAGTTCCAGCAACTTGGGAAGCTGAGAGATGAGAAGATCACTTGAGCCCAGGAGCTCAAGGCTGCAGTGAGCTATGATTGCACCACTGCACTCCAGCAAGACCCTGTCTCTAAAAATTAAAAAGACTTAAGCGTTTGTTCTTGGACTGAAGGAAACATACACCTGTATTCCCTGCCCCAGTCCAGTTTCAACACTAGCTGTTTATTTCCCACTGGCGAATGAAAGATTTAGTTTCTATCCTATGATTAGGGGATGGCAGAGGTGGACTCTGTGGAGCAAAGTCCCCGCCAGGCAGCTGAAATCCTAACACACCAAAGACTGTCTCTAAAGATAACCCAGCTTTGGTTTACATAGCAGACGCCATGTCAGAATTAGAGTTATTTCCTCTGTCCTAGCGGGAGAGGTAATGGAAGGTCATGTTATCATTCTTGGGAAGATGAATTTCCTCAGAGCAACAAAAGGCCTTTTTATTGTGATGCTCTGGGCCCCTCTGGAGGAAATCAGGCTCTATTCTCTAGGAAAGGGGAAGTAATAATAGTCAGTCTTTAAGGAACAAATAAGAGAAGCTCTCAGGTAACTGTGGGCCTCCTGGGAACAATCCATGAACTACTTTTAAAGGGTGAGTAGCCCCATTGTCTTGGAAGAATGAAATAGAGCTTTTTAAGAGCTTAAAGGAGATGAATAGCTCTTGCACGTGTCCCTGGGAAAGATAAAAAGGCAGAACTTCCTGGGTGGCTAATTGGGGGTAATGGTGACAGCTCTAAGTGGAAACGCTAAGCAAATGCTCAACTCTGTGGAGTGAGATTCTCCCTTAGAACTGCCATGCATTGCAACAGCTGCGGTCAGTTGAAGGATAGTGTGAGCACTGGCACATGAAACAGAAACCATGTGTGACATCAAGGAGGGTGTTAACAATGGGTGAGTGGACCCTCAAGGCATGGAAGCTGGCCTATAATATTTTCCTCCCCACTCTGAAGCCTGCAAATGTCCCCAAATGTCCCTTCCTCAAAATCTGCTATCCCTCTTCAACAGACAATAAAGCTCCAACCATCTAAGCTGCCTTTTTTTTTTTTTTTTGAGACAGTCTTGCTCTGTCACCCAGGCTGCAGTGCAGTGGGACTATCTCAGCTCACTGCAGCCTCCACCTCCCGGGTCCATGTGATTCTCTTGCCTCAGCCTCCCAAGTAGCTGGGACTACAGGTGCCCACCACCACACCTGGCTAATTTTTGTATTTTCAGTAGAGACAGGGTTTCACCATGTTGGCCAGGCTGGTCTCGAGCTCCTGACTTCAAGTGATCTGCCCACCTCAGCCTCCCAAAATGCTGGGATTACAGGCATGAGCCACCACGCCCGGTCTGTTGCCAAAAATTTACCATCTCAGGTGTCTACTGTCTTCTGCCCTCTTCTGCTGGTGGAGAGGAATATGCTCTGATCTCTGTTTCTCCTGGTGGAGAAGGAGGAGGGGGAGGGAAGAAAGAAAGAGTCCTGGTCCCATGGATGGGGGGTACAAGGAAAGGGGTTGCAACCATAATAGATTTGTTGCCTGATGCACACAGCAAGTTGATATGCCAAGACATCAGGTTGCAGCAGAGGGCCACCAAATGAGGAGATGGGAGGGAAATCCCATCTCCAACTTCTTGAGGAATGTTAGATACAGTTAGGTCCCCTCTTCAAACAACTTATCCAGTTTCCCCGTTCTCTATCCTATAATTCCAAATACCCCCTTGCCTTTGCTGTGCCCCATCTTGTCTGAATATGCCTAGGCATGCCTGAACTTGCCACAACCCCAGTCCACATTCCTTTCCTTATTAGGGAATAGGTTACCTTCCTAGTCCCTCCATAAATAACCCCCCTTCTCTCTCTTGTCACCTCCCTTACATGCCTACCTTATCTAAGAAAGTTAAAATGTTTAGTCAGTTGGGACTAGTTTAGACTGTGCAGTCCAACCCTAGCCAATTGGGGAAAGACACAGAAGCAGAAGCTGCAGTAGAGTTAATAAAAACCCCTGCTTTCCTCTGTTCTGTGTTCTCTTGCCATTGCTCCATATGCAAGATGCACCCTTCTGCAGAAGTAAATTTGCCTTGCTGAGATGTTCTCTAAGTGCTTGTTTTCTTTGTGACTCCGAGCTCTTTTTCCCAACAAGGAATTTGGGGATAGGGTTTTTAAGGGTTTTGGAGTAAGCTGGAGTGTGGAGATTGTTGATTGGTTGAAGAGTGCAGAGTAAAGTTATGGGACAGGGGGATGAAGAAGCTGTGTTCTCATGCTGATCCTGTTCCTCTGGGGATCTTCAAACTGATTGGCATCAGCTGTTTCACTGGAATTTGAGATCTGAAAAACATCTTAAGTAATTCTTAAACAAAAGCCTTATGATTCTAATGTCAGGAACAATGGGGATGATACTCAATTTTTTTTTTTTTTTTTTTTTGAGAGATGGAGTCTTACTTTGTTGCCAGGCTGGAGTGCAGTGGCGGGATCTCAACTCACTGCAACCTCTGCCTCCTGAGTTCAAACGATTATTGTGCCTCAGCCTCCCGGGTAGCTGGGATTACAGGCGTGTGCCACCATACCCAGCTAATTTTTGTATTTTTAGTAGAGATGGGGTTTCACCATGTTGCCCAGGATGGTCTCGGTCTCCTGATCTCATGATCCACCCGCCTCAACCTCCCAAAGTGCTGGGATTACAGACGTGAGCCACTGCGCCCAGCCAAAAGTCAATTTTTTTTTTTTTTTTTGGGACAGAGTCTCACTCTGTCACCCAGGCTGGAGTGCAGTGGCACAATCTTGGCTCACCGCAACTTCTGCCTCCCAGGGTCAAGTGATTCCCCTGCCTCAGCCTCCTGAGTAGCTGAGACTACAGGCGTGTGCCACCATGCCTGGCTAATTTTTGTATTTTTTAGTACAGACGGGGTTTCACTGTGTTGGCCAGGCTGGTCTTGAACTCCTGACCTCGTGATCTGCCCACCATGGCCTCCCAAATTGCTGGGATTACAGGCGTGAGCCACCATGCCTAGCTAAAAGTCAATTCTTAAACAGTCTTAGGACCCTACTGTCCAAAATCTTATCTATAGGAATCATGAGGATGCAATGGTCAGTGTCCAGTGCTATGTGACTTTAGCAACAAGGAAGTGGGGCAGAGTGCAGCCTGATTAGGGCTTAATTATAACTATATTTCTGTCCAGAAACCGGCATGTAGTTCTTGTCAACACTGTGCGAATAGTTTTAGGGGGATCTTTCCCATTCAATTGTGGCTCACTGTCTCCTAATGTAACTGAAGTCAGACTCTACTCACTTCCTGAGATTAACTTCTTATCAAAGACCATCTCCCCATTAAGGGGACATTTAAAAAGCTATACAGGAGAAACCTGCAAGAAAAGAGATAGGTATAGGCTCCAATCAGGTTTAAGTTATTTTGGAGAAATGTAAGATTTATTGCTGTACTCACTCCTGTTCAGTGTTGTGAATTATTTAAAATCTAATACAGTGAATATTACCAACATAATTATGGAGGAATAGGAAAGTGTTAATGTTTCAGAGGCCTGATGCTACCCCGGCCTAATATTACTCATGAGGAAGCTTAATATTTAAACAGAATTGGAATGAACTGGGCTGATTTAAACCGCTTCCTTTATGTTCAAAGCAGACATTATCTTCTCAAGGTGGAATGGCCTTCCATTTGCATAATGTCTTTCCTTTTGTTCCCTCTGTTGTCCCAACTAATTGCTTTAGAATACTGACCTCTGCTGTTTCTCCTGTCTTTCTTGCCAATAATGATTTATGGTCCTCTTCCCTCTTGATACATAAAATGTGAAATGAAAATTCAAGCACTTCAAAGGCACAAGACTTTGTGTAACTCCCCCACATCCAGAATGGCAATATTGATCCTGGGTGCCAGAGAGTGGATCAGGGTAGAGGAGAGAGAAGCCAGCTCCCCTTGGCTTCCTTCTTAACCAAAGTGTTTTATTATGGAATGAGAGGGGCTGGGTTTGGAGAAAAGGTTGTAGGAGTTGGGTTCCTAAAATGTTCATAGAAGTTCCCCTTCCTAAGGTAGGCTTGGAGTGGGGATTGCCTGCTTCTTTGAGGTTATTATAACCAGATAAGTTTCTGTGACTGAATTGTTCTGCCTTCTCTAAATTGTCCTGGAACCTTAAAGGATAAAGATACTGAGGCTGGGGGTGGATAGGGCTTGTATTTCTAATGATTGAACAAGTTATAATTTATTAAGTATTGACTATAAGCCAGTCATGTGTTAAGTGCCATGTAGGCATCATCTTGTTAAACTTTCACTGCACTCAGTGAGTAGGATTCTATTGTTATCCCCATTTTGCAGTGTAGAGAGACATTTTTTTCCCTCTACCCTCTTAGATTTCGTAACTAGGACCCTATAAATTGAACTGACAAAAGGATAAAGGCATACAGATTGTATTTGTTGCTAATATTTAATTTTGTACGTGTATACATGGATCTCACAGAAAAGGAAATGAAAACTCAAAGAAGTGGTTAGGCCTGAGAGGTTATATACCATTTTAACAAAGAGCAATAAATGTGTGGATAAGTGACAAGACAAAGTGACAAGACAAAGGAAAAGGTTTTATGCTTCTGGGGGTGGTAAATTGTGGGAAGATAAATACCTAGAAAAGGGGGAAATAAAGAGAAGATAATGGTTATTTCAGTAAGGTTTGTTTATGCAGATTCAAGCTGGTGCAATCTCCAGTGATAAGAGTCATCTCCTTTTCCTGGTATGACAGAAGGGAGCCCGGACACCTTTTTATGCTCTGCCTTTATATAGAAAGTAGAGGGTAGAGAACTTTTCTGCATCTGCTGTTTTTTTCTCAATTGCCTTCAGCTCAAAATAATTCTTATGCCAAAGTGTCATATTTTGGGGTGGCATGCTCTGATGCCCTTCAGCAGCTGAGTAAACTGAAGCACAGAAAGCACCTTGCCTAAAGCCACAGAGCAGGGACTAGAACTGGGCCTATTTTAAAGATAGGGAGGATAAGCCTGGGGTAGTAGGGGAGCTTTGTGTGGCAAGTCAGTCATGGTCACATAGCTCAAAGTTTCTGCTCTCTGAGGTCCTTTAGCCCTTGGGACACCTGGCACAGGAAAAGAAGCTGCTTGATCTCTAAGCAGGTGAGCACTAGTAGGAGTGAGTGTAACAGGTTCATCTTGCCTGCTGCACAGATAAAACCAATTAACAGAGACAGCCATATTGCTGTAGACAAAGACTTTAGGCAGGCACAGTGGCTCACACCTGTAATCCCAGCACTTTGGGAGGCCGAGGAGGATGGATCACAAGGTCAAGAGATTGAGACCAGCCTGGCCAATATGGTAAAACCCTGTCTCTACTAAAAACACAAAAATTAGCTGGGCGTGGTAGCTCATGCCTATAGTCCCAGCTACTTAGGAGGCTGAGGCAGGAGAATCGCTTGAACCTGGGAGGCAGAGGTTGCAGTGAGCTGAGATCATGCTGCTGCAGTCCAGCCTGGTGACAGAGTGAGACTCCATCTCAAAGAAGAATAAAAAAAAAGAGAGAGAAAGAGTCTGATAATCACAGGGCTAGCTGAATGGAAGGATGGGAGTAAGTACTCAAATCAGCCTCCCGAAGAACTCAGAGGCTAGAGTTTTGTTTTTTATTTTTTTGAGATGGAGTTTCACTCTTGTCTCCCAGGCTGGAGTGCAATGGCGCAATCTCCACTCATTGCAACCTCCACCTCCTGGATTCAGGTAATTCTCCTGCCTCAGCCTCCCAAATAGTTGGGATTACAGGCACCCACCATCACACCTGGCTAATTTTTGTATTTTTAGCAGAGATGGGGTTTCACCATGTTGGCAAGGCTGGTCTTGAACTCCTGACCTCAGGTGATCTACCCGGCCAAAGTGCTGGGATTACAGGTGTGAGCCACCACGTCTGGCTGAGGCTAGGGTTTTTATAAGTAATTTGGTGGGCAGGAGGCTAAGGAGTGGGTGCTACTGATTGGTTGGGGATGAAATCATCGGGGTATGGGAAACAGTCCTTGTATGCTCAGTCAGCCTCTGGGGGCTGAGTCAGGAATCATGAGGTCCAGGTGGAGGCAGTTGGCTGCCAGAATGCAAAAGTCTGAAAAACATCTCAAAAGACCAATTTCGGGTTCTACAATAGTGATGCTATCAACAGGAGCAATTAAAGAAGTCATAAATCTTGTGACCTCTGGACATATAACTGTCAAGCAAACAGATTATAGAAAAGCAAGCTAGGGGACATTGGCTGATTATCCTTTTTCTATGCCTACATCTTGGCAGAATTTAGGCCCCTCCCATAATCCTAATCTTGTGACCTTTCGTTATTCTTACAAAATCGGTTTCAGTCCCCAAACAAGGAAGGGATCAGTTTTAGGGAGCAGCTATTATTATCCTTGCTTCAAAGTTAAACTATAAATGAAATTCTTCCTTTGGTTAGCTTGGCCTATGCCCAAGAATGAGTGAGGACAGACAGTCTGTGAAGCTAGTAGCAAGATGGAGTCAGCCATTCTAGACTTCTCTTATGAGAGTCAGGACCAGAGGGTCAGAGGTCAGAGAGGAGTCAAGACTGGAAGTGGGGAATAAGATTCAGGTTTCATGTCTTTAAAAATGGTGGTGGGAGCTAGGCATGGTGGCTCACACCTATAATCCCAGCACTTTGGGAGGCTGAGGCGGGCAGATCATGAGGTCAGGAGTTCAAGAGCAGTCTGGCCAACATGGTGAAACCTCGTCTCTACTAAAAATACAAAAATCGGCTGGGTGTGGGGTGGAGTCTGTAATCTTAGCTACTCGGGAGGCTGAGGCAGGAGAATTGCTTGAACCTGGGAGGCGGATGTTGCAGTGAGCTGAAATCGTGCCACTGCTCTCCAGCCTGGGCAACAGAGCAAGACTCCGTCTCAAAAAAAAAAAAAAAAAAAAAAAATTAGCTGGGTGTGGTGGTGCATGCCCACAATCCCAGCTACTCAGGAGGCTGAGGCAGGAGAATAGCTTGAACCCAGGAGGTAGAGGTTGCAGTAAGCCTAGATAGTGCCACCGCACTCCAGCCTGGACGAAAGAGCAAGACTCCATCTCAAAAAAAAAAAAAAAAAAGTCATGGTGGGGAGAGGGAAGAAGGCAGGGAAGGAAGAGGATATTGAGAGTTAAGGCTGTGAAAGGATTTATTGCAAGGAATGGGCTTATGTGATTGTGGAGGCTGGCTGGGTAAATCCAAAATCCATAGAGCAGGCTGTTAGGAAGGGCAGGCTGAAAACTCTTGGGTAAGAGCTGGTGTTGCTGTCCACAGGTGGGATTTCTTCTTCTGTAGGGAAGCCTCAGTTTTACTCTTAAGGCCCTTTAACTGACTGTATCGGGCCCACCCAGAAGATTGAGAGTAATCCCCTTTACTTAAAGTTAACTGACTGTACATGTTAATCATGCCTACAAAATTTCTTCATAGCAACATCTGGATTAGGATTAGGTTTGATTGAATAATTCCATACTATAGGTTAGCCAAATTGACACATAAAAGTGATTATCACAGTGCCCAATAAACAGTTGCTGAATTAATAAATAATAAACTAGGCCAGGCATGGTGGCTTATGCTTGTAATCCCAGCACTTTAGGAGACCAAGGTGGGAGGATTGCTTGAGTCCAGGAGTTCAAGACCAGCCTGGGCAACATAGTGAGACTCCATCTTTACAAAAATAAAAAATAAAAATAAATACCCAGGCATGATGCCCAGCTACTGAGGAGACTCAAGTAAGGGGATCGCTTGAGTCCAGGAAGCTGAGATTGCAGTGAGCCGTGAATACACCATTACACTCCAGCCTTGGAGACAGAGTGAAGCCCTGTCTCAGTAATAGTAATAATAATAATAATAATAAGCTAGTGTGCTTTGTTTTGAGACAGAGTCTCACTCACTCTGTTGCCCAGGCTAGAGTGCGGTGGTACATTCTCAACTCACTGCAAACTCTGCCTTCCAGGTTTAAGCGATTCTCCTGCCTCAGCCTCCAGAGTAGCTGGGATTACAGGCATGCACCACCACACCTGGCTAATTTTTGTATTTTTATTGGAAACGGGGTTTCTCCATTTTGCCCAGGCTGGTCTCGAACTCCTGGCCTCAAGTGATCCACCTGCCTCGGCCTCCCAAAGTGCTGGGATTATAGGCATGAGTTACTGCGCCCGGCCCTGCTAATGTTTATTTGGGAGTTAATATACGCCACACACTGTTCTAAGAACTTTGTATATATTAATTTGTTTGCCCTTCCCAACAAATATATGAAGCCAGCATTATTACTTTTGTTAGACATTAGTGCTGTTTATCAATCATTATTTCCTCTTCTCCCTTTTTGCAGTATTATGGGCGGCAAGCCACCCAGGCGCCGAGGCAAGAGACAGAGGACACGAGCTGTTCCAGTATAATAAAATATAAAACAAGAATAGTTATACCAGATATAGATCTTAGAGATGATTATATATGAATATCATTAATCATTAGTTGGTAGTAATTACTCTTTATCCCAATATTATAATAATCTTCGCTCTATAATCATAACCTAAGAAAAACCAGGCCATACAGAGATAGGAGCTGAGGGGACATAGTGAGGTGTGACCAGAAGACAAGAGTGCGAGCCTTCTGTTATGCCCAGACAGGGCCACCAGAACGGCTCCTTGGTCTAGCGGTAACGCCAGCGTCTGGGAAGACGCCCGTTGCTGAGCGGACGGTGGTCTAGCGGTAGCGTCGGTGTCAAGGAAAAACACCTGCTACTTAGCGGACCGGGAAAGGGAGTCTCCCTTTCCCTGGGGTGAGTTTAGAGACGACTCTACTCCTCTACCTCTTATGGAGGGCCTGACATTGTCAGGCTTGCCCGCAGTTATCCAGGGGCCTAACCGTCTCCCTGTGATGCTGTGCTTCAGTGGTCATGCTCCTAGTCCGCCTTCATGTTCCATCCTGTACACCTGGCTCTGCCTTCTAGATAGCAGTAGTAAATTAGTGAAAATACTAAAAGTCTCTGATATGCAAAAATAATGGTGTAAGCTGTCTTTCTCTTTGTCTCCTCTCTCTCTCTGCCTCGGCTGCCAGGCAGGAAAGGGCCCCCGTCCAGTGGACACGTGACCCACGTGACCTTACCTATCATTGGAGATGACTCACACTCTTTACCCTGCCCCTTTTGCTTTGTATCCAATAAATAACAGCGCAGCCAGACATTAGGGGCCACTACCGGTCTCCACACATTGGTGGTAGTGGTCCCCCAGGCCCAGGTGTCTTTTCTTTTATCTCTTTGTCTTGTGTCTTTATTTCTACACTCTCTCGTCGCTGCACACGGGGAGAGACCCACTGACCTTGTGGGGCTGGTCCCTGCACAGCATGTGGTAGGTTTTCACTTTGCAGTATTCTTCACATTTGGTATAGCCATGGGACTTGTTTTGATCAATAATTATGTGAGTGATGTGTATCACTTGCAGGTGGAAACATTTAAGAGCCAGTTTATTTTTCTTTTCTCCTTTTCATTTTGACCAACGATGTTCATATGGTAGAGCCTCTTCTCAGCTTTTGTCTTCTGGAGTGGGCAACATGTGCAGAACCCCAGCTGATCACGTTGGATACATAGCATGTGTTTCTCTCTTTTTTTTTTTTTTTTTAAGATGGAGTCCCGCTTTGTCCCCCAGGCTGGAATCTTGCTCTGTCCCCCAGGCTGGAGTGCAGTGACATGATCTTGCCTCTCTGCAACCTCCGCCTCTGAGGTTCAAGCGATTCTCCTGCCTCAGCCTCCTGAGTACCTGGGATTACAGGCACGTGCCACCATGTCTGGCTAATTTTTGTATTTTCAGTAGAGACGGTGTTTCGCCATGCTGACCAGGCTGGTCTTGAACTCTGACCTCACGTGATCCACCCACCTGGGCCTCCCAAAATGCTGGGATTACAGGCGTGAGCCACCGCACCTGGCTGCATGTGTTTCAAGCTACTGATTTTGGAGGGTCGTTTGTTCCCACTGTGTAGCCCAACCTATCCTGATAATCCCATTTTATGGGTGAGGAAACTGAGGCACAGAGAGGTTAAGTCACTTGTCAAGTCGCACAACTAGTAGATGGTGAAGCCAGGATTTACTCATTCATGTATTAATCCATGCTCTCTAGAACCTTAAAACAACTCAGGTTTCCAATTTTCTAAGGCCTGGGCTTCAACTTCCCCACCCCTGTACCAGTGGTTCTCAGTTGGAAGTGACTTTAGCCTCTCCCACTTCAAGGAGACATTTGGCAATGTCTGGGAGACATTTTTGGTTGTCATAACTTGGAGGGGAGGGGAGTCGTCCTGCTGCTATCTCATGGATAGAAGCCAGAGAGGCTGATACACATCCCACCATGAATGGAACAGACCACCCTCCACCAAAACAAAGAATTATCCAGCTTCAAATGCCAATAATGCTGCTGTTGAGAGGCCCCGACTTACAATAAATTCCTCTGTTGCTTAAGTTAGCTGCAGTTGATTTCTTTTGCTTGCTACCAGACAGTCTGTTGGGTTATTATGAGTTAGTTAATTGATTAATTGAGAGTGGTGGGGTGTCAGTGCTGGGACTGGTCTTATTTGACATTTGCCTAACTGATCTGGAGGTGTAAGTGGTGAGAGCTCCACATTTGCTGATGACACTTCACTGTGCCAGGTAGTGAAATGCCAAGCCGCTGGTGATAAGCTGCAGGAAGATCTCACCAGGCTGTGTGAGTGGGCAGAGGAGTTGCCAAGGATGAGCTTCAGTGTGGGCAAGTGTAAGGTGCCGCGCTTGGCAAAAATAATCCAAGCTATACATAGAGGTTCGAAGAGGATGGAACAGGATAGAAGAAAATGAATAAAAATTAAAAGAACTCCAGAGTGATCCCCAAGACTACCTGATTATAAGACTCACCTGAGCTCCAGCTAACGGTACAGGTGCACAAGCTCTTGCCCTGGAGATACTTGGTCAGGAGTCTGTGCATTACTTCTCAGGCCTGCTTTTAATTTCCTGTGGGAATGCAGAGCCAGCTTTTACAGATTTCCTGATTTTTGAAGAGAAGCCACAAATCCTGGCTTTTATGTGTATGTTCCCATTTTCCCTCATTTTTGGTCTCTTTTAATTTTGATATAATTTGAATCTATAGAAAAAACTGCAAGGAAGTTATAAACAGCTTCCATATACCATTTACCCAGATTCACCAATTGTTAACATTTTGCCCCATTTTCTGCATCATTGTAAGTTCCTAAATTTTAAAATCACACTACAGATCAAGCTAAAAATGAAAAAGAAGGATTTTTTTTTCCCTTAAGACAAGGTCTCACTCTGTCATCCAGGCTGAAGTACAGTGGTGCAATCATAGCTCACTGCAGCCTTGACTTCCTGGGCTCAAGCAATCCTCCCACCTCAGCCTCCCCAGTAACTGGGCCTATAGGTGCGTGCCTCAAAGCCGGGCTAATGTTTTGTAGAGACAGAGTTTTGCCATGTTGCCTAGGCTGGTCTTGAACTCCTCGGCTCAAGTGATCTGTCCACCCCAGGCTCCCAAAGTGCTGAGATTACAGGCATGGGCCACTGGGCCATTGAGCCTGGCCAAAATATATATATATTTTTTTAAAGAGGTGAGGTCTCGCTGTGTTACTCAGGCTGGTCTCAAACTCTTGAGTTCAAGCAATCCTCCCACCCCAGCCTACCGAGTAGCTGGGACTACAGGTGCACACAGCCATGCGTTGGTTGTGAATGAAATTTAGTCCTCACGCTATCAATTGGTGACTTCTGAAGCCCAGTCTTACATCAGACTAATTAACAATCTCTGGGTTGGAGACTGGACATTTGTATTTTTAAAGAATTCCCTCTTGGTGATGCTAATGTACAGCTAGGGCTGAGAACCACTGGTGCCGGTCCCCGATGGTAATTTTATTCCCCTTATTGGTGACTGGTTTAGGAATGAGCACATGACCCAACACTGTCCTGTGAAAGCTTTTTCCACTCTTTTTTTTTGAGACGGAGTCTCAATCTGTCGCCTGGGCTGGAGTGCAGTGGTACGATCTTGGCTCACTGCAAGATCTGCCTCCCGGGTTCATGCCATTCTCCTGCCTCAGCCTCCCAAGTAGCTGGGACTACAGGCGCCTGCCACCATGCTTGGCTAATTTTTTGTATTTTTAGTAGAGCCGGGGTTTCACAGTGTTAGCCAGGATGGTCTTGATCTCCTGACCTCGTGATCCGCTCACCTCGGCCTCCCAAAGTGCTGGGATTACAGGCGTGAGCTACCATGCCTGGCCTACTTTTTCCACTGTTAAAGACACCTTTCTGCTGGATGTTGTACCTTGATACAATGGGATATTGTATTTAGATATGATAGTATATTGGCCTAAGCATGGAAGTGTGGAAAATAAAAAGACTTTGGGTTCTTGAGTTTATCTTTGAGCTGCTGAAGTAACTAACCCTGGGACCCCTTTACCTTGAGATTTCTTTTTATGGAGCAGACATTTTTCGTATTTAGGTTACATGGCAGACACCTGCCAAAGATTTGTGCACACTTTATATAATATAAACATATTATTATTTGGAAGCAATTCTCCGGACATGGATGACATTTTCAGCATTCCTTCTCCTGGAATTTAGATGGAACTATGTGATTCATTCTCACCAGTGGAATGTGACATAAAGTGGGTTACTTGTGGGCCAAGGTTGTTATGTTTAGGTGCATGATCCTTCACATTCTCACCACCACTTCTTTTCTCTTCCCTCCCTTTACCAGGTGGATGACACCAGGATAGCCCTGAAGCCACAATATGGTAGAACTACAAGACAGAAGCAGCTTGGGTCCCTGAGTCACTGTGTGGAGTAGAGCCATCTAGGAGTGTTACTCAGCCAGGAGTGCCTGCAGTAGTCTTTAGTAAGAAATAAAGTTTTCTTCTGTTAAGTACTTGAGATTTTAGGATTTATTTTGTTATGACAGATGGCCTAGTCTACCTGATTAATACAAGCTAGTTAAGTTGGAGTTAGGTGTTACTTGCAGCCAAAAGCATCTTACCTAAAGCATTAGACAAGGACCCGTAAGTCGAGATTACCATCTCAAAACTGGTTTTTTGTTTGTTTGACTTGTTTATTATTTACAAAAATAAAGCTATCAACATACCATGAATTTTATATAATATCCAGGGATTCTTGCTTTCAACTTGGTGACTTGGCCTTGCCATTGCCTTTATGATGTCTTCTTAGACTGATGCTTTACTAAACCCTCAGACCTGGCCACTTTTTTTCTGGTTACTGGTTCTCTCTCAGTCTTGGCTGTTTCTGAACTGAACTTGCTTTGAGGTTCTGATCTCTCTTCAACAAACATCCTGACTAAATACCATTCTGGCATGGCTGTTCTGTCTCTACAAGGGACTCTCAGCTGTACACCTGTAACCGAGTGTTCCTCTGTTCTAGAGACACAGCTTCTGGTTAGTGTTTATTTGGTAGCCCACTCAGGCTGGCTCAAGAAAAGGGAGGATTGTTGAAGGAATGCAGAAAAAGTGACCCAGGGATCTGAGAATGGCAACTCAAATTGAGATGGGCCTTGAGGAGACGGGACAGGGAAGCTATTAGAAACAAAGAAGAGACCAAGAATGGTGGCTCATGCCTGTAAATCCCAACACTTTGGGGGCCTGATGCGGGAAGATCACTTGAGCCCAGGAGTTTGATACCAGCCTGGGTAACACAGTGAGACCCTGTCTCTACAAAAAATAAAAAAAATTAGCTGGGTGTGGCAGCACACCTGTAGTTCCAGCTACTCAGGAGGCTGAGGTGAGAGGATCACTTGAGCCCAGGAGGCTGAGGCTACAGTGAGCCGTGATCGCATCTCCGCACTCCAGCCTGAGTGACAAGGAAGCCGCTCCCTTCCTCTCCCTTGAGATGTTTCTGCTTTCCTCTAAACAGTTCTTAATGCATTCTCCTTCCGACCCACCACGTGAACGGCTCCATATTAGGCATGGATTATATGGTCAAGGACCTTGCTCTCACAAAATGTGTGTTCTTGTAGAGAAATCTATAAAAATAAATAAACAAAAACAAAATAAAATATTACAAAATTTTGACCTCTCAAGGGAATAAGGATGAACTCGAGTAAAGAATAAGAGGTGATCTACTTTAGAGAGTTGTTGAGGAAAGTCCTCTCTCAGGAGTGACTTGTCCAGCTCAGATCTGAAGGATGAGAAGGGGCCAGCCATGTAAAGAGATTGAAGACATTTCAATCAGTAGGAATGGCAGGTGCAAAGGCCCTGAGGCTTGAGCAAGGAACTGAAAAAAGGACAGCCTGACTGGAGTGCAGGTAGCAAGATGGAAGTATTAGATTGGCGCAAAAATAATTGCAGTTTTTGCCATTGAAAGTAATGGCACAGAATAAAGTTACTTTCGCACCAACTTAATGGCACAGAATAAAGTTGAATGGGTCAGCATGCTCCTGATAATGCAAGAACTTGGAGATCCTAGACAAATTTTGTTTTTTTTTTTTTTTTTTTTTGAAGAAGGAGTCTCCCTGCACCCAGGCTGGAGTGCAGTGGCGTGGCCTCGGCTCACTGCAACCTCCACCTCCCAGGTTCAAGCAATTCCCCTGTTTCAGCCTCTTGGGTAGCTGGAACTACAGGTGCCCACCACCATGACTGGCTAATTTTTTTTTTGTATTTTATGTAGAGACGAAGTTTCACCATATTGGTCAGGCTGGTCTTGAACTCCTGACTTCAGGTGATCCACCCGCCTCAGCCTCCCAAAGTGCTGGGATTACAAGCGTGAGCCACCATGCCCGGCCAAAAATTTGAATTTTATTTACGTACAATGAGAAGCCTTTACAGAGTTGTCTTCTCTTTACCAAGCAGTTTTTTTTGGTATAACTTTAACCTGCATTTGGCTGACTGTTGCAGCCCTAGCCTCATGGGTCCCTCATATCCTCTCTGTTCTGCTCCTTGTAGCCAACTGGTAATTGCCTTTTGTGTCTCTTAGTTAAGTCTCTTAGAGATCATCTGATTGGACCAGCTGACCTTTTGGAGTCTAGTTGCAAATCCTAGACCACTGGCCATCCTATGACTGGATTGGCTGGCCTTATATCAGGTGCAATCTTTGATCCAATCAGCTGTGACCAAGGACAGGTCCTGCCTTCCTACCAGGGACTGTAGATAAAGCAGGCAATGATACTCCAGAGATAAGATCTAGGAAACTAGCATTTCACTGGGTGCCTAACTTATTAAACTTCTGAAAATACATGTTAGGTAGTGTCTAATGTATTCCTGATTAAAACTGTCAAATGGCTTCTAAATGCACTTAGGGTCAAAACTCAACATCCTTAGCATGCCCTTAATGCTGCATCCTCTGGACCCAGCTTTCTTTCCTGTTCTCATCAGTGCTACTCTTCCTACACCTTACTGGCCTGTTTTGCTGTTGTTGTTTGCTTGGTTGGTTGTTTTTTGTTTGTTTGTTTGTTTTTGGTCTCTCCAGTCTCAGGACATTGCACATGCTGGTTTTTTTCCCCTAGACACTTTATTTATTCCCTTTCCTCGAATAACTCCCAATCTTGCTTTTGCTCTGATCCTAAATGTCATTTCCTCTTCTTTGATCTCCCCTCCACCAGCTAAATTAGAGGTCCCTGTTTATTTATTTATTATGTTATTTTATTTTATTTTTTGAGATACCGTCTGGCTGTGTCGCCCAGGCTGGAGGGCAGTGGCTTGATCTCGGCTCACTGCAACCTCCGCCTCCCAGGTTCAAGTGATTCTCCTGCCTCAGCCTCCTGAGTAGCTGAGATTACAGGCGTGTGCCACCACATCCGGCTAATTTTTGTATTTTCAGTAGAGGTGAATTTTCACCATGTTGGCCAGGCTGGTCTCGTACTCCTGACCTCAAGTGATCCACCCACCTCGGCCTCCCAAAGTGCTGGGATTACAGGTGTGAGCCACCGCACCTAGCCAGAGATTCCCATTTATATTTGTATTTTTTGCATTACGTTTTCCCTTCATGACATAGATCACAATTTTGAATGATGTTGATGTGTATGTTCATTTGTTCAGTGCTTGTCTCCTCCACTAGACTGAGACTTCCATGAGGACAGTGGTCATATCTTTTGGGATTATTACTCCTTCTGGCTGTCTTAGTCTGTTTTGTGTTGCTGTGAAGGAATCTCTGAGGCTGGGTAATTTATATATAACAGAGGTTTATTTGGCTCACGGTTCTGCAGGCTGTACAAGAAACATGGTGCCAGCATCTGTTCTGGTGAGGGCTCAGGAAGCTTTTACTCACAGCAGAAGGCAAGGGGAGCCGGCATATGCAGAGATTACATGGCAAGAGAGGAAGCAAGAGAGAGACAGAGGGGAGGTGTCAGGCTGTTTTAAACAACCAGCTCATGTGAACTAATACAGTAAGAATCCGCTCATTCCCAAGGGAGGGCATTAATCTACTCATGAGGGATCCACCTCTCTGACCCATCTGCCTCTCATCAGGCTCCACTTTCAGCATTGGGGATCAAATTTCAACATGAGGTTTGAAGGGGGTCAAACATCCAAACGATAGCACCAGCGCACAATAAGTGCTGAATGATAAGTGCTGAATAAATAAATGAATGAATAAATGGATGAATGCGCAGAAGTGAGAGATTGTGTGGCCCGAGGAGCCACAAAAGACTTCATGGTGCTGGGTGCAATGGGTCATGCCTGTAATCCCAATACTTTGGAAGGCCGAGGTGGGCAGATCACTTGAGGTCAGGAGTTTGAGACCAGCCAACATGGCAAAACCCCATCCCTAATAAAATACAAAAATTAGCCGGGAGTTTTAGTGTACACCTGTAATCCCAGCTACTTGGGTGAGTAAGGCATGGGAATTGCTTGAACCTGGGAGGCGGAGGTTGCAGTGAGCTGAGATTGTGCCGCCACATTCCAGCCTGGGCAACAGAGTGAGACTCTATCTCAAAAAAAAAAAAAAAAAGACTTCATGGAAAGCATGAGGCTTGACCTTGGCCTTGAAGGATGGATAGGATTTGGAGAGGGCAAGCGGAAACATTTCAGGTAGGGATAACCTTTATCAGCAAAGGCAGAGAATCGGGAGAAAGCCTGAGCTAGCCCAGGGTATAGTGTGGACACCAGCCTGATTAGTGCAGAAGCCTGTGCTGACAAGATCTGGAAAAGAAGATTGTCCAGGCAGAAAAGCACCCAAATGGGAAAAATGTAAATCTGTGAACTATATTAAATCACAATAGCTAACATCTATATGGTGCTTATGGTGTTTCAAGTTCTTTTCTAAGTGCGTTGTGAAGGTAAGCTCATTTAATCCTCACGATGAACTTACGGAGTAAGTGCTATATTTGTGCCCATTTTATGGACAGAGAAGCTGAGACAGAGGGTGACGATCTTGTCAAAGGTCTGTGGTTGATAAATACAGAGCTGGGATTCAAAGTCATTGGATTCAAAGTCAAAGGAATCAAACTCCGCAACTGTCCAGATCCAGTTGCAGAGTTTCCATGCTTGAATGTTGTGCAAGCTGCCTCTCTGTTCTCAAAAGGTAGAGGCATAACTTGGCAAAAACTCAGTTCCAGGGACTACACATTAAAGCAGCAGCAAAGAGAAACTCAAGGGTTCTGGTCCTGAGATTGGTGGAGGGATCTGCTGGTCCAGAAATTTGGTCCCTCAAATGCAGCTGGGAAAGGGAGCTGCATTTGAGGGAGAAGGAGATGGAGAACTCAGCAATGGAGCAAGAGATTCAAGCAGCATGGCCAGGAATGCTTAGTGAGGGGCTGCTGCATGGGCTTTCAAGTCAGGCAGACGTGGGTTTGTGTATCGACTTTGCTGTCTACTTGTAAGTTTCACCATCTTCACAATGGATTTAACAATCATACCTGCCACAAATATGAGAATTCAATGAGACAAGATGAGTGAAGTTCATGGCACAGTGTCTGACACAGAGGGTGGCGGCTTAGTGAATGGAAATAATCTTCCAGTGGATTTGGATGGCAAGGATAGGCCTGAATCCTGGCTGCAACCCAGAAGTGGTAATATTAATATCTATCTGATGCCAGCCAGCGGGGTTCAACTGAGCAGCTGTCAAGCAAAGGTATCCCGAGGCTCCTGTGCCAAAGCTTTTCAGGGAGCAAACCTAGATGGTGCGGTGGGGAGGCATGTGGGGTACAGAGGGAGTCCTTCCGGGGGTCACGTGGCCATTTCTCTCCTCTAGCACTCTGGCCTTTGCAGAAGGACTTTATTCTTGACTACCAGGGCTGATACCCCGCTAGTTAAGGCGCTGGGGCCTTTCTCTCCATCCCAGATCCACTTCCCCGATGCCCTGTTTTTGCACACTCCCAGTTCCCAGGGTGCCTGGATGCTGCTGCTTCCCCTTCACAGTGTTCTTCACATATTTGCTCCAGTTCTCAGATCCTTCCCTCTCCAAGGGTGGCTGGACCACTTGTCCCCAAGAGTAGGAGGAGATGCATGGCCCCTGAGCAAAGATGACATGCAAATTCGTGAAGCATTCCACAGTTTCAAATAGTTAATGCATTCAGGGCTTAAAACCTAGATGACGGGTTGCTAGGTGCAGCAAACCACCATGCAACATGTATACCTAGGTAACAAACCTACAAGTTCTGCCCTTGTATCCAGAACTTAAAGTAAAATAATAATAAAAAAAAATTACCTGAGTTACCATTCCCAAATATTTTTCACATGCTTCAAAATAAAATCTACCTCATCCTTCATCTTTAAAAAAAAAATTAAAAAAATAAAGTGCTCTGTAAACTTCCATAATAAAAAGAGTAGATGATTTGATATGGTGCATGGCCGCAGTATCACAGAGCGTCAAATCACACAGTGAGAAGGGTATTCCCTTTTGACTTCTCCTTTGCTCCTTCTGAGTAAACCAAGGGAAGCATCTTCTTTTGGTGCCAGAATATCCTTTAACACCTCTCTAACACTTCGGTTATATCCTTTTCACAAAGAACAGGCAGCCGGCAGCCGGCCTTCAGCTGAACTCAGGGAGGTGGAGGTTGCAGTGAGCTAAGCTAGCAACAGCTAAAGTATAGCATGATTGTTTTCGTTTGTATTGTATTTATTTTCCCAGTTACCATTTGATTATGGCAAGGAATTTCAGTTTTCTCTTTATAGTAGTGTTATAAAATTCCTTTTCGAAATATATTTATTAAAGGATTAAAAGCAAGTAGGCTTGAAGAAAGACATTAGGTAAATAGTTGTTGATGTGGGATGTGGCTATAAAAAACTTCCTAGGAGTGGCGCTCAAATGACTGAGCTTGGAAAATGCTGGAATACTGGGGAAGCCACGCAACGTAGGAAGCAGAGGCTTAGATACAAATGTCGCTCTGCTCATTAGCACCCAAGACGCTTACTTTCTTTGAGCCTCTATTTCCTTACCTGCCAAAATGGAGATGATAATTCCTACTACACGTGGTTCTTTGGAGGACTAAATGAGATAATTTAATGTATGTGCGTGTCATTTGCATGCAATGACTCAAGTGTTGAACAAAATGAATTGTCCCTAGGTGCACTTTACAATGAAATTTACTGTGTGAGTGTGGGCAAGGTACTAGTTTCCCAGTACTTCTGTCCCATAGTGGGAATACAATTTGGGCAAGTCATGGTACTTCTCTTTCCTCAGTTTCCTCATTGGTAAAGTGGAGATTTTGGGAGGTATTTTCTTCATGGGATTACTGGAAGGATGAAATGATTTTGTGTGTGTATGGCAGCAGAACACAGCCTGGTACCCACAGTATCAGCTAAGTGTGAGCTCTCAAGCCTGCAACCCTGCCTCCTAGCATGCTGCGGCCCTAAGTGGGAAGGCTCCTCAGAAGTGCGAAGACCTGGGTGTGTGCCAAAAATGCTCAAGGAAGTCACTGTGGGCATAGGTGACATATTTCTCATACTTTTTTCTTTTCTTTTTTCAGACAGGGTCTCACTCTGTCACCCAGGTTGGAGTGCAGTGGCATGATCACGGCTCACTGCAGCCTCCACCTCCCTGAGTTCAGGTGATCCTCCCATCTCAGCCTCTCAAGTAGCTGGGACTACAGGCATGTGCCACCATGCTCACCTAATTTTTGTATTTTTTTGTAGAGCCAGGGTTTCATTGTGTTGCCCAGGCTGGTCTCAAACTACATTTGTCTCAAACTACATTGGCCTCCCAAAGTGTTGGGATTACAGAAGTCAGCCACCATGCCTGGCCAACATATTTCTCATGCTTTCCAACATCAAATATTTAAAATATTCAAATCCTTCCATTCTCTCTTCCCAGAGCCCTCAGAGCCTGTGCAAAGTATACTCTCTCTCTCTCCCTTATATAAAGTAACTTCCATTTGGCTTTTATCTTGCTAAAGTAACCCTTGCTGTGGACTGAACTGTGTCTCCATCCACCTTCCCATTCCCCCAAAATGCATATGTTGAATCCCTAATCCCCAGTGTGATGATATTTGGAGATAGGATCTTTGAGAGATAATTAGGGTTAGATGAGATCATGGGGGTGGGACCGGTGGGACCCTCACTGTGGGATCTGTGGCTTTATGAAAAGAGAAATTGAGAGAGAGAGAGAGAGAAAGAGATTACTTTCTTTCTATCATGTGAGAACACAACAAGAAGGCTGCTGTTTACAAGTCAGGAAGAGGAGCCCTGAGCAGAAACTGAATTACTGACATTTTAATCTTAGACTCCTTAGCCTCCAGAACTTTGAGAAATAAATGTCTGTTGTTTAACCAGTCTTTGATTTTTTTATTTTTAAGAGCTGGGGTCTCAGCTAGACTTGAACTCTTTAACTCCTGGGCTCAAGTGATCCTCCCGCTTCAGCCTCCAAGTCTGTAGTTCCATGAGCTGGGACTACAAGCTCATGCCGCCTCTCCTGGCCCATTTTGATATTTTGTTGTCACAGCAAAAGCAGATCAACATAATGCTTACTCTGCCTAAAATCCACCTGAAACATTGAAAAATATATATCAATTGTTTACAATGTGCTAATCATTTTACACACAGTTTTATTTAAACCTCATAACTCTGTGGAGGAGAGTGCTATTATCATGTTCCATTTTACAGATGAGGAGACTGAGGCTTGAGGCTTAGGTGACTTGCCCAAGGTTCTAGAGCTATTGCATGCCAAAGTTAGATCTTGAAAACCAGCATTCACTCACCCACCCCCAGGTAGCCTCCAGGAATTCAAGTAGAAGGATGCATTGATTTGGACATTTGTGGGAATGCCTTACTAGCTTCCAAAGGTGCAGGGAGATCCTTCCTAGTGGCTCAAGTGTGGATGAGCAAAGTTCAGCTTCCAAGATGGACATGAGCCAGTTTGGAGGCAGGGGAGTGAGTTTGTGTAGGAAACACCCACAAGAAACAAAACACCCCCGGCTCGGTTGGTTACGACAAGGCAAAACCTTTAATAACATGAGTGCTTATTACATTAGCTGCTTCGGGGCTCTGACATCTTTGATTTCTGGTCATGTTTTTCTAACACATAAAGGTGAATGCCTCCCTCAGGGCCACCTGGGCGGTGGTTGGTTTCCTGAGGATTTGTGTGGGTAGACAATGGGGACAACTATGAGCGCGCCTGATGGAGATTCGGAAATCCCCCCTGGCCACCACCTGTGACTTTTAGTAAAGTCCTCTTCCAAGGAGGGAAGAATGTGGAGGTCCTTCCAGTAAAGAAGGAAGAAAGGAAAACATCTGGCACAGATACACAGAGAGAGGAATGACATTAAGGGATTGGCTTGAAAAGTTAGAGAGGATGGAGGGGTTAGGACTTGGAGGGTGAGGGGAAAATGTGGGAGAGGGCTGAGTCCATTTGGTTTCATTCTTTGTAAAAAGTAATACCATCACAAGGACCATGCCATGCAACCTCAGAGACATCTCTGTACACTTCCCCCAAGGCTGTGCTGGGCGTGGGGCAGAGGTCAGAGGTCAGTTCAGACGGGCGTGGTGCGCCTGTTGGCCGGATTATTATGCAGTGACTCTTTGAACTCTTTGGGTGTGGAATTGTGGAACTGTAGAAAAGCGTGGTCCCGGTCGGAGTTGAGGAGGGTCCCCATGGTGATCTTTGAGGGGTCCCGGGAGAGGGTGAACATCGAGATGTCAGTGGAAGGGATGGTGTGGAAGCCTTTGCTGATGGGGGACAGGTCTCGGGATCTGGGCTCGGTGGAGCGAGAACTTGACCGCCTCCGGAATCGATACCTGTAGGGTGGGAGGCGGGCAAAAGTAGATTTCTTCAGGAACTCCGAGTGGGATTTGGCTCGTAACTGCTGATGTTTTTCAATATAGATGTGCACGGCAACCACTCCTACAATTTCTGCGATGATGAAAGAGAAGGCTCCGAAATAAAAGGACCAACCATAGGAGTAACTTTTTTTGGAGTCACGCTGCCCGGGGTCTCCGGCGTTGGCTGATATATAAACTATGATGCCAATGATGTTGCTTAACCCTAAGAGAAGGGGAAAAGAAAAACACGTCCTTTATACACCTCGGAGAGAACTGTCACTTTCCATCTTAAAATA
The DNA here is from genome assembly GCF_000001405.40 of Homo sapiens. Classification (NCBI taxonomy): domain Eukaryota; kingdom Metazoa; phylum Chordata; class Mammalia; order Primates; family Hominidae; genus Homo; species Homo sapiens. The sequence goes on along the minus strand of NC_000016.10, from coordinate 24,361,278 downwards.
TTTATAGAAAATGTGGAGGTAATGGGGAGAGAGGAGAATGGATTATAGCTGGGAAATCCAACCACCTAGTTCTTCTTGCATGGTCTGTCACTTAGGAAATGAAGAATTCTGCTGCTCAGTTCCAGGCAATGTGTATTCAGCTGAAGAATACACCCTACTCCTACAGCAAGTACGGAAGAACTCAGAATGCACTTATTTTTCCCTTAGAAGCAATTCATCTCATCAACACTTAATCTTTGGCACTAAGTCATGAAGATTGTAAAATGAACAAGATACACGCCTCTGCCCTTGAATTCTTTACCATTAGTAGCAAAGACTGACATGTAAATGCAATTACAGGAAAATACAGTAAGGGTGCTAAGGAGACACATAAAAATGGTTCAGGAGGAGAAGGAGAGAGAAAGACTAAGAACCTGGCACTGAAGATGAGGTGACATTTGAGCCGGATCCTGCAAATCAAATAGGGGTGAGCCAGGAGATGAAAGACTGTTGACGATGGCATGTGAGAGAAGGCATTGAGAATGACTTACTAGGGTTCTAACTTGGATGCTTGGGAAGCTGGTGGCATTTTGAGCTCAAATAAGAGGCAGCAGAGAATCCAGGTTTAGATAAAAGAGGAGGTTTGAACACATTAAGTTGGAAGTGCTTATGGAAAATCCAAATGGAGCTGCTCAGTGGAAATGTATGGGTCTGGAGCTACAATTTGGGACAATAAATAAACCCATGGGGAAGAGGTGAGAGCTTACCAAGTCTTTTCATCTGCACAGGATATGATAATGCTTCAGATCAGCTGTTGTTTGAGCACCAGGGCACCAGGACTTGGGGAGCAGGAAGCTGTTACCTCCAACGGGCGAGGCTTGCAGACTTAGCTTCCCAAAGTGCCAATATTGTTGGAAATAGCTGCTTAGCCCACTGGAGAGGAATCAGTTTCCTAGGTAGTGGTCAGTAGGAGCAGGAGGTTTGGAGGGCTGTGCACATCTCTGCCTACCTTTCTCATGTTCTTACTCCGAAGGGGATATGTCTTTTTTTTTGTCCCTTTGTTTCAAGGGCCTCATCCAGGTCATGGTGCCAACAATGACTCATGGAGGTTGTTGGTACACCAGCTGGCATCTCTTTGCCTCCAAATTTAGGCTACCTGTAGGGTGGTGCTAAATGGAGGTTGTCCCTCATTATAGTTTCCGACAACAGTTGGTGAGTAACCATTTCCAGGAGCCTCCTGAATTCTCTCTCCATTCCTTGAATGTTCCGTACTCTTTGTGGGCATCCCCAAGATCTCCCTACAGTCCAGCAACCAAAGGGTTAAAGCTTGGTAGAGCAGGAGACACAGGACTGTGCTCCAGTGCCACCCTTCTGCTTAGCTGGTGCACATGCATTAGGATTATTAGTTGTTGTTTGTTTTGTTTTGTTTTGTTTTTAGAGATAGGATCTTGCTCTCTTACCCAGGCTGGAGTGCAGTGGAACAATTATAGCTCATTGTAACCTCAACCTCCTGGGCTAAAGGCATCTTCCCTCCTCAGCCTCCTGAATAGCTGGGACTACAGGTATGTGCTACCAAGCACAGCTAAGTTAATTTTTTTTTTTTAGAAATGGGGTCTTGCTATGTTGCCCAGTCTGGTTTTGAACTCCTGGCCTCAAGTGATCCTCCCACCCTGGCCTCTCAAAATGTTGGGATTACAGACATGAGCCATCATGCCCAGCCTCAATATTTTGAATAGGACTTCTCATTATATTTCATCTCAAATTTTTCTCCAGAGTACAGGGCTAAAATTTGCTGCTTCTCTCCTGCCTCCTCTTGGCTGTACCCAGCACAGACATTCAGCAGGTAGGCAGCAAGTTCTCATCACTGAGCTATTTCTTATTATGGGGTTTGACACATCCAGCTCTGTGTCAGCCTGCAAGAAACCACAGGGTGACAAACAGCTCCTCTTCCTGGAGTGTCAATTTGGCTTGAAGATGAGTAGGGAAGACATATTCTTTTATATTAAAATGAACATGGATATAACAAGGAGGAGAAGGCAGACTTCACATGAATTTTTAAGTTAAATGGGAGTCAGACTTCAAAGACGTCTCAGCTCAATGAAGGTGGCTTCTATTGATGCCCCCTGACTCCCCCGGGCCATGTTTTTTCTCTCCTCTGCCATGAGGAATGTTTTGATGGCAAAATTTGGAAAGTCCCCAAAGAAGGTCTTTCTGGGGGCAGCACGGTGGGTGGCGGGGAGTGGGGAAGGAAAGAAAGAAGTTCAAAGAGAGGCTCAGATGTCAGATTAAACTGATAGGAAGCCAAGCGAATTGCCAATTATTTACAGGGCGCTTACCATGTGCCACACACTGTGCAAAATCTTTATATGCATCATACCTAGTAATCATTGCAGCAGGCCCACTTAAAAAATGATTTCTCTTTTACAGATGGGGAAACAGACACAGAGAAGGTAAGTAACTTCCCATGTCGAGCACAGCCATTAAATTAAAACTAATTGCAAAAACCACAATTATTTTTGCATCAACCTAATAGAAAATGGTTGAAGTGAGATTTGAATCCAGAGCTCTTAGCCATGGTGGATTTAGATTTCAGTAACAAGGCTTAGGGAAAACAAGATCTGAGTAGGCAATTGCTTTTTCCTACTTTCAGACTGTAAACTCCCTGAGGGCAGGGACTAGGCTTATCTCCTTCATTGCTATGGCCGTAACTCCCAGCCCAGAGTCTGATTCATAGCAAGAGGGCAGTGCATATTTGTTGAATGGGTGAATAAGTGGAGTTGATATGAGAATTAAATGGTACATTGTACATGATAACAGCTACTATGTGTTGAAGACATACTGGATGATAGGCACCACTCTGGGCACTTTATCAATACCAACTCATTTAATCCTCTTAACAGCTTCAAAAGGTGGGGCCGTTATGATACTCATTTTTCAGATGGAGAAATAAATGGAAGCACAGAAAGGTTAAGTGACTTGCCCAAAGTCACACAGCAGGAAAGTAGTAGAGCTACATTTGCGCCAGGCAGCCTGACTTCAGAGCTTACGCTCTTGGGCATTCTGCATAGTATCTGACACGTAGTAGGTGCTCAATTAAGAATTGTTTTCTCTTTTTTCCCCCCAGCACTCTTATTTACCGATTTAAAGGGTTGTTAATTGCTTGCCTCAAATGATCAACCTTAGTGTAGATGAGCAAAAAACAGCCTTAGAGAGTAGTGAATCCTCCAATCCTTTCATTTTAGAGGTGGAAAAACAAGATCTTCGGGTTCTTTGGGGAGATCAGTGGAAGGGTCTAGGATTAGACCCCAAGCCTCTGCCTTCCCGTCAGGCTTCCTCCACACACTCACACACTTTCTAGTTCCTACGTGTCTAGTCTACCTGCCATCCCTCACAATACCTCTTGTGAGAAGAAAGTTGCTGGTGACACACTCTTCCCTAACAATCCCCTTGGGGGACAACATAATGATCTTCTCTTGTTCTTAGGAAACTCTCACATCAGCATGACACTGGTACTGATCCTCTGGATCGGCCAAGCACCCGGGAGATCTGGATGGGGCCACCAGTGACAGGAGCGTGCCTCAAGACAAAACAAGTCCCTGGGTTTGCCAGATGCTAACATCTGTCCACACAGAGCAAGGTAGAGGCCACCGCCACCTGTGGGCTGATCTCACTCCCCTGGGGCAAGATGGCAGTTCTCTTTCTGGTCTGTTGCTTGAGTCGGTTCTCAGAGACTCAGCTTTAGATAGTCTCCCTTTCTCATCTCACAGCCGGCGAAGCAGTGGGGAAGGAATTCGAGCAAGATCTTGTGGGGCTCCAGATTTTGGAACTGTGTGGTTGCTGTTTTTCTAATACTAGAAAATAATATTGTGCTTTCTCTGTTCAGTCTCTGATATGGTTTGGCTCTCTGTCCCCACCCAAATCTCACCTTGAATTTTAATAATCCCCATGTGTAAAGGGTGGAGCCAGGTGGAGATAATTGAATCAAGACAGGAGTTTTCCCCATACTGTTCTTGTGGTAATGAATGAGTCTCATGAGAGCTGATGGCTTTTTTTTTTTTTTTTTTTTTAAGATGGAGTGTCACTCAGTCACCAGGCTGGAGTGCAGTGGGGCGACCTTGGCTCACTGCAACCTCTGCCTCCTGGGTTCAAGCGATTCTCCTGCCTCAGCCTCCCAAGTAACTGTGACTACAGGCCTGCACCACCACACCCAGCTAATTTTTGTATTTTTAGTAGAGACAGGTTTCACCACGTTGGCCAGGATTGTCTCAAACTCCTGACCTCATGATCCACCCGCCTCAGCCTTCCAAAGTGCTGGGATTACAGGCATGATCTGATGATTTTATAAAGGGGAGTTCTCTTGCACAAGCTGTCTTGCCTGCTGCCATGTTAAGACATGACTTTGCTCCTCCTTCGCCTTCCACCATTGTTGTGAGGCCTCCTCAACCATGTGGAACTGTGAGTCAATTAAACTTCTTTCCTTTATAAATTACTGAGTCTCGGGTATGTCTTTATTAGCAGTGTGAGAACAAACTAATACAGTCTCCTTCCAGCAAACCCCATGCAGCTGGTACTATTATCATTATGATTACGACTATTTTGAGACAGGGTCTTGCTCTGTCACCCAGGCTGGAGTGCAGTGGTGTGATCATGACTGACTGCAGCCTTGACCTCCCGGGCTCTAGCAATCCTCCCACCTCAGCCTCCTGACTACCTGGAACTATAGGCACCCACCACCAGGCCTAGCTAATTTTTAAACTTTTGTGCAGATCGGGTCTTGCAATGTTGCCTAGGGCTAGTCTTGAAGACCTGTGCTCAAGTGATTCTTCTGCCTCGGCCTTCCAAAGTGCTGGGATTACAGGCATGAGCCACCAAGCCCAGCTGCAGTTGGTACTATTATCATTTGCCATGTTATAGTGAAGGAAACCAAATTACAAAGAGATGATCACATTTCCCAAGGCCTGATTGGTGGATCCAGGATTGAAATCCAGGGGGGTTGCAAGCCACTCTTCCTCACCATTTTATACTCTCCACCGCTGTCCCCATCCCAATCAGTACTCTACCATCACCTTGCAAAGTTTGAAAGTCATCACCAGAGTCCAGCCCCGTCTTCCCCCATCCCTACCCTGTTCTTTGCTTCTCTAAAGCATTTCATCCAAATGGCACTGATCCACCCCAAGAGGAGTGGGGTAGGAAGAGATGGTAAAGGGGTGAAAGCAAGGATGAAGGATGAAAACCCAGAGGGAAGCAAGGAAGACAGGACACCAGTGAAGGGATGGAGGTGGAGGGAGGTAAAAGAGGCAGAGAACAGGACCCTTTAACAGGACCCTTTTCTGAAAGTTGTCTCTCAGCATCCTTGCCACCCTGTGCCTTCTTCTGGTCAGGGCTCCTATTGACTATAAGGTCTTCCCCCAGAGCATCTCGGGCTGCTGGTCTTTACCTTGTTCCCAGAGATGCTTGGAATGATATGAGGATTTGAGCACTTCAAAAGCTGGATGGGGCTGGACTCTCGTGATGACTTTCAAACTTTGCAGGGTGATGGCAGAGTATTGATTGGCATAGGAAGAGTGGAGGAGGGTATAAAATGGTGAGTAAGAGAGGCTTGAACAATAAGTAGCTGTCAAATACAAATCCCAAAGGGCCAGAGATCGTATATTAACATGCCCAAGTGAACACAAAAATGCAGCTGTATATTTTTACATTTACTTATTTATTTTTTAGAGATGAGACTTCACTTTGTCACCCAGGCTGGAGTGGAGTGGCAAGATCTTGGCTCACTGCAGCCTTGACGTCCTGGGCTCAAGTGATCCCCCCACCTCAGCTTCCTGAGTAGCTGGGACCACAGGTGTGCACCACCACACCCAGCTAATTTTTTAATTAACATTGTTTTTTGTAGAGATGAGGGTCTCACTGTGCTGCCCAGCTGGTCTCGAACTCCTGGGCTCAAACAATCCTCCTGCTGTAGCCTCCCCAGTCAATCAGTTCACACGTACCACATATGCAAGCAGCAAGCATGTATGTACACTCTTATAAATCTCTCTCTCCTTTTCTCTTTCTCTCTCCTGCCCCTTTCTTCTTCCCTCTCTCTCTTTCAATCTCAGCTGATCGTGCCATGCTGTTTCCTCCCTGTTTTTCCTTCATGCCGGCTTTAGCTAGAGTTTTGGCATCTTTGGTTCTAATGGAATTCTTGGAGTTCTCATCCTTAGCACAACTGGAACATTTTCTTGCTCCTTCCCTGGAGGGAGCCCTGAGTAGCATTGCTTCCTCCATGTGGCCCTGGCTTCAGTTTGGTATCTGTGAAGATCTCAGGGCTGGGGCCAGACACTCACCTGCAGAGACAAAAAAGATGCCCGCGCTGAGAATGACGTTGTGTCTGCTGCGGTGGAACTCACTGGCTGCCACGCAGAGCCCGCCGAAGAACAGCAGCGTGACACTGAGGATGGGGAAGACACTGGAGGCCCTCACAGCTCCTGCGGAGAGAAGGAGAGAGGCTTCTGCCTGTGCCCAGCCAGCCCCTGGGGTCCTCCCATTGCAAGCGCAGGAGTGCCTGAGAGGAAGGCAGCACAGGAAGAGAACAGAGCCCATGTCTAACACGGGCATGAGACCAGGCGCTCAGGGCCTGTGCTTAGAAGGAGTCTTGGCACTTGGGGTTGATGCTCTGCAGTCACCATTCTGAGAGTCTTAACGATTTTATAATCGAATGTGTGTTTTATAAGTGAAGTGAAGTCTGATGGGACAATGACACATGCACTGGGGCTTGGAGACTTGACTTATGTGGAACTCCACTCTCTACCTCCTCACCTATCACCAACACCTTCCCACCTCCCTGCCTCCCTGGAAAAGGCTCTCAAACGCCCATTCTCCCTCCTCAGCCCAGCGACTACTGCCCCCATTTTGCCCTTGGTGGGAGCCCAGGCACGGACACAAGGAGAGTCAGAGTTGGGTGCAAGCCTCAGGTCCCTGGGAGGGTTTGCGCTCACTGGGAGAATGTCCCTGCACCCAAGGAGGGTGATATTAAACGGCAAATAGAAAACACCATGATAGATCGAGAGCGATCACAGAAAAAATTAAAAGTTTTTTGTTCTGTTTTGTTTTTTGCTTGAGGTTTTTTTGAGATGATGCTTGTTCTGTCACTCTGGCTGGAGTGCAGTGGTGCAATCACGGCTCACTGTAGCCTCACCTTCCAGGCTCAGGCAATCCTCCTGCCTCAGCCTCTCAAGTAGCTGGAACTACAGGCATGTGCCACCATGCCTGGCTGATTTTTGTATTTTTTGTAGAGATGGGATCTCACCAAGTTACCCAGGCTGGTCTAGAACTCCTGGCCTCAAGCAATCTTCCTGCCTCAACCTCTCAAAGTACTGGGATTATAGGCATGAGCCACTGCACCCGGCCTAAGAGCCCAGGATTTTCATTTCACACTGGACCCTGCAAATGACGCAGCCAGCCCTGTATACAGGGACTCCCATCAGACCACATGCTGCTCATTAAAATGCAGAATCTTTCCCTGCACGCATCTACATTTGCATAGTAGAGAGTATGACAACACCCATTGAATACCCATTTAGTCACGAATGAACAAATGAATTTGCTTATTCATTTGACAAATATTTCTTGAGCACCTAATAGATGCTAGGTGTTGTGGCGGGTGCTGCAGTCATAGCTGACATGTTTAACCACCACAAGGGCGCAGGCACTGCCCTTCAAAAGGGACACTGGCTGAGGAGTCGAAGCAGAGTCCTGGAGGTCCCTGTGTCAGCTTCTTATTAAATATTTTCTGGATCATGGAAGGCCCTAAGGTCCTGGGAGAGGGGCCCCATGTGGTTGGGGTCCCAGTATTTACCCATCCAGTATAAGAGTATTTTCTGGTGGGTCCAGGCCAGAATACATCAGCTGAATAAATTCTGTGCTCATTGGTTTACCAAGGAGCCAGGGGTCCTGTCATCAAGGGGCTTACACTCTAGTAGCAATGACAGGCAGGACCAGCGGCATAATTTACAGGGCCTTGTGCAACACAAAAATGTGAGGCCTAGCCAGGCATGGTGGCTCAAGCCTGTAATCCCAACACTTTGGGAGGCAGAGGTGGGTGGATCACCTGAGGTCAGGAGTTCAAGACCAACCTGGGCAACATGGTGAAACCTGTCTCTACTAAAAATACAAAAATCAGCTGGGCATGGTGGAGGGCACCTGTAATCTCAGCTACTTGAGAGGCTGAGGGAGGAGAATTGCTTGAACTCAGGAAGTGGAGGTTGCAGTGAGTTGAAAATTGCGCCATTACACTCCAGCCTGGGCAACAGAACGAGTCTCTGTTTCAAAACAAACAAACAAAAACAAAAAACAGTGAGGCCTCTTGTTCCAGAATTGTTAAGAATTTCAAGATAGTGACAGCAGAACATGGAACCAAGGGTGGGGCCCTTCTGAGGGCTGAGCCCCGTGTAACGGGTAGAACCACAAGAATCCAGGCAAGCCTGGGAGCAGTGGCTCATGCCTGTAATCCCAGCAGTTTGGGAGGCTGAGGCGGGAGGAACACCTGAGGTCAGGAATTTGAGATCAGCCTGGGCAACATGGCAAAACCCCATCTCTGCTAAAAAATAAAAAATTAGCCAGGCATGGTGGTGTGTGCTTGTGTTCTCAGCTGCTTGGGGGTGCTGAGGTAGGAGGATCACTTAAGCCCAGGAGGCAGAGGCTACAGTGAGCTGAGATCGTACCACTGCACTCCAGCCTGGGCAATAGAGTGAGACCTTGTTTCAAACAAACAAACAAACAAACAAACAACAACAACAAAAAAAACCCCATAACCCAGGCAAAAGCCCTTCATAGCTTGGACTGCGGGGGTAGACCTGAGGTGGTAACACGCTGGCAGATTCAGTGTGTACTTTATATTTTGAAAGTAAAGCCAACAGAATTCGCTGATGGATTGGCCGTGGGCTGCGAGTTGCGTTTGGTCTTAGGTGCTGAGTGAATGGAGGAGCCTCTAGGGAATGGGGTGGGGCCGGGGAGGGATGCGAGTTTATTTTGGCTCAGGGGTTCAAAGCTTAGTTCACATTGCTCAGTGTTCAAGCCTTTAACCTCCATATTCACTAGGTGTTTTTCTGCCTGTTTAGCTCCGGCCGTTTTCATTTGGTACTGCACTTTCATTCGTTTGCTTGTTTGTGTTTTCAGTTTTCTGAAAATTTGGTAACTTATTTAACCTGTGGGCCTAGGAGGGATGAAGAGGGAGACCTGAAGTTGGGGGCTGACGGCACACAGGTGTGAGGAGATCAGGAGATCGAGACCATCCTGGCTAGCACGGTAAACCCCGTCTCTACTAAAAATACAAAAAATTAGCCGGGCGTGGTGGTGGGCGCCTGTAGTCCCAGCTACTCAGGAGGCTGAGGCAGGAGAATGGCGTGAACCCGGGAGGAGGCAGAGCTTGCAGTGAGCCGAGATCGCGCCACTGCGAGATTCTGTCTCAAAAAAAAAAAAAAAAAAAAAGAGAGAGAGAGAGAAGATGGAAGGGATTTTGCTTTGGTTTTGAAACTGCCCAATCTTTCTTTCTCTCTCTCTCTTCCTTCCTTCCTTCCTTCCTTTCTCTCTCTCTCCCTCCCTCCTTTCTTTCTTTCTTTCTCTTTCTTTCTTTCCTTCTTTCTTTCTTTCTTTCTTTCGTCTGTCTTTCCCCCTCCCCTTCCCCTTCCCCTTCCCCTCCTTCCCCTTCCCCTTCCCCTTCCCCTTCCCCTTCCTCTTCCCTTCCCTTTTTTGATGGAGTCTCGCTCTGTCACCCAGGTTGGAGTGCAATAGTGCGATCCGGCTCACTGCAACCTCCACCACCCGAGTTCAAGCAATTCTCCTGTCTCAGCTTCCCGAGTAGCTGGGACTACAGGCGCATGCCACCATACCACCCTAATTTTTGTATTTTTAGTTGAGACTGGGTTTCACCATATTGGTCTGGTTGGTCTCGAACTCCTGACCTCAGGTGATCCACCCGCTTTGGCCTCCCAAAAGTGCTGGGGTTACAGGCATGAGCCACCATGCCTGGCTGAAACTGGCCCAATTTTCTAACAGGCTGGATGCCCATGAACTGAAGCTTTAGAAACTTACATGTGTAAGTTTCAATGAAATGAAATGCACCTGCTGCCTGTTGGCCAAATCCTCTTCCTTGCCCCTCCTGTTTTCCTTCCTGGCTATATCAACCCTTAACTTTAGTTAGGCATGATTAGTGTCGTTGCTGAGTTCTGGCCTGCTGCAAAGTCCTGCAGTTCTATTATGCAGGCTTTCAGGAGACAGAGCTGGCCCCTGGTTCCTTTAGCTCCCAAGTCAAGGGGGCCATCCCAGCGAGTGAGCTCTGGGGTTCTGTAAGTGAGTGTAGCTTATTTTTAATGGGCCCATCTGTGGGCACAACTTATTTATAATTTGTAAAAATGTACACATATGACCTATGGGTTTCCAGCTGGATTCTTGCCTTGGGCCCTTGCAAATATTAGGGGCAAGTCTCCTCCAGTGGTTTCAAGCACCTGTTAGGGACTTGTGGACTAACCTTTAAAGGGATCATTTGCATTGTATATTGACAGGAATTGCTTGAGTATTCAATGTAATGAGTGTAATTAATAAAAAGTGAATACCTTTTAAAAAATCAAAGCATGATTAACCTTTGATGTGTGCCCTAAGAAAATGATTTGAATGTTTGAAGCTATTGAACTGTGTTGGTTACACAAAAATGGATATTTGGGCCTGGCACAGTGGCTCACGCCTGTAATCTCAGCACTTTGGGAGGCAAAGGCAGGTGGATTGTTTGAGGACAGGAGTTTGAGACCAGCCTGGGCAACACAGGGGGACCCCAACTCTACAAAAAATGTAAAAAGAAATTAGCCAGACATGGTGGTGGTGGGTGCCTGTAGTCCCAGCTCAAGAGGCTTGAGCCTAGGAATTTGAGGGTGCAGTGAGCTATGATCATGCCACTGTACTCCAGCCTGAATGATGGAGTAAGACCCCATCTCAAAAAAAAAAAAAAAAGTTTATGTTTGAAACATGTGGATAGGAGATACGTAAATGTGACTGTTTCCCAAGTGGTGCAATCATCATTTGGGAACCATTGGTGGGGAGACCCCACTCTTTGCCCCTCAAATGAGATACAAGCAGATTCTGTCAACTCTGGCTATAAGTGTCTGCCTCAGACAGGAAATATTCTGCTAAGTCAGTGGAAGCCCACCTTGCATTTGTTTTAGCCCAGTGGACATATGGTGGCTTCAGATCAAAGAGGTTTTTACTGTCTTCCTTCCCTGTTTCTCCCCCCAAACTATATGGAGCTAAGTTAAGGTCTTAAGGGTGGGGACATAAGCTTGTTCAAGTGTAGCCCCACCATTGGAGTCTGAATAGGACTTTCTAAGTCCAGTGCTGTGTCGTGGAAGTCTCTAGTCAACAGAACCTGTGGGCTTTGAACCTTCTGCTGTCAGAGGCGTTGGAAACAGAGCGACTCCATCTTGAATAGGGGATAGGTGAAATGAAGCTGAGACCTGCTGGGCTGCATTTCCAAGCACAGGATGAGATAGGGGGTCAACACAAGATACAGGTCACAAAGACTCTGCTGTAAAACAGGATGCAGTGAAGAAGCCAGCCCAAACCCGCCAAAACCAAGATGGTGATGAAAGTGACCTCTGGTCGTCCTCACTGCTCATTATATGCTAATTATAATACATTAGCATGTGAAGAGACACTCTCGCCAGCGCCGTGACACTTTACAGATGCCATGGCAATGTCAGAAGTTACCCTATGTTCTTAAAGTGGGAGGAACCCTCAGTTCCTGGAATCGCCTACCCCTTTCCTGGAAAACTTATGAATAATTCGCCTCCTGTTTACCATTAATCAAGAAGTAACTATAATACACTAGGTCAAGCAGTCCATGCCACTGCTCTGTCAATACAGTAGCCGTTCTTTTGTTTCTTTGCTTCTCTAATAAACTTGCTTTCACTCTACTTTGTGGACTCACCCTGAATCTTTCTTGTGTGAGATCCAAGAACCCTGTCTTGGGGCTGGATCTGGACCCCTTTCCGGTAACACTGCTATGGGTTTATGCTGTAGCCTACCCCAAAGAGCATAGGAGAAAAGAAGAAACAACAGAAAAGTCGATATGCAGAATCCCATTCCCACCAGGGTTGTGGGTCAGGAAAGGGACCGGCAGGCAGAGTGAACACCAGCCAGGCAGGGAGAACCCTGCAGGAATGTGCTCCCAGCCCTACGTGGCTGGATCAGGAATTCCAAAACTCTCAGCAGGAAATCTGTGTTCTCATTAAGGCCTCTCCTTAACCTTAGCCCAATTCTGCTGCTATTGGTGAAGCTTAGGTGGACCGAGGGCTAGGGGTGAGGAGAGAGGAAGGGACATCTTCCCAGACGAGAAAAAAATACTTTGTCAGAAAAGCTATGGGCCTCTCTGAAGAACTTAAAATCAGCTATACAAGTTGTGAAGAGAAGTCACAGTTCTGTTTAGTCTCCGACAGAGCAAACGTCAACATGTTTTATCAACATGAAAAAGAAAAACAAAGAAAATCTATGGGCACTCTGGTAAAACCCCACTGGTGATGACTAATGCCATTCTCTATTGAGAAGATGCAAGTGATCTGTGTCATCTCCCAAATTTTGGTTAAGCTACATCTCTAAGTGTGGCTAATTTTGCTCTCCACACTGAATCTTTTTGAGCTGCTGATGTGAGGGGTGAGAAAAGAAAACAACTTTTATCTGAGTAACGCAAGTCCTTTTAATTATCAGGCCCAGAGAGACATTACAATGAGACAGTGATCACATCCTTCTCTCCTCTTTGAGCTGGGTACTCATCTCTTGAAATTGCTGGCTTTTGCCACAAGTAGCATAAATTAACCTAATAATGCTGCATCTGACACTATCCTCCACACCGTGTAGCCAGTCACTAATCAATATTATTGATTAGCGCAATGGCACAATCAATGCAATGGCACGATCACTGCAATGGCACTGCAGCCTCAGCTTCCTGGGCTCAAGCAATCCTCCCACCTCAGCCTCCCAAGTAGCTGGGACTAAGGGTGTGCACTACCATGCCTGGATAATTAAAAAAAAAAAAATTCTGTAGAGTTGGCGACTTAATATGTTGCCCAGACTGGTCTTGAACTCCTGGCTTCAAGTGATCCTCCCACCTTGGCCTCCTAAAGTGCTGAGATTACAGGTGTGAGCCATTGCACTTGGCCTCACTATTTTGAGTGAATCCAACACAAATTCTTGCTGAAGAAATTACATTAAAATCCCAAATCAAGTTCTCTCTGTGCCTTGACCAATGGAAGGCTCATCTCTGCAGTGAATTTTGCATTGCTAATCCCATGCAAGAAACGGGAGCTAATGCATATTGCCTCCTGACTATGTGTTGGGCCCCGGCTAATTTTTGTGACCCTGTCAGATGGATGACATTATAATCTCCATTTCAGAAAAAAATGAAGAAAGGTAGGAACTAGAGAGAGAGGTAAAGCCCCTTGCCTCAAGTCCAACCCAGCTAGTAGAGTCAAACAAGGGTCAAAGCCCAGATTCCAGAGGCCTTGGCTCAAAGCCACCACATTCTTTTGGCTCCTACATGCTGTAGTTGTGACGGTTCATGTCATATCCAGGTTACTGACTTTGGAAAAATCCTACAGAGACATTGGCTCTGTCCCAGTAGGACTGAAACTGGAGGGAAGTCAAAGAAGAGGTGAACTTGGGTTTGTATTTATTCTCCTAGGTCTTGCTCCTTGGGACCTCACCCATTAGCACCTCACATCACCCATTAGCACTCTGCCATTAGCACCTCCAATCAACCCTCCTGGGAAAGTGAAAACTTGCATTCAAGTTAGAGAAAGTTCCTTAGATTTTTCTCCTAAACTGACTAAAAAGAACCTTTCAGTTTTGACTCACCTACTTTTCTGTCTTCCTTCCTGCCTTCCTTCCTTCCTCCCTTCTCTTTCTCTTTCTCTTTCTCATTCTCATTCTCCTTTTCTTTCTCCTTCTCTTTCTTTTCAGAGACAGGGTCTCACTCTGTCACCCAGGCTGGACTGCAGTGGTATGATCATAGCTCACTGCAGCCTCAATCCCCTGGGCTTAAATGATCCTCCCACCTTAGCCTCCTGAGTAGCTAGGACTACAGGTGTGTGCCACCACATGCAGCTAATTTTTTAATTTTTTGTAGAGATGGGTTCTTGCTATATTGCCCAGGCTGATCTCGACCTCCTGAGCTCAAGCGATCCTTTCTGGCCTCTGCCTCCCAGAGTGCTGGGATTACAGGCATGAACCATCCCCCACCCTACCCCCTGCTTCTTCTTTCTGTTTCTAATTCATTGAAACTAAAGAGGCTTAGCTCTCAGAACCACTTGAGTGTCTCTGTGTACTGGCACATGGGGCTTCTTTGCACTTATCTATTTCTAGGGACAGATGCTGAGGAAGCTCCGACTCAGAGGCAGCTGAGTGATGGCAGAGGCCCATCCCTTCCTCCCAGAGAGACCCGAGAAGCCGGGGAACTTACGCAGGAGATATTCGGCTGTGTCCTGTTCGTAGTCAGCATCTTCAGGGAAGTGATCGATTTTCTTGCACACGCCTCGGAAAGCCCCTGTGGAAACAGATAAGGGTTCTGAGCCTGGGGGAGGAGACAGAGCTCTGGGGGCCAGCCTGGGTCCTCACCGCTATGTGCAGATCCTTTCTCTGGTTGTTGGGGGCTGTAGGGTTGTTGGGCTGGTAGGCCCAAGAGCACCTTTATTTTTTATTAGAGACAGGGTCTCATTCTGTGGCCCAGGCTGGAGTGCAGTGGTGCAATCATGGCTCACTGCAGTCTTGAACTCTTGGGCTCAAGTGATCCTCTCACCCCAGCCTCCCAAGTAGCTGGGACTATAGGCATGTGCCACTATGCCTGGCTAATTCAACATTTTTTGATAGTGACAACAAAAGGTCTCACTATCTTGCCCAGGCTGGCCTCAAACTCCTGGCCACAAGCGATCCTCCCTTCCTCAGCCTCCCAAAGTGCTAGGATTACAGGCATGAGCCAACGGGATCAGTCATCAACAGCATGTTTCTTTAGGGCACAAAAAAGAGACCAGTAGAGGCAAAAGATAAACAATACAAAGCAGGAGATGGAAATTTGCTGCTTTTTAGATTTTGCATGATGTTGGGATCCACTTCAGAAGCGCAAAAACACCATGAAACATAAACACTAATTATGAAGACTATCTTATCTTTCCCCTCTCCTCCAGTCAGTGAAGGAAAAAGCAGGCAGAATTCAAGTACATCATTTTTTTCGCTCATTTTACCAATGAGGAAACAGGGCTTAAGAATTTTTCTTGAAATCACTCAGGTAAGTAGCTATTTAGGTTGATGTAAAAGTAATTGTGCAGTTGTGCAATTACTTTTGCACCAACCTAAATAGAACCGGCATTCCAATCAAGAGCTGAGTCCAGGCATTCCAGAATAGTCCACTCTCCCCAATGATGTTCATATCTGACCACAGGACACTCCCTTTCCCTCTCTGCCCTCCCAAAGGATCACAGCTCATCTCCCTCGCTATGAGGTTCACCCCTTTGGGAGCCTCAGATTTGCTGAACATGCATCTTGAACATCCGTCCACATTTGCTGTCTTTTTTGTTTTGTTTGAGACAGAGTTTCTCTCTTGTCGCCCAGTTTGGATTGCAATGGCACGATCTCGGCTCACTGCAACCTCTGCCTCCCGGGTTCAAGAGATTATCCTGCCTCAGCCTCCCGAGTAACTGGGATTACAGGCACCTGCCACCATGCCCGGCTAATTTTTGTATTTTTAGGAGAGATGGGTTTCACCATGTTGACCAGGCTGATCTCGAACTCCTGACATCAGGTGATCCACCTGCCTCGGCCTCCCAATGTGCTGGGATTACAGGCGTGAGCCACCTTGCCCGGCTGAGGTGTGGATGTTTAATCATCATTTTGGGTGTTAGTTAACTAGACAGTTAACCAGTCTCTGGGGGCAGTTAATAGCTCTGCCAGTTCTTTTAAAGGACAAAAAATTTTCCAGAAATTATGCATTCTTGTCCCTTTCCCTGTCTGTGTAGCTGGAGTGGAATCAGGGGGGCGGGCATTGTGATGTCGTGGGAAACGGACAAGGTTCGGAATCAGACAGAGCTGCGTTGGTATTTCAGAACTGTTATTGTAAGAATGAAATAAAGCTATACATGAACATGAGATAATTTTTGCAAAGCTCTAGGCATGTCATAATAATGGCTGACACTTATTAAGTGCTTCCAATTGGCCAGGCACATAGCTGAAACCTTACACCCCTTATCTCATTTACCCTTGTTTACCACCCCAGGAGGTAGAGGCTATTAGTATTAACATTTGATAATGAGACAATGGAAAATCACAGAGGAGATGGTGTCACAGCTGGTGAGTGACGGAATTGATTTTTGGATCCAGGTTTCAAAGGCTGTGTAGTTTCACCATTACACTATGAATAGTAGCCGTTATTATTATGGCTACCATGGCTACTATCATGATGTCTATTATGATCTCATAAAAATAAGAGTGTCATATATTTAATTTCTACTATAAGTAGGCTCCAGGCCAGAGCCATTTCATAATAAATGCCTTGGGATATGTAGAACATCTCCTTGGTTCTGATTCTCCGCTTACCAGGCAAATAATAGACTCAGAACCAGGAAGGAGGTTCAGGAGAGAAGACTCAAGGAAATTCTTAGAAAAAAGACAGACCCATAATTTCTTCCCTGATATTGGGAAAAAAAGACCTTATTCATGCTTGTTCATATTTTAGAGTTTCATTTATATATGCCTGTTTGGTTTTAAGCCCCATCCCCTTCCAGTTGACTGGATAAGAAATCATAATAAGTAACACACGTGTGCACCTACTATATACCAGGTACCATTCTAAGCATTTATGCATTTTTTTTTTTTTTCTGAGACTGAGTCTTGCTCTATTGCCCAGGTTGGAGTGCAGTGGCACGATCTCAACTCGCTGCAACCTCCACCTCCCAGGTTCAAGCGATTCTTGTGCCACAGCCTCCCGACCACCAGGCCTGGCTAATTTTTGTATTTTTAGTAGAGACAGGGTTTCACCATGTTGGCCAGGCTGGTCTTGAACCCCTGACCTCAGGTGAACCACCCGCCTCAGCCTCCCAAAGCACTGGGATTACAGATGTGAGCCACTGCGCCTGGCCACATTTACGTGTTTTATCCTCTTTAGCTATCTAAATGACTTTATGAGGTGCCTAATGTTATTTATTTATTATTTTTTTGAGACGGAATCTCGCCCAGACTGGAGTGCAGTGACGCAATCTTGGCTCACTGCTTGCTCTGCTCACGCCATTCTCCTGCCTCAGCCGCCTGAGTAGCTGGGATTAAAGGCGCCTGCCACCATGCCTGGCTAATTTTTTGTATTTCTAGTAGAGACGGGGTTTCACTGTGTTAGCCAGGATGGTCTTGATCTCCTGACCTCCTGATCTACCCGTCTCAGACTCCCAAAGTGCTGGGATTACAGGTGTGAGCCACTGTGCCCGGCCTGAGATGCCTAATGTTATAATGAGGCAATGTTATTAATATGAGGAGGAAATTGAAGCTTAGCCAAGTCACCGATTTACTCAAGGACACAGCTTGACATTTACCAGCTGACCCCAAAGACAAAGTTCCTAACTACTATTATGAATTACACTCTCTTCAACAAGTCTGTATTGTGAACTAAGTTCTTTGCCTGGTCGCTTCATGATCATTTTATAGCCTACCCCCTACTATTGATGTTGGCAATGAACTGGACCAGTGGCTTCTCCATTAACTATGCTTCCCCATGGCATGTCCCAGGGGCACCTGGGCAGGGGAAGGGTGTTGGTAGTGACACCATCCATTGTTAGTTGATTTCCGTACTCCTCATTATTTGCTGTTTTCCACGAAAGATTTCAAAGGAAGAAAGTGTTCAGGTGAAGATGGAATGGGAACCTTACTAAATACAGACCAGTCAGAATTACTGAGGGAATTCGGAACTACATACACGTGGGCATCTGCTTGTGAAATGGGCCTATTCATGGTGACTTCAGGCAGCTTGAAACTAAGACTTAGAACCAGCAAACGCCAGTAGCTCCTGGAGACGCAGTCACTAGTTTTGTTGTTGTTGTTTGTTTGTTTTTTAGGCAGAGTTTCGCTCTTGTCACCCAGGCTGGAGTGCAATGGTGTAATCATAGCCCACTGCAACCTCCGCCTCCCCAGTTCAAGCGATTCTCCTGCCTCAGCCTCCCAAGTAGCTGGGACTACAGGCATGCACCACTATGCCCAGCTAATTTTTTATTTTTAGTAGAGAAAGGGTTTTGCCATATTGTCCAGGCTGGTCTTGAACTCCTGGCCTCAGCTGATCCACCTGCCTCAGCCTCCTGAAGTGCTGGGATTACAGGGGTGAGCCACTGCGCCTGGCCTGCAGTCACCAGTTTTTAATGGTCTAAAGCAGCTTACTACTACCCACGTTTGTACAGCCCATGAGCCAAGAATGGTTTTTGCATATTTAGATAGTTGAAAAAAAAATCGAAAGAATATTATTTGTGACCTGCAAAAAAATGTGAAATTCAGATTTCAGCGTCGGAAAATAAAATTTTATTGAAACACAATCGTGCCCATTTGTTTATATTGCTTCAATTTCCTCATTATAACATTAGGCTCCTCATGAAGCCATTTTGAGAACAAAAGAAAATAAAACATGTTGATGCCACTATAACAGAGTTCAGTATTTGCCACAGAGATAGCAAAGCTGAAAATATTTACTCTCTGGCTGTTTAACAACAATTTTGCTGGTCCCCGGTTTAAAGATTTCTGTCCCAAGAAGGCAAAAATGGAAAGCAAAGGGGAGTTTGGGCCTTCCTGGGATAGAAGATGTAATCTAGGCTGGTGTTTCTAAAGTAGATAATATTGGCTTCTGGCGCAAATCTGGGTTGCAGACTGTTTCATTTTGTGGTTTAATCTGTGTGTGTTTGTTTTACCTGCAATACTCTTTTGCACATTTTATTTTTAAAAATTAAGTAAGCTTCTGCATTTTATTTTATTTTTATTTTATTTTATTTTGAGATGGAGTCTTGCTTTGTCACCCAGGCTGGAGTGCAGTGGTGCAATCTTAGCTTACTGCAACCTCCACCTCCTGGGTTCAAGTGATTCTCCTGCCTCAGCCTCCTGAGTAGCTGGGATTACAGGCGCGTGCCACCATGCCCGGCTGATTTTTGTATTTTTAGTAGAGACAGGGTTTCACCATGTTGGCCAGGCTGGTCTTGAACTCCTGACCTCAGGTGATCCGCCTGCTGCAGCCTCCCAAAGCGCTGGGATGACAGGCGTGAGCCACCGCTCCTGGCCTATGCTGCTGCAATTTAAAATTCTGAATATTTCACATTAAAAACTGATTCGCAGTTTCTCTTCAAAAATGGGGACCTCTGTCTCACATTTCCATGCGGGAGTAATGAATCCCTGGATGACGTAGCTGACATCAGCAGCCCTCTTTAGACTGGGTGTAAACTCTCCAGTTGGCCAAAGTCCCCACCTGGCTCTATATTCTTGCCTGGCCCTGTAGATATTTGAGTTTGCAACCCCCGAACCAAAATGTATTTAGTAAGAGCCCAGTCTTTGGTGTCCCACGTAGGCATGAATCCTGACTCAGCCACTTACTAGTTGTGGTATCTATGGCAAATTACCTCTCCAAACCTCAGTTCCTTCTTCTACAGAATGAAGATAATAATAGTAACTTCATGGAGTTGCCATGAGAATTAGTTGAGGCAGTAATAGCAGTTATTACGCCAGTTGCTGTTCTCAGCACTTTACACATAAATCTTTTAATTAGGCAATGACATAAAGCACTTAGTACAGTTCCTGGAGTATGGTAGGAACTCAGTATATTACAGCTATTATTACCGTTGGTTTTGGTAGGTACTTTAGGATCACAAGAGACACATTGGCGCCATGGTGAGATTTTAAGAAGCAATATAGAAGGAAAAGGAATCAAGAATTTTCCCCAAGGAAGACTCCACACTGAAAATGAATCTGCTGGCAACCCATGTCATACATGCATCACAAAGTGAGCTTGGACATTCATGTAAGTAGCATATTGCTGGCTCCCAGAAATAACCACTATTTAGCATTTTTGTATATTTCCTTCCAGGCTTTTTTTCCCCTGTGCTTTCGCACACAAATGGCTTTACAAAACTGGGATCGTGCTGTTCTTCTCACTTATATTTTCTTAGGAGTATCCTCCCATATCAGTAAATCTTAGAAAAGTAGAATGAGATTGGACTTGCCCACCCACTGTAGAAGATGGAACCAAGAGAGATGGTGAAAACATGCAGACTGCAAGGATGAAGTCAGGATGCAGAGAAGAGCACAGCTTTAAGTTCAGGCATTGGAGCAGAGAGAGGTAGAAGCTAAAGCAGGAAAAAGATCAATGGCGTTTGGTCTGGGTGACGGATCCGGTGGTTACAGGTGAGGGAGGACAGGAGCCCAGGTGACGGAGGACAGGAGCCCAGCGAAGGGCATGTGTGAGAGCCGGGCCCTGAGAATTCATAGACCCCAGGACCCCGGGAAGAGGTTTGGAGAGAAAGACAGAGCCAAAAGAGATTTCCGGAGGTGTTGAAGTGCAGTTGTAGAGACTGGCTTTTTGGTGGCCACAGCTTCATCCTGGGGAGAGAAGATTGTACTAATAGTTCGTCTCTGGTTCAGACAATGGAAAAGTACTTCCTTCACATGAGGAGGGGTGCTGTCCTTAAGCGGATACTCTTTTTTTCTTTTTCTGTTCCTTTTTAGTTGACATGTAACAATCGTACATATTTATGGGATACAGAGTGATACTTTGATACACGTATATAACGAATAATGATCAAATCAAGGTAATTGGCAAATCTATCTCTTTTAGCTTTTGGAAAAGGTACACTAAATTATTTTATTTATTTATTTTGAGACGGGGTCTCGCTCTGTTGCCCAGTCTGGAGAGCAGTGTCATGCTTATGGCTCACTGAAGCCTCGACGTTTTGGGCTCAAGTGATCCTCCTACCTCAGCCTCCTATAGCTGGAACTACAGGTATGCACTGCCACACCTAGGCTAGTTTTTATATTTTTGTAGAGATGGGGTCTCGTCATGTTCACGATCTTGAACTCCTGGGTTCAAGCGATCCTCCCACCTCAGCCTCCCATGTAGCTGGGACTAGAGGTGTGCACCACCACAACCAGCCAATTTTTATATTTTTTGTAGAGATGGGGGTCTTGCCATGTTGCTCAGGCAGATCTTGAACTGCTGGACTCAAGCAATCTTCCCACCTAGGCCTGCAAAAGTGCTGGGATTACAGGTGTGAACCACCACACCTGGCCACACTAAGTTATTGTTAACCATATTCACCCTACAGTGTTATAGGATATTAGAATGTATTCCTCCCTTCTAGCTGTAACTTCTGACACTTTTTCTTAAAGGTCAAACCCTTGAAATTTTCCTACTGAAATCAGGACTGAGATAAGAATGCCCATCATTGCCTCGATTATTTGTTATGGTTTGACAAATTCTAGCACAAGAAGGAATAAAACAGAATTAAGAGTTATAAGCAACAGAAAAAAAATGGAGTAAAATTACAATTTTTCCAGGTGATAGAATTAGTCTACTTAAGTAGCTGAAAGTAGGCCGGGTGCAGTGGCTCACGCCTGTAATTCTAGCACTTTGGGAGGCTGAGGCCGGTGGATCACCTGAGGTCTGGAGTTCGAGGCCAGCCTGGCCAGCATGGTGAAACCCCGTCTTTACTAAAAATACAAAAATTAGCTGGGCGTGGTGGCGGGCACCTATAGTCCCAGATACTCAGGGTGCCGAAGCAGGAGAATCTGTCTAACCTGGGAGGCGTAGATTGCAGTGAGCTGAGATGGCACCACTGCACTCCAGCTTGAGTGAGACAGCAAGACCCCAGCTCAGAAAAAAAAAAAAAAGGAAGAAGCAGCTGAAGGCAATTAGCTGAGAAAACACAGTAGAATGAATGAAAGAGCTCAGTGAGGTGGTTTCTTACATGATATTAAGCCATACAATAAAGCTGTAATAATTAAGTCATTGTGGTACTGGCATTTTAAAATCACATTTACTATGATATTTTTTCAATACAGAGAAATAATACAAAGAAAACAAGAAACAGTCCATTACCCTTTATTCAGTTAATCCCTTTTAAATTAAAAAGAATAGATGTACATAGAGAATTAAAACAGTATGGAGGGATTAAAAGTGCTTTCCCCACCACCAAAAATTCTCTCACCTGATAACTCAGCAGAATAATTTTTGTTAACTGCACGTGGAGTGAAATTATGTCTAAGCTGAGACCTGAAGGTTAATGAGAAGTTAATCAGAGGAAGGGAGGCGTGTTTCTCAAAGCAGAGGGAATAGCATGTGTGATGATGAGAGAATGAACAAGAGAAAAACTCATTTGGGAACTCAAAGTAGCTCAAGGTGTTTAGAGGATTAACGGTCTGGAGGACAGATCCAGTGGGTACAGGTGAAAGGAGAGGGGTGATGGGAACCGGGGAAGGTAAGTGTGAGAACTGGGTTGTGAAGACTGGTTTTAGGTCCTAGGGATTCCCTAATGCCCAAGACAGAGACGGTCTTGATCCTCAGAACTTGCATTCTCACTGAGGAGAGAGACTATAGACAATATAACCGAGCTTTGAAAGATACAAAACACTGGGGCTGGGCATGGTGGCTCATGCCTGTAATCCCAGCACTTTGGGAGGCCGAGGCAGGCAGATCACTTGAGGTCAAGGGTTCGAGACCATCCTGACCAACATGGTAAAACCCTGTCTCTACTAAAAAATACAAAAATAAGCTGGGCATGATGGTGCGTGCCTATAATCCCAGCTACTCGGGAGGCTGAGGCAGGAGAATAACTTGAACCCAGAAGGCAGAGGTTGCAGTGAGCCGAGATCTTGCCACTGCACTCCAGCCTGGGTGACAGAGCGAGACTCTGTCTCAAAAAACAAACAAACAAAAACAAAAAACCAAGAAAGATACAAAACAGGATGATGTGATAGCAACTCTTCATTGGGTGGGGGCAAGTGGAGGGCAACATTGGATAGGGTTGTTGCAGAAGGGACACTTGAGCTCAGACCTGAAAAAAGAGAAGGAGCCAGTTATATGAAGAGTCCAGGAAAGAGCTTTCCAGGTAGAAGGAAATGGAAATGCAAAGACCCTGGGGCGAGAGTGAACTTGGTGAGTTTGAGGAACAGAAGAGAGGCTAGTAGGAAAAAAGAAGGCCTATTGCGGTGGTTTCACTGGGTCCATCAGCTGCCCTTCCAGCTGTCTTTTCAGCACAGGGATCACTGGGTCCATCAGCTGCCCTTCCAGCTGTCTTTTCAGCACAGGGATCACTGGGTCCATCAGCTGCCCTTCTAGCTGTCCCTTTAGCTCTCCATGTCCCTTCAGTTGCCCATGTCCATGTGCAACTCAACCTCTGGAAAATCTAGGAGGTTGAGTTGCACATGGACATGGACCAAGGTCAGCCCCAACTCTTTCTTAGGGTAGGGAGTAACCTTGAGACCACCAGATTTGGGGTAACTGAAAGAACTGACTTGGTTCTGGGTGGCTTCCAAACATGCAGGAATGGGGAGGGAATCTAGAAATGGGATGTTTGTATTTTTAACTATTTTTTAATTTAAAAATTATTATTATTATTATTATTATTAACAATGGGATCTCACTACATTGCCCAGGCAGGTCTCAAACTCTTGAGCTCAAGCTATCCTCCTGCCTCTGCCTCCCTAAGAGCTGGGATTACAGATGTGAGCCACCATGGACCTGGCCTGTATGTTTAACTCTTAAAGCCCTTGTCATCTGTCTCTGGAGAAAGTGGTGCTTCCCAGGTACTTGAGCTGAAAAGGGGCTCAGAGTCCCTATTTTGAGTGTTTCCTTTCAGATCTCAGCAGCGTGGGCCCCAGCCTGATCCTGGGAAGTGGTCACCAGCAATCACAAAGGGGTATAAGGCTGCTTGTCTGTGGATTTTTACAAGTAAGTCAGATGGTTGCAATCTGGGGGAGAAATCGGCTGCTTCTTCTTCAGCAGGTGCCTATCTGACCTCTAGAGGGGTAGTGTGGTATACTGGTAGGAACGCAAGCTTTCAGTTTGAATCCTTGGCCAGCCACTAAGTTACTACTTGTATGGCCTTGTGCAATGGACTGAATGCTCACGTCCTCTCAAGATTCCTATCTTGAAATCCTAATGCCTGCAGGGCATGGTGGCTCACACCTGTAATCCCAGCACTTTTGGAGGCCAAGGCAGGAGGATCTATTGAGCCCAGGAGTTCAAGACTAGCCTAAGCAACATGGCAAGACCCCTCTCTACAAAAAGTTTAGAAATTAACTGGACATGGTGGCACACACCTAGAGTCCCAGATGCTCAGAAAGCCAAGGTGGGAGGATCACTTGCGTCTGGGAGATTGAGGCTGCAGTGAGCTATGATCACACCACTACACTCCAGCTTAGGTGACAGAGGAAGACTCTATATAACAAAACAAAACAAAACAACAACAACAACAAAAAAGAAAATCCTAATGCCTACAATGATGGTATTAGGAGTGGGGCCTGCTGGGACATAATTAGGTCACGAGGGTGGGGCCCTCATGAATGGGATTAGTGTCCTTATAAAAGAAACTCCAGAGAGCTCTCTTGTTCTCTTTCTTCCCAGGATCATACCTATACTAGGATTATAGGTATGAGTCACAGTGCCTGGACTTGATCTCCTCAGTTAGAAAATGTTAATGATTGGCTGGGCACAGTGGCTCACGCCTGTAATCCCAGCATTTTGGGAGGCTGAGGCAGGCAGATCACAGGGTCAGGATATCGAGACCATCCTGGCTGACACGGTGAAACCCCGCCTTTACTAAAAATACAAAAACAAAATTAGCCGGGTGTAGTGGCGGGCGCCTATAGTCCCTGCTACTCGGGAGGCTGAGGCCGGAGAATGGCGTGAACCTGGGAGGCAGAGCTTGCAGTGAGCTGAGATCACGCCACTACAGTCCAGCCTGGGAGACAGAGCGAGACTCCGTCTCAAAAAAAAAAAAAATGCCAGTGATCTCCAGATTGCTGGGGTTTCTTTCTTTCTTTCTTTTTTTTGGAGACAGAGTGTTACTCTGCTGCCCAGGCTGGAGTGCAGTGGTGCAATCTCGGCTCACTGCAACCTCCGCCTCCCAGGGTCAAGCGATTCTCCTGCCTCTGCCTCCCGAGTAGCTGGGACTACAGGTGCATGCCACCAAAATTGCAAGAGCTCAGGGCCTAGGGTTAGGCAGACCTTGGTTTTATGACTCAGTTTCCCCTTTTCTAAAAGTATTTATTGGGCCGGGCACAGTGGCTGACGCCTGTAATCCCAGCACTTTGGGAGGCCGAGGCAGGCGGATTTTTTTTTTGTTTTTTATTTTTTGGTATTTTTAGTAGAGACAAGGTTTCACCATGTTGGCTAGGCTGGTCTCCAACTCCTGGCCTCAAGTGATCTGCCTGCCTTGGCCTCTCAAAGTCTGAGATTACAGGCGTGAGCCACCACCCAGCCTGTTGGGGGTTTCAAAAGAAATCATCATAGTATCCATGTTTGTTGAGATGTGCTCTGTCAGGCCTTGGGTAAGGGCTCTTTGGGTATTCCTCACAATCCCATGAAGCAGGCACTATTGTTGGTCATAGGATGAGCTGAGGAGCATGGATTTTGGAGCCAGAATGAGCGGGTTTGAATCCCAGCTCTGCAAGTTGCTTAACTTAAAAGTGCCTCAGTTTCCTCCTTTGAAAGCTGAGAATAACAGTAGGAATAGAAAAGTCAGTGTTCGTCAAGTGCATTAGAGCAATGCTTAGCACATGGGAAGTATGTATGTGGATGTCCATTCAATAAATATGTTTATTTTATTTTATGTATGTATGTATGTATGTATGTATTTGAGATGGAGTCTTGCTCTGTTATCCAGAATGGAGTGCAGTGGCGCGATCTTGGCTCACTGCAACTTCTGCCTCCCAGGTTCAAGCGATTCTCATGCCTCAGCCTCCTGAGTAGCTGAGATTACAGGTGCCCGCCACCACGCCCAGCTAATTTTTATATTTTTAGTACAGACAGCGTTTCACCATGTTGGCCAGGCTGGTCTTGAACTCCTGACCTCAGGTGATCTGCCTGCCTCAGCCTCCCAAAGCGCTGGGATTACAGGTGTGAGCCACTGTGCCTGGCCCAATAAATACTTTTATAGAAGGGGAAGCTGAGTCATAAAACCAAGGTCTGTCTAACCCTAGACCCTGAGCTCTTGCAAAATCCTCTAAATAGCACTAACATAGTGCCAAGCACTGGGAAGAGGGTTAACAGGGGGCAGTTATTAATATCATTATCTCTATTTTGGGCATGGGGGTGAGAGGAAACCAATGGGAAATTGGAGGGTATGGCCTTCTTCATCCTGCCCTCACCCAGACATGGGTACACATGTGCAGACCTGTGCATGTGGGTGCATGCATGCGTGTGTATTCTCACAGAGCGCTAACCCAGGCAAGGAGCCCCAGGAACCATCACTCCCGGGAGGGAATAGACCTAGACCAACCTGCCATGCCAATTTTGGCCAAAGGCCAGACAGAGCTTTCTGGGTCATTCAAAGACAGCTCTGAATTTAGTGGATCTGACTTCAAGTCAAGAAATACTGGATCCAGAGCAGAGAGGCCTGGGGAAGTGAGACTATCATCCAAGGCCCAATCTTTCCAAGTTTGCAGTCCTGAAGGGAGATCCTAAATGGGGAGTGGAGACAGGTTTCCCCAGGATGTCCCCCCTCCAGTGGAAGGAGAGGATATCAGTAGAGCCTCTTGATGGTCTTCTCACATCCATCTCCTCTGCACAGCCCACACGGAGGGTCCTGGGGCAGATTTTGGTGGCTGTGAATCCACGAATCTAACAGAGAGACATCACTTCAGAGCAGGCTCTGGACAGTCATGATGTGCTCAGAGTGAGGGCTGGCACTCCTCACCAGCCCACCTAGCCCAGCCACAGTGCCTGGAACCTGCTCCAACCCATAAACAGGGCCAATTCTGTAGCCAGAGCTTGACATCCATCTCAGCATGAGTCCAGCCAGTGCAACCACATTCCAGGCCCCCAAAAGCCCAGCTTAGAGCTCAAAACAGAGGCCAACAGGAACCTAGGGTCCAGCGTTGTAGGTCTTTTGCTAGAACTCTTTTGTGAAGATTTTTGCTTTATGATATCAGGAAGGAAGAGCAAATATCATTTGTGTTTATGCTTCCTGAGTACTTGGGTTAAGCCCTTGATTAAGAATGTTTGGGCCCCTGTTGTTACAACAGATCTTTATTATCTGAGAATAAAGATGCCTTACAACAGTGATTCTCAACACTGGTTCACATTGGAATTACTTTGGGAAGGGAAGCTTGAAAAATGCTGAGGCTGGGGTTCTGCTCCCAGGGATTCTTACTTTATCTGGGCATCTGAATTCCTCTCCTGTCCTCTCCTCTCCTCTCCCCTTCCTTTCTTTTTGAGAGATAGGGTCTTGCTCTGTCACCAGACTGGAGTGCAGTGGCACAATCATAGCTCACTGCAGCCTCAAACTACTGGGCTCAAGAAATCCTCCTACCTTAGCCTCCTGAGTAGCTAGGATTACAGGTGCACGCCACCATACCCGGCTAATTTTTAAATTATTTTTTTTTGTAGAGATAGGGTCTTGCTATGTTGCCCAGGTTGTGGATTTTTCAAAGCTCCTTGGGTGATTAACTGTGCAGCTAAGGTCAAGGACCACAGCCTTCAGGTGAGTCCACTCAAAAATAGGGACTAAAGCCTCTTTCTAGATGAGAATGGGCACTGTCGATCATGGTGTCTGAAAATTGTAAGTGGCTAAATTGAAACACAGGTTATGCTTCCATAAGAGTATATGTATTGCAGTGGTGACAATGAGACCTGTAACACTTTGAAAATTTTTTTAAGAGAATAAAATAAAAGAAAAAAAACCCAGGGCCTCCTATTCATAGTAAACAATCAAGTCCGAAAACATGCTTCCAACTTTATCTGAAAATGAAATTATAATTCAGGAAAACATGCTGATTTTTTTCTGATCTTCTTTAACTATGTACTAGGGTAAACAAAAAAAGTAAGCTTTGTTGATTTCGGAGTGGCAGGGTTGGGGCATGCATAATTTTTCTGATAAAATTGCGTGGTAGTCCAGTATGAAATCTTTCCCTTCCCTGACAAGATCATAAAGTTTGACTTTCACAGCAGGATCATAAAATGGGTCATTTTTGCAAGCAATATTTGAGCCTGTCATCAGTTTTCCTAAGGGCTCCTGTTAATCCTTTGATATTCAAATCATTGGATGTGTCTATCACATCATCATTCTTGTCAATTTTCTCTTCTTCCATTGTTAGCTTGTGTCCCTCCAGCAGGCTCTTGTCTACCCGTGGTTAACACATCACGTTTTGCCTCCTATTTTCGTTGTTTTGTCACGTGTTGACAAGAGCTGGCAATCAGAACCAGGCTGTCAGACAAAAACCGCGAATTGCAGAGTGTTAAATGGGGCAGGGGTGTGGAGTGGAGTAGGGAGGGGGTGCCTGTGTAGGGAATGATTTTATAACTGGTCCGGTCATGAATGCACATATTCATATTAAGACAGAGTTTACTTGCCTGTCCGTGCAACCTTGCGCACACAGGGATTTGGATAATGAATTCATAGTAACAAGGACCCTGAGCTGAGCTTGGCCCCTGATCAAGATGAAGCACTTAGGGTATAGCAATTACAAATTACCGCTTCTAATAAGAGAACAACGAGTCAGTTACTGAGAAATAAACATTTTCTTCTGGTGTAAAGAACTGTGGTTGATGCACATCCTGATTTATTCTTTTCTCATTCTTTTTTTTTTTTTTTGAGACAGGGTCTTGCTCTGTTGCCCAGGCTGAAGGGCAGTGGCACAATCATGGCTCACTGCAGCTCCAATCTCCCAGGCTCAGGTGATCCTCCCACTGCAGCCTACCAAGTAGCTGGAGCTGCAGGTGCATGTCATCGCCCTTGGCTAATCTTTTTATTTTACTTTTGTAGAGATGGAGTCTCACTATGTTGTCCAGTTGGTCTCAAACTTCTGGCCTCAATTGGTCTGCCACCTTAGCCTCCCAAAATGCTGCAATTATAGGCATGAGCCATTGCACCCGGTCCCTGATTCATTCTTTTGTTCAATAGATATCTGGAGAGGCACCTAGGTTGCTTGTGTTAAGCACTGTTTCCAGCACTTGAAATTTATCAGTGAACAAAATAGACCAGGCTGTTATATTCTACCAGAGAGAGATCTAGCGTAAACAAAGAAATAAATGAAACAAATGCATCACTAAAAAGGAAAAGATAATTTCAGTGGTAAGTTCCATGAAAATAATAAACCCTGGAGAGAATGTGATTGGGGTGGGGGAGGACAGTCGTGAGATTGGGTGGACAGAAAGGGCCTATCTGAGCAGTCAACCTGAGTGACAAGAGGAAGCCACCCATGGGAAGATTTGAGGGAAGAGCCTTCCAGGCAGAGGAAACTGCAAGTGCCAAGGCCTTGGGGAAGTATGGCACTTTAGTGTGTTTCTAGAACCAAGACAAGCTCAGGGCAACTGGAGCAGAATGAGTGAGGGGGAAAGTGGGATGAGATCAGGCCCATGAAGGAGCAGGCACACATCACCGAGCTTCTTACAGGCCAGGGTCCAGAACTGAAAAGGAGCATGTATGGTCCAGGCTTTGGAGGGTTTTCAGCACATGAGAAACACAATCTGATTTACAGTGTAAGAAATCTCTTTGCATGCTAGGAACTTGTGGAGGAGCAGGAATGAAAGTGCATCTTAGAGGAATCATTGAAAGTGACCTTGGGCCTTTTGGAGAAGCCACTGGTGATGGGGGTGGAACAGTGATCAAGCCAGAGTCCACAGAGGTATGCCTCTTCGAGAGAGGGTACTGCCTTAAAACAGAGTATGGGAAATTTAATGAGGAATGACAGTCCTTGCTACCTGTCCATTTCTGCACATGATGAATAGGCTTGCTTCATTTCTAAAGAGCCTGGTTTTGAGCTCTTTGCTTGATCGGCCCATTGAATGTGTTTGGGAGGTTTAGAGTGAACTGTTTTCCTTGGTCCTTCATTATTTGGTTATTGAGGGTTTTGATTCTGGTTAGTCCTGGACCTCAGAGCCAAGAGCCCAGCCCTTCCTAGCCTAGACCACAGGGCATGTTCACCAACACAGTACCTTGAAACTTTGTAGGCACTGCTGTAGGAGTCACCAATTAGGTAGAATAGTCATGTGTTTGGGGTACCAGCAAAGCAGGGGTACAGAGAGAGAGAGAGACAGAGAGAATGACAACTATAAATTATTTGATATTTGATGTTTACAAAAACCATTGAAATGCAATGGAAAAAAACCAGATGTGTGTTGATCTTCCTTACTTAACAGCTTAGTATTACTAACACTGGAGATCTGTGAGGGTAGGGTGGTCACCCTGATCATTTCACTGTTTAGAGTGTCTGAAAGTCTTCTTAACCCTACCTTGGCAGGCATTCAAAAGCATGAAGAACTCATCCTGTTTCCAGACCACAGAGGCTTCTGGAGCTTCTGGGGAGAAGGGTTGAAGAGAACAAGTGTCCTGGGTCTTAGCTGCTTTTTAACTGGTGACATCTCTCTTTCAGAGGTGCCTGGAAAAATTGAGTCCACTTGCATGAGAATCACCTGGGCTCTTCTTAAAACAAACCAACAAGTGCATTCCTGGGCACCTACCTACACAATGCCCTGAATTAGAGGCTTTGAGAACCTGTGTTTTTGAACAGGTTTCTCCAAGATTCTGATGCATAGCAGAGGCTGAGAGCAGTGCTGTGACCTCAGGAGGTGCTCCAGCCTCTGTCGTCAGATGGACACACAGTATTGTCATAACCTCACAAAAAACTTGCCCTCAGGGAGTATTTGAGACCCTGCCTGGAGGATAGGCAAGATAGGTTTGGGGATGTGGAAGGTTTGTGGGGAGGGTTATTTCCTCTTAGAAGATTTGGGATTGAGGCCTTCTGAGACTGATCTGAGGTCTCCCTACAAGCAAGCATCACAGCCATGGTGAGTCCTGAGTCCTTGACTGCAGCTGCGAGTGCAGAGCTGGTCTGTACCTTGGACTTGGGCTTCACTTTCATGGGCCAACAGAGTTTGACATGGTTCCCTAATGCAGCTACGCACATGGTCACTGGGATGCTCCAGCAGATGTGAGGGATGCTCATTGCGTGGCATTTAACTTATGTCTCATTACCAGACACTACCAGTTGTTTCTTTTCTTTTATTTTTTCTTTTTTTTTGAGACACAGTCTCACTCTGTTGCCCAGGCTGGAGTGCAGTAGCTCAATCTCAGCTCACTGCAACCTCCATCCTCTGTGGTTCAAGAGATTCTCGTGCCTCAGCCTCCCAAGTAGCTGGAATTACAGGTGCATGCCATCATGCCCAGCTAATTTTTGTATTTTTTTAGTAGAGACAGATTTCACCATGTTGGCCAGGCTGGTCTCAAACTCCTGACCTCAAGTAATCCACCTGCCTTGGCCTCCCAAAGTGTTGGGATTACAGGCGTGAGCCACTGTGGCCCAGCCACTACCAGTTGTTTTCTAATCCTGTAAGCAGCATGTAAATAGCACAATGACAATATAATGTGTAGAGGTTCAGAGTTTAAAATATTATTTTTGACCCTAATGTGACACTTTCTTCATTAAAAAAGGTAATGCAGGAAGAGTTAAAGAAAAAAAACAAAGAGTGACGTCTCAACTCCTGAGAGACCTGGGCTTGGATTTCTGTTCCCTGCAAACTACATAAACATGTGCAGAATCAAACCTGCAAAACTGGAGCCTATGTTTAACTGTCTGTATAAAGAGCCACACTTTTTGACATTTTGTGAAACGTTAGCATTCTGACTATGTTAAGCTGAGAAAGAGAAGAGAGCCTCCTGGATCTGTCTCCAGCTACCCTGGACTGCTTATTTCAACCTTCGCTGGTCAGCTCTGCCCAGCACTAACAGATTTGCTCCCAAGCAAATCCATCCCGGGCCCTGACATTTATCCGGGGCATCTTTTACTCTCTTCTATTCATTAAGCATGGGTGGTTGCCACGGCAACCATTAACTGCACCTGACATCCAGGAATAGTTCTGGCGTTTTGAGCAAACACCACACTGGGATTTAGTTCTGCAAGGTAAAGACCTGGACGCCTCCCTCCAACTTGCATGGACATCCTGGTGGTTCCCCCACCCCTGCTCGAATCTGAGCTGCCCCCAGGCTTCTTGGGTGAAGAAGGGAAACAGGGCGGTGTCTCCTCCCCCAGATCCCCATTCTCCCTGCCCACTCAGCCCTTAGGATCTTTGCTAGTTGCCATATGATGGGGGTGTGGCGGGGGCTGTCTCTGAGTGGGGTGAGCCTACGAAAGGGTGTATGTGTGTATGTGATGAAGTCGGGGTGAGAGTGGAGGGCATCCCAGGTTATCAGAGGTGGACGCAGACGCATTTTGGA
The DNA here is from genome assembly GCF_000001405.40 of Homo sapiens. NCBI lineage: Eukaryota > Metazoa > Chordata > Mammalia > Primates > Hominidae > Homo > Homo sapiens. The sequence goes on along the minus strand of NC_000016.10, from coordinate 24,328,843 downwards.
AGAGCAAGGAATGTAAATGGGCACACGATGCCCGCCTGTGGATGTGACTCTGTGTGGGTGCACTGGTGAGTACATGTCTTATGGCTGCCAGGCCTTTGCAGCTGATGCTCTTTCTGCCTGGACCACTTTCTCCCAGCCCTTCACGGGGCCGTCAGGTCCTCACCTCACTTGAACATCTCCAGTCACTTTCTTTGCTAAGCTTACGATGATCCGTGAGTATGCGAAATATCTTGTTTATATTTATTGCCTAGTTTATTTTCTGACTTCTTATTTCCTAGACTATAAGCACCACTGAATCCCAAATATCCTGCACCCAATCTGATACACAGTAGGTGCTTTATAACTGTGCCCTGAACATCAGACTGTCCTTTGTATATGTCTGCAGGTATCTTGGGCAACTTCTTGTTGGATGGTGACAAAAGTCCTTAACCTGGCCTACGAGATCCTCTGTGATGTGGCCCCAGCCCCTCTCCAGATCTTTCTCACCAAATTTCTGCTGCACAGGCTTTGTTTTATCTTTCCTGCCTCAGGGCCTTTGCACGAGCACCCTCAGCCTCAATTATTTCTCCCTCTCCATCCTGCATTTGAGTAATTTCTATCTGGGCTTCAGATCTTACCAAAAATATGTCCCCAGGCTGATGCCATCCAATAATCTGCCCTCACAGCACCACACCCTGTGCTTCTCTTTCAGGCACATATTACAAAGGATTAATTATGAGTTTAATGATGTGTCTGTTTATTCCTCTCTATTGTAAATCCCAAGAGCATCTCTGTCTTGCTCACCACTGTCTTCCCAGGACCTGGCACATAGTAGGTTGTTAAATAAACAAGTGGACAAATGAATGTATGGGATGAGTACTGCGTATTTCCTTCATGTCTGAATTGTTTTTACTTTGTTTGTTGTCTGAGACAAGGTCTTTCTGTGACACTCAGGAGTGCAGTGGCATGATCATAGCTCACTGCAGCCTCAAACTCCTGGGCTCAAGTGATTTTCCTGCCTCAGCCTCCCATGTAGCTGGGACTACAGTTGCTCACCACTATGCTCCATTACTGTTTTCATTTTTTGTAGAGATGTGGTCTCACTATGTTGCCCAGGCTGGCCTTGAACTCTTGGCCTCAAGCGATCCTCCTGTCTCAGCCCCCCAAAGCATTGGGATTACAGGCATGAGCCACTGCACCCGGCCTGTTTTTTTTGTTTTGTTTTGTTTTGTTTTTGTTTTTTTTGAGACAGGTTCTCACTATGTCACTGAGGCTGGAGTGCAGCGGTACAATCATAGCTCACTGCATCCTTTAACTCCTGAGCTCAAACGATCCCCCCAACCTCAGCCCCCCCATATATATATATATGTATATATTCATAGTATATGTGTGTGTGTGTGTGTGTGTGTATATATATATATATATACACACACACACACACATATATATATTCGTAGAAACAAGTTCTTATTTTGCCCAGGCTGCTTTCGAACTCCTGGTGAGGAGTTCGAAGTGAGGGCTCAAGTGATCCTCTCACTTTGCCCTCCCAAAGTGCTGGGATTACAGGCATCAGTCACAGCACCCAGCCTGGATGAACTGTCCTTTAAGCTTTGTTTATTGGCATCTCTTCACTGCCTGAGACTCTCCTTTTATTCCAGAGCCTCTCTGAGCCCAAGTCTTCTTTTCCTCTTCCTTCTCTCATTGCTATGGCTTTTTTTTTTTTTTTTTTTTTTTTTTTGGTTTGGAGCCCCTGCCTTGGCCACTCCTTAGAGACTTAGGACTCCACCTCTCTGCATGAGGAGGAAGCCAGGCTACCATCACATTTACCGCCACCTCCTTCATCCCCATCACCTGCTGCCATTAGCAGGGAGAGGCCAGCCTCTGTTTCTGGCCTGAGCCTCGAGCCTGGAGCCTCCAGTTAGCGTCATTAGCTAGACTGGTTCAGGATCAGGTGGCAGGGGAGCGAGATCATGGCGTGTTTCTCTGGTCAAGGGGCTAAGGTTACTGGTCTGTACCAGGCATCTGGAGGGAACATCTGTTCTAGCTGCCAGAGGAGCTTCCATTCTCCCTTCCACTGGTAAGGCTACCTTCATTCCACTGTAGGGAATGCCTTCTCTCCCTCTTCAGCCTGTGCAGAGAGTGAGGTGAGCATAGGGTGACTCCATTGTCAGTTTCAGAAGTGGGCATGTGATTCAGTCCTGGCCAATCAGAATTCTAAATTCTCCTGGCTACAGTGGTTGGCTAAGAGGGTGAGCACATGACCCAGATCTGGCCAATCAACATGTCTCACCACCTTGATTGGCGTGATTGGTTCAGGGGAGGGCAAGTGACCAAGTTTGTCCAGTGAAGATAGTCTTGGAACATTGGTTAGAAATGTTGAGAAAGAAAAATTTTGGCCGGGTGTGGTGGCTCATGCCTGTAATCCCAGCACTTTGGGAGGCCGAGGCGGGCGGATCACCTGAGGTCGGGAATTCGAGACCATCCTGACCAACATGGAGAAACCCTGTCTCTACTAAAAATACAAAATGAGCCGGGCCTACTGGCGCATGCCTGTAATCCCAGCTACTCGGGAGGCTGAGGGAGGAAAATTGCTTGAACCTAGGAGGCGGAGGTTGTGGTGAGCAGAGGTTGTGCCATTGCACTCTAGTCTGGGCAACAAGAGCGAAACTCCATCTCAAAAAAAAAAAAAAGAAAAAAGAAAAAACAAAAAAGAAAAATGTTATTTTCCATTGAGTGGCTAAGCTAGTGGGCTGGGGCTACAGTTGCCAAGCCCCCAACCCCCCCACGTTGGAGACAGCAAGCTTGAGGGTGAAATCAAGGCAGAGATTTCAGAATAGAGCTGAGAGGTGTTGACCATCTGAATCTTGCTAATATCATTTGAGTCCCTGGCTCCAGCCATGCTTGAAACAGGTAAACCTTGGGTATTTCAGTTCCATCAGCCAATAGCTTATGTGGCTGCTTACGCTTATTTGAAATGGATTTCTGTACTTTGCAACTGAGAGTCCTCACAAACTGAGAGTCCTCACCTGTTTGGAACAGCAGCACCTACCATTTATTAAGCTCTAACCATGTAATAGTCTCCCAGTCCCAGCTTTGCCTCCATGCCTGCTCTGCAAACCTGAGCAACTCACATTATTACCATTTGTGATCTTGGTTTCCACAGTTGTGAAAAGAAGCTCATAAACTCTACTTTTCCTACCTGTCGGGCTTGTTGTGAGCATCAAAGTGATGGGTATGAGGCGGCTCATAAACTGTGAATCACCAGCCCGTGCTGCATAACAGTACTGGGCACCTTCTCCCAGCCGCAGAGCTCGCTGGGGTTGGCGGGGCTTGCGCTCAGCAATGCATTCCAGCTGATGTACGCCAGCACTGGGGTCTGGCTCCTAGGACTTGGGAAAGGGAGCTCCCAGGGTCCCGAGTGTTTCTGATCTCAGGAGTGTGGGAGAATAGAGTGGGCTAAAGGTTGGTGGTGGGTGACTCTGCTGAATGTTAACTGACGTCCCCCTAACCCTTGTTCCCATGTACCTGATGATGTTTCTTTTGTCCCAGGGAATGAGAACATCTCAGCAGATGCTGTCATGGATCAATGATCCAGACCACATGTACCCACCTCTGCTGTCCCCCAGAATTTAGACACCCCTCAAGGGAAGGAATTGGCTAAGATTAAAGAATTGGCTGATATTAAATTCCTGCCCTCTTCCCCCAGTAGACACAGAACTCATAACATAAATTCATTCATTCATTTCACTCAGTAAATATCTGCCCTGTGCCTGGCATCTCTACAGGCACTGTGGCTCCGCAGGCATGACATAGAGCACTCTTGGTTCTTCAAAGGGGATGGGGAGGACAATGGAACAAATGACTTCCAACAGCAATCAGAGCTAAAAAGACCCTCAACATAAGGGGCTCAGAGTGACCCAGGGTGATGAGGCAGGGAGGAGGTCTTTGAGAGAGCTGTGTGGCCTGAGAGTTGAAAGCGGAAAGAAACAGCCCCCTTGCAAATCAGGGCAAGCAGTGCAGGCAGAGGGAAGAGGAAGGGCTGGCCTTGTAGTAGCATAAGCTGGGGCATGGAGGAACAGAAGAGACCCAGTAGGGAACAGCAGAGTAGAGGGAGAAGGAGAGAAAAGCTGAGAGAAGGCTGAGACCACAGGAGGGAGAGCACATGGGCCACTGAGGAGCATTTATTCCAAGGGCAATGGGGCTTTCAGGGATTAAGCAGGAGAGTGATATGATAGGATATGCATTTTGTAAATGGTCCCTCAGGCTGCCAGATGGAGAATGATCTGGGGTGGGGGCAATGGTGATTTGAGCTAAACTGGCAGCTGGGGAAGTGGGAGAAGCTGTTGCCTTTGGCTACGATGATATTTTTGAAGGCAGAGCCAATGAGACTTGGTGTGTTGGGTCTGGGGAGTGGGGGAAACAGGCACCAGTGATGTCTATGCTTTTTGCCTGTGTATGGCTGGGGTAAGTAGTGGTACTAGGAGATGAGGTGGAAAAACTAGGCAAGAGGCAGATTTAGCAAGGAAATTAAGAAATGAAGTTCACTTGCAGAAAAATAGTTATATTCACACACACCTGGGTTTGTGGGCTGAATTCTGTATCCACTAGAAATACAAGCAAGGCAGATGCGGGTTCAAATCCCAGATCCACCACTTGCTGTGTGACATTGGGACCTTTACCTTTATTGAACTTCAGCTTTTTATACACAGGGATGGCAGTGTCTTTCTAACAGGCTTTATTGTTGTCTGGCTCTTTGAGAATTCAATAAAAAATGTATATAAGAAATCTAGTGGCTGGGTACATTGTCTCACGTCTGTAATCCCAACACTTTAGGAGGCCGAGGCAGGCAGATCAGGAGTTCCTGAGGTCAGGAATTCGAGACCAGCCTGGTCAACATGGTGAAACCCCATCTCAACTAAAAATAAACAAATTAGCCTGGTGTGGTGGTGTGCACCTGTAATCCCAGCTCATCGGGAGACTGAGGCAGAAGAATCGCTTGAACCTGGGAGGTGGAGGTTGCAGTGAGCTGAGATCACTCCACTGCCCTCCATCCTGGGCCACAGTGACACTCTGCCTCAAAAAGAAGGACATCTGGTAAGGTGCTGGACACATTCTGAGTGCTAAGTAAGTTTTATTCTTCTTCCCTCTGCCCTTCCAGGCAAAGGTAATGACTCCATTTGTCTATTATATTTATTAGTATCAACCTGTGGGAATGATGATCTTGACTTACTGAGCGTTGCTGTGATCCAACCTCAGTATCAACTGCTTTATATCAACATGAAGTCAAACCGACCTGGGATTGCATCCTGGTACTACCCCCTAGTAACTGCATCCTTGAGCTAGTTATTCAACCACTCTGAGCTTCAGTTTTCTTTGTTTAAAATAGGTGTAATGCTGCTATCCTCAAAAGACTGCTATGAGTATTAAAAGGCCATTGTAAAAATCAAAAAGCTTGGGAACATCTTAGATAATCTTTATTAGGGGAAGGATTAGATTCACTAAGATACATCCATGCTAGGGTCTAGTATAGGCAGCAATCATAAAGAATGAGGAAGTTCTGACCATCTGATGACCCAGAAAGATGTCCATATGGAAGGCCTCATCTCTCTCTTTCTCTCTCTCTCTTTTTTTTTTTTTTTTTTTTTGAGTCCTGCTCTGTGGCCCAGGCTGAATGTAGTGGCTCAATTATGGCTCACTGCAGCCTCAACCTCCCAGGCTCAACTGATCCTCCCAGCTCAGCTTCCTGAGTAGCTGGGACTACAGGCATTTGCCAGTATGCACAGCTAGTTTAAAAAGTTTTTTGTAGAGACAGGCTCTTGCCATGTTACCCAGGCTGGTCTCATATTCCTGAGCACAAGTAATCCTCCCACCTCAACCTCCCAAAGTGCTAGGATTACAGGTGTGAGCTGCCACACCTGGCCTTCATCTCATTTTTGTAAGGCGAAAAATATATGTGAGTGGATTGCAAGGCTGGTTATGTGAATAGTGGCCCTGGGAGTTGAGCAGTGCACTACCTGAGCAACTGTATAGAGGTATTTTGTGGCTTGATAGCAAAATAGGTAGATATTGATTTAGATTATAGACATAATCACAGATAAAGACATGAATATAGATATGTCTCAATATGCACACGGAATGACTGAGAAAGTTACTTTAAGGAACCTCTGTGGGTTGGGGAGGGGGTAGAATTTGAGAAGCAGAAGGGGAAAAACTTTTGCTTCTTACACTCTCCTCTTAAAAGTGCTTTAGGAGGGAGTTTTACTTTTTTTTTCTTTTTGGCTCCATTTTCTTGTATTTTACAAATGTAAAAGTCTTCTAAAAACAGAGCTAATGCATAAGAAAATGTTTAGCTAAGCACTGCCTGGCACGAGATTTGTATGTTCAATAAAAATGGCAACTAAAGAGAAAAAAGAGTGTGTTTAGTGGGGAGGGGGCAGAGGAGAAGACTAAGAGAAACTGTGGCTGTGAAGCATCCAGCTTCTCTTGGCAGCTTGTGGCAGGTCCCCAAGGGTGGCCGGGGTTCCTTTGAGGCGCTAATGACCTGATAGAGTCATTCACAGGCACTGGCTGGGCGGTGTTCTCCCGGGGCATCTGGAGACGGTGCTCCTTCCTCACCTAACGAAGGAGTGATGCTGACGTGAGCATTTCAATCCAAATGGGAGAGTGAGAGTCATCAGCGGGGCACAGGGTGGGGGTGAGGGTGGCTATGTCTGAGTTCCAGGCTCTTCCCTGCTCTCCTCCTCCCGCCTGTCTGGTTTCCAATTCAGGTTCCCCCATTGAATTAGCTGTATAACTTTGGCAAGTGACTTAACTGCTTGAGGCCTCAGTTTCCTCATCTGGTACACGGGTATACAGCAGTCCCTTCTCATCCACACGGGATACATTCCAAGACCCCCAGTGGATGTCTGAAACTGCGAATAGTACAAAAACCTATTTATACTGATTTTTCCTCTACGTACCTACCTATGATAATGTTTAATTTATCAATTCTACACAGTAAGAGAGTAACAACAGTAATTAATAAAACAGCACAATTATAGCAGTATATCATCATGAAAGTTATCACTCACTGTGGCCATAACTCTTGCAGTTTGAGATGTGACAGCAAAACTTGCCTGAATTTACTTTTCACAATTTCATGGATAGGAGATTCCTTCCCTAGATCTTAGCAACCTCAATAGATGATTTTCTTTTCTTTTGTAAGTCAAGAACTTTCACCTTTTCACTTAAAGGAAGCGCTTGACAGCTTCTCTTTGGCGTATTGGAATGGCAAGCATAACTACTCTTGTGCTTTGGGGATGCTATTAAGTAAAACTAGGGTTACTTAAACACAAGCACTGTAATACTAACACAATCCATCTGATAACCGAGACAACTCTTTATTTCTATTTCTTTTATTTTTATTTATTTATTTATTTATTTTTGAGCCAGAGTCTCACTCCATTGCCCAGGCGGGAGTGCAGTGGTGAGATCTCGGCTCATTGCAACCTCTGAGGTTCAAGCAATTCTCCTGCCTCAGCCTCCTGAGGAGCTGGGATTACAGGCACATGCCACCATACCCTGTTAATTTTTGTATTTTTAGTAGAGACAGGGTTTCACCATTTTGGCCTCAAGTGATCCTCCCGCCTCAGCCTCCCAAAGTGCTGGGATTACACAAAGGCGTGAGCCACTGTGCCTGGCCTGATAACCAAGCCAACGGTTAAGTGACTAACAGGTGGTTAGCATCTACAGTGTGGATACTTGGGACAAGGGAGGATTCACATCCTGGGTGGGATGGTGCAAGATTTCATCACACTACTCAGAACAGTGTGCAGTTTAAAACTTATGAATTAGGCCAGGTGCATTGGCTCACACCTGTAATCTCAGTGCTTTGGGAGGCTCAGGTGAGAGGACCATTCAAGGCCAGGAGTTTGAGACCAACCTGGGCAACATAGTGAGACCCTTTCTCTACCCAAAATGAAAAAAAAAATTATTAGGCATAGTGTTGCATGCCTGTGGTCCCAGCTAATCGGGAGGCTGAGGCAGGAGGATTGCTTGTGTCTAAAGGGTTGAGACTGCAGTGAGACGTGATCATGCCACTGCGTTCCAGCCTGGACTACAGAGCAAGACTGCATCCCTAAAAAATAAAATAAAATAAGAAAAACGTATGAATTGTTTCTTTCTGGAATTTTCCATTTAATATTTTCGAAACTTAGTTGACCATAGGTAACTGAAAACAAGGAAAGTGAAGCACAGAACACAGTGAAATACTCATTAACTTTCAGCTAGGATTAGTATTAGTCCTAATACTGTATTAATAATATAGTATTGGTATATTAGTATTAGCATTATTTCTAAGGTCCACAATCCCTTATCCAAGCTCCTGAAATCCAAAAAGCTCTGAAAAAAATAAAAGTTCCTTGGATTTTATACAGCAGCAAACTGTGAGGTCATCACATGGACTTATTTGGGAGCAAAATCTGACCTGAGCTGACTTGGGAAAGTATTCATGGTCTTTATTTATTTCACTTGTTATGATTATTTCTAAGTTTTGCTGCAGAGCAATGAATGCATCTGACTGCAGGGTGCTGCCCGGGGGTGTTAAGTTATCTGTGGTAAATGAACCCTCATGCCTTTGTAAAATCCTAAACATTTGAATTTCTGAAACGCATCTGAGTATGAGACTGTGGACCTATACCATAATGAGCACAGCAGATCACGCATTCCCCAGTTTTTATGCTTTTCTCCATATATTTATGTCACATGCTTTAACATTTATGTTACATTTCTCTTGTGAAAGTTGTCAGAATAAAAATGGAGTCACTTGTGTTAAAAACCCTAACAATCCCAGCACTTTGGGAGGTCAAGGCAGGCAGATCACTTGGTTAGGAGTTCGAGACCAGCCTGGCCAACATGGTGAAACCCCATCTCTACTAAAAATGCAAAAATTAGCGGGGCATGGTGGTGTGCACCTGTAGTCCCAGCTCCTTGGGAGGCTGAGGCAGGAGAATCGCTTGAACCCATGAGGCGGAGGTTGTAGTGAGCAGAGATTGTGCCACTGCACTCCAGCCTGGGCAACAGAGTGAGACTCTCTTTAAAAACAAAACAAACAAACAAAAATAACCCTGACAAGTCTGGGCATGGTGGTTCATGCCTGTAATCCCAGAATTCTGGGAGGCTGAGGCAGAAGGATTGCTTGAGGCCAAGAGTACAAGACCAGCCTGGGCAACACAGCAAGACTCTATCTCTATGAAAATAAATAAATAAATTAAATAAATAAATAAATAAATAAAAGCCAGGCATGGCACATGCCTATTGTCCCTGTTGTTGATTGAGGCCAGGAGGTCAAGTCTGCAGTAAGCCATGATCACACCACTGCACTCCAGCCTGGGAGACAAAGCAAGACCTCTTCTCTTGCAAAAACCATAACTTTGCACAAAGACCATTGCAACCTTACACACACAAAAAATACTTTTACGAGGACATCTTCCCAGCAACTGCCTGTCCAACCTCGAACTGGCACCACCCTTGTTATTCATCCTTGTAGCCAAGGATAACTATCTCAAAACAATTACACAATCCCCCTGATTTTTCCTTTAAAAACCTTTGTCTTCCTTTACCTCCCTGCCTAAATATGCGCATAGTTCACTATGGCACCTGTATTCCCATTGCAATGCCTATTCCCTAATAAACGTCATTTTCTTTTGAAGCATTTTCCTCTCTGTCATTTAGGTTGACACTCTTTAAATCAACCCGGTTTCTTTTTTAACTTAAATTTATTTTCAAAGGAAACTTTATAACCCAACTGTAAATGGAAAGTGAGTATCTCTGGCTGTAAATAGAAGGCCACTGTAAAAATAAACACAATGAAAACAAAATGATTTTATTAAATTCCAGCCAGATACCATGAATTGAAAAGGAAATAGCTTTCTCACCATGTGGTGAGATCTTATTTAATGCCTTGTCCGGATGCCACATAGCAGCCTTGGTAGATGCTACCTGCAGCCAGGGAGCCTCCTACTGGTGGGGTTGCCTGCCTGGTAGAAGGAAGGGACTAGTTAGCCCCCAACCCCTTCAACCTGAGGTAGGTAGCACAGATAATCCATGCTTCAAGGAACAGCATTAACAGCTGCCCTTCCTCTGGTTAGAGCACCCAGAATATGCCCAAAACTACTTGGTAACATGTGACCCCACCTGCAACAGGAGGTGTCCTGTTGAACTGTAATCACAAGGACATTTATTATCCTTGAGCCACTATCGCTGGGAGGTGCCATAGTATGACCAGAGGGTGGTGAGCCTAGTAGCTTGTTTTGGCTGGAAGTGAGACCCCAGGGTCTGGGCACTAGGCAAGAAGCTGCTGTTTTTTCATTCATTCATTCGAAAAAGGATATACAGGCCGGGTGCGGTAATTCATGCCTGTAATCTCAGCACTTTGTGAGGCCAAGGTGGGAGAATCACCTGAGGTCAGGACTTTGAGACCAGCCTGGCCAGCATGGTGAAACCCCATCTCTACTAAAAATACAAAAATTAGCCAGGTGTGGTGGCACATGCCTGTAGTCCCAGCTACCTGGGAGGCTGAGGCAGGAGAATGGCTTGAACCTGGGAGATGGAGGTTGCAGTGAGCTGAGATAGTGCCACTGCACTCCAGCCTGGGTGACAGAGTGAGACTCCATCTCAAGAAAAATGAAAAAAAAAATACAAAAGGATATACTGAGTGCCTCCTACGTGTTAAGCACCATACCCAGCTCTAGGGATGCTGAGGGACAAAGCTCCTGCCTTTGTGAATATGGGAGAGATGGAGAAGGATCATATGAAGGAAATAAACAAGGAGGCAGGATAGCCTGTCACAGTGGGAGGTCAGGGAAGCCTCTCAGAGAAGGGGCATCTGGGCTGAGACCAAATGCCAAGCATGAGCAGCCACATTAAGATGAGCGGGAGAGCATCTGGGCTGAGTGACCAGCAAGTGCACAGGCCCAGAGGCTGGAATTCTCACCTCTCATCACCCCATCTTCAAGGAAGCACTTCTGAAGCTTCAGGGGGTGCAGAATCCCTAGGAGTGGGGGTCAGAGGGAGGTTGGCTTCAGATTCCTGGGCCATAACTCAAGAGGATCTGATTCAGCAGGTCTGGGGTGGGACCCGAGGTTCAGCATTTCTTTTTTCTTTTCTTTCTTTTCTTTCTTTCTTTCTTTCTTTCTTTCTTTCTTTCTTTCTTTCTTTCTTTCTTTCTTTCTTTCTTTTCTTTTCTTTCTTTCTGTCTGTCTTTCTTTCTTTCTTTCTTTCTTTCTTTCTTTCTTTCTTTCTTTCTTTCTTTCTTTCTTTCTTTCTTTCTTTTTCTTTTTTTTTTTTGAGACAGAATCTCCCTCTGTCACCCAAGCTGGAGGCAGTGGCTTGATTCAGCTCTCTGCAACCTCTGCCTTCTGGGCTCAAGCAATTCTCGTGCCTCAGCCTCCTGAGTAGCTAGGATTACAGTTATGCACCACCACACCTGGCTAATTTTGTATTTTTTAGTAGAGATGGGGTTTCACCATGTTGGCCAGGCTGTTCTCAAACTCCTGACCTTAAGTGATCCGCCCGTTTTGGCCTCCCAAAGTGCTGGGATTACAGGTGGGAGCCACCAAGTCCGGCTTGCTTCTACACCTTCTTACCCATGTAACCTTGTTTGAATTTCTCAACATCTCTAAGCTTCAGTTTCCTCAATTGGAAAATCGGAATGACCTATTATATGAGATAATATAAAGCACCTAGCATGCCCCTGAGACATGGGATGTGTGGGCAATAATGATGATGACAGTTACTATGTAGCCTGGAGGGTCACTCATGGGACCCTTTTATTCACAGGAGTTCCCTATGTAGGAAACTGGTGTCATGATGCCTCTGTCCTAGGTATTATATTAGATTTTCTCCCTGCTATGTGATTCGCTGTGCATTCTAATCCATATTTCACTGGCGAGGACACTAACACTCGTGGAAGTTATTTAAGGGTGACCCAGCCAAGCAGCAAGGCTGGAATTTGAACAAAGGTCTTTTTGAAATATGCTGTTAGTTTGGAATTTCCACCAGGTCTGTTTGTTTCCACTCCACATGGGGCCACTGTGTCAGGAACTTGGGGGAAGCCAGATTAACTGGGCCAAACCGTGTCACTCACTTCCAGGAGCCAAGGGTGGGGAAGGGACAGCCTGGGTCAGCCTGGGTCTGGTCAGAGGCCCTGAGGTCTTTGGGGAGTGCAGTGGAGTCTGGGGGTGTCTCAACTGGGGCTGCTGTGAGGAGGACTGGGAAGGTGCCCAGAGCACCGGGAAGCCACAGATGAATCAATCAGTTGATGCCCCAGTAAGCAACATGGTGCCCACGCCATGCTGGCTCTGTGGGGGACACAGAAAAGCAGGCCATGTCCTTCCCGCAGGAGCTTTGTCTCACTGAGGAGAGAGAACACAGACTCACAGAGTCCACTTTAGAGCAGGCAGAGAATGCTCTCAGTGTGCCGGACATTTGGGGTGGGGCTTGAAGGACAGGCCAAGCCTGGTCCTCAGTGAGGGTGCTGCCCTGGGAAGGCGTGGGGGCATGTTTCAGGGGATGGCATAGCTCCGACAATGGGGAGGGCTGCTGCCAGGGATTGGAAGAGGAGGTGAGAAAGGAGAGCTGTGCTTGCTCTTGGTGCCCTGCATGATGGATAAAGTCCAGACGGTTCCTGAGAGTCCCCCAAAGCAGGGATGTTAAAGTGATGGCGATAGCCTGGCTTCCAGGGTGTGTTATCTTGGACAACTTGCTTACACTCTCTGAACCTCAGCTTCCTCCTCTGTGAAATAGGGATAATAATAATACGGGCTCACTAATTTGCTGTAGCATTAAATGAGACAATATCTGTGAAGTGCCTGGCATGCTGCCTGGCACATAGTACATGCTCAATAAGTGTTATTAATTAAGATGATGGGCCGGGCACAGTGGCTCACACCTGTAACTCCAGCATTTTGGGAGGCCAAGGCAGGCAGATCACTTGAGGTCAGGAGTTCAAGACCAGTCAGGCCAACCTGGAGATATCCCATCTCTACTAAAAACACAAAAATTAGCTGGGCATTGTAGTGGATGCCTGTAATCCCAGCTACTTGGGAGACTGAGGCAGGGGAATTGCTTGAACCTGGGAAGAGGTGAAAGTTACAGTGAGCCAAGATCATGCCACTGCATCCCAGCCTCAGCAACAGGGTAAGACTGTTAAAAGAAGAAAGAAAGAGAGAATGAGAGAGAGAGAGAGAAAGGAAGAGAGAGAAAAAGAAAGAAAGAAAGAGAGACAAAGAAAGAGATAAAGAAAGAGAAGAAAGAAAGAAAAGAAAGAAAGAAGAAAAGAAAAAAAGGAAAAAGAAAGAAAGAAAGAAGGAAAAGAAAGAAAGAAAGCAGGAAAAGAAAGAAAGAGAGAGAGAAAGGAAGGAAGGAAAGAAGGAAGGAAGGAAGGCAGGGAGGGAGGGAGGGAGGGAGAGATGATGATGGTGAGGTTGAGGGTGGTAATCAGAGTAGGAAGGAGTGATGTGATAGGTGTGTTCTGGCAGCTTGGGAAGTAAACCCCAGGAGTCCAAACATCCCTTCCTAGGATTCGGAGGAGACCCTTCCCCCTGCCGAATGTCTGGGTGAGATGCAGAGATGGGTAAACTTTGGTGAAAGGTGCAAAACCAGTTGGCAGTAGGACACTATGGCCCGGCCCTCAGGTACATCACACAGTGAATACTTGTTGATTTAATAGATTTCCAAAAATAATTCTGAGAGGCATTGCAAAGGCACCAGGGATGCTAATGTCAGGGAAGTGGCAGCACCAGCCACTGGCTGGTCATTGTTCCCTGCTAGAACCAAGTCCTTTTGACTGTCAGGTGGGCAAGACACCTCCATGTTCCAGGAGCCTCCTGAGGAACCCAGGTGGAGAATAAAACTATCTTGCACAAGCTCACAGCTTCTTTATGCAGTGGCCCAAGGGATTCACAGACTTGCAAGCTCAGGGACTCTGGTTTTTCGATCATCATAACCCTCGGAACCTGCAGCCCCTATTTTCCATCCTCCTGTCACCTACTTGGGTTTCCTGATTGTGTGGGACTCCTGGAAGGCATGAAAATGAAGGAGAGTAGGTGGAGGTTGGAGGAGGAGGAGGAGGAGGAGGAGGAGGAGGAGGAGGCGAGAGTCCTAGGAGAATTTGCCAGGCTTCAAAATGTAGCTGCCACATGTCTGCTGGGAGTCGGTGGAAACACAGGGACATATATATCTATACCGTGAGGGTTGTGGCAACCCACACATGCAGAACATTTTGATGGTTAATAAATCTTTTTCTTTTCAGAACTGGGCTTTGGTTCAGATGTGCTGGAGACTAGAGAAGAGCCTGCTGTCCAGATTCATCCACGAGCACAAGGCTTCCTTCCTTTTTCACATCAAGGTGCATTGGGAGAAAGGTCAAGGCTGCTCACAGCCCTTAGGCAGCTGGCCTGGAGCTCGATCACCCGTGGCTGCTGGACTGACCTGAGGGCCAAGGGGATTCTTACTTCTGCATAAGAAGCTGCGACTTCTGCCTGACTAGTTATGCGAGGTCCCACACTGAGAAGCGTCTCTGGCTTCATTTAGTGCTCTACTGTCTGTCACTCTCTTGAAATTCTTAACACTTTTTTGAACCAAAGGCTCCCCATTTTCATTTCGTGCTGGACCCCATAAATTATGTACTGGTCCTGCTCAGCACACCAGTAACCCATGACAAGCATACCTTGAGGAAAACTGTTTTAGCACATGAAAAACTGCTAGATCTGTCTTTTTGGCCAGTTTCATTTTTTCATTTATCCTGAAGGGTGTAGAAAAGTAAACGTTTTTAAAAACATAAGGCCAGGTGTGATGAGCACTTTGGGAATCCCAGCACTTTGGGAAGCTGAGGCGGGTGGATGACTTGAGGCCACGAGTTCAAGACCAGCCTGGCCAACATGGCGATATCCTGTCTCTACTAAAAATACAAAAATTAGCCAGGTGTGGTGGTGCGCACCTGTAATCCCAGCTACTCGGGAGGCTGAGGCAGGAGAATCACTTGAACCTAGGAGATGGAGGTTGCAGTGAGCCGAGATCACACCACTGCCCTCCAGCCTGGGCGACAGAACCAGATTGCATCTCAAAAAATAAATAAATAAATAAATAAAAACATAAAAGTCACTTTGGGAGGCTGAGGCAGGAGCACCATTTGAAGCCAGGAGTTTGAGACCAGCCTGGAGAAAATTATAAGACCTTGTCTGTATATAAGTTAGCTGGGTGTGGTGACATGTGCCTGGCTCAGGAGGCTGAGCCAGGAGAATCACTTGTGGAGGTTGAGGCTGTAGTGAGCTATGATCGTGCCACTGCACTTCAGCCTGAGACACAGAGTGAGTTACTGTCTCTAAAAACAAATATAAATAAGTAAAAAATAAAAAAATCAAAAACATAAAAGTGCCGAAAGGAACTCTTGAGACAACTTAGTGTAGGGTTTATGAGCTTAGACTCTGGAGCCAGAGTGTCCAAGTTTAAATCCCAACTGTATTACTTCAAGCTGTGTGACCTGGGGCACGTTGTTTGGCCTTTCTGAGTTTCATTTTCCTCTTCTGTAAATTGGAGCTAATAATAGGATTTATCTCAGAGGGTTGTTTTGAGAAATAAAGGAGTTCACTATAAAAAGTTCTTGGAATAGTGAATGTTTTAATGAATATGTTCTAGCTACTGTTATTTTTTAAAAAGACTAATGGCTTATACACATTAATTACTATTTATTCAGTGCTTACTGGATGACAGAAGCTTCCTTCCTTCCTTCCTTCCTTCCTTCCTTCCTTCCTCCCTCCCTCGCTTTCTCTCTCTCTCCCTCTCTTTCTCTTCTTTCCTTCCTCTCTCTCTTTCTCTCTTTTTCTTTCTTTCTTTCTTTCTTTTATTTCTTTCTTTCTTTTCTTTCTTTCTCTTTCTTTCTTTCTTTCTTTCTTTCTTTCTTTCTTCCTTCCTTCCTTCCTTCTTTCTTTCCTTTTCTTTCTTTTTTTTCTTTCCTTCCTTCTTTCTTTCTTTCACCCTGTCTTGCCCAGCTCTGCCCTGCCTTTTTTCAGACAAGGTCTCACTCTGTGGTCCAGGGCTGGAGTACAGTGGTGGGATCATAGCTCACTGCAGCCTTGAACTCCAGGGCTCAAGTGATTCTCCTGCCTCAGTCTCCCAAGTAGCTGGGACTGCAGGTGTGTGCCACAGTGTCTGGCTAATTAAAAAAAAAATTTTTAAGAGACAGAGTCTTGGTATGTTTACCAGGCTGGTCTCAAATTCTTGACCTCAAGCTATCCTCCTGCTTTAACCTCCCAGGGTGCTGGGATTATAGGTGTGAGCCACCGTGCCTGGCCAGAAGCATACTTTCATTTAGTCCTCACAACAGCTCCAGAAGATAACTATTATTATCACCCATTTTTTTTTACAGATGAGAAAACAGGCACAGAGAGGATAAGGAACTTATGCTAAAGAGCACAGCTAACAAGTGACAGAGCTAGGTTTAGAACCCAGGTAATCTGACTTTGGACGTCATACTCTTTGTATTTCTTTTCATTATGCAATTCACCAAATCAGGAAAAGGAGCATAGATGGGGAGGATAGATGGGACAGGAGCAGATGCTCGGCTCAGTTATGACAGGAAGAGTTGGAGGGACTTGTGGCATAGCAGAGCGGAGACATCCAGTGGTCTGGGTTCTCCCTCAGATACATGTTAGACCTGCAGCTTCCCCACCGGCACACTGTGAACCAAGCACAAACCACATTTCTTCACTGCTCATTGCTGCTCAGCCTCAGCCACAAATGTCTGGCTCCATCATTCCTTCTTGTTGACTCTGATTCCATACTGAGAGCAGACTGGTGCAGGCTGACTCTAACATTTTCTCAAATCAAATAGGTCAGGTCCAGGGACAGACGTGATGATTGATCATGACCAGAAATACCCTGGTCTGTGGACGATAGTCCTGGCTTGGAGAAGCACCGTCTCTTTCCTTTGTGCCTTTACTTACCACCATTTAATTTTATTTGTTTATTTATTTTTTGAGATGGAGTCTTGCTCTGTCGCCCAGGCTGGAGTGCAGTGGCACAATATGGGCTCACCTCCACCTCCCAGGTTCAAGTGATTCTCCTGCCTCAGCCTCCCAAATAGCTGGGATTACAGGCATCCGCCACCATGCCCAGCTAATTTTTGTATTTCTAGTAGAGATGGGGTTTCACCAGGTTGGCCAGGCTGGTCTTGAACTCCTGACCTCAGATGATCTGCCTGCCTGGGCCTCCCAAAGTGTTGGGATTACAGGTGTAAGCCACCACGCCAGGCCCATTTAATTTCTTTATCACATACTGTAAAAGCTTTTAGAATGTACTTAGCACTTTTTTTTTTTTTGAAATGTAGTCTTGTTCTGTCACCCAGGCTGTAGTGCAGTGGCACAATCTCAGCTCACTACAACTTCTGCCTCCCAGGTTCAAGTGATTCTCCTGCCTCAGCCTCCTGAGTAGCTGGGACTACAGGTGGTGCCACCATGCTGGCTAATTTTTGTATTTTCAGTAGAAATGGGGTTTCACCATGTTGGCCAGGGTGGTCTTAAACTCCCGACCTCAGGTGATTCACCCTCCTCGGCCTCCCAAAGTGCTGGGATTACAGGCGTGAGCCACCGCACTTGGTACTTTTTAATGGCACCTTACACACACTAACTCATAATAACCCCATGGGATATTAACACTGTCCGCGTTTTACAGATGACAAAATTGGGACACACAGAGATCTTGTAAATTGCCTTGGATCTATCTGTAGAGCTTTTGCTCTTAACTTTTGCTTCACACTGTGGTTAATGGGGACAACCCAAGTGCCCCTGGGCTGGCTTCCTGCTTCCCAACATGGAAACGGGTGCAGGGACATTGTCTAGACTGTGTCCTGGAGGAATGTTTGCCTCCATTGGACCTCAAACATCTTCAGCAGAGTAGCTTCCTGGAGCCAATTTGTGCATACTGACTGAGAGGCTCAGGGAAGGATGCGGGGAGCCCAGAAAACTTCCTGTTGAATGAACATTCCTCTGTGGGGAGAATACAGGGTGAAATTCCGATGTATAGACTCTAGAGGCAGACTATCCAGGTTCAAATCCCAGCAGCACCCCCTACCAGGTATGTGACCTTGGGTGAGTCACTTAACCACTCTGTGCCTCAATTTCCCTAATCTGTAAAATGGGGTTAACAACAATACCTATCTCACAGGGGCTTTGTGAGGATTAAATGAGGTAATATATGTTAAATGATTAGAACAGTGCCAGGCATGTCATAAACACTATTTTGGTTTGTTTGTTTGTTTGTTTTTGAGATGGAGTCTCGCTCTGCCACCCAGGCTGGAGTGCAGTGGTGCAATCTCGACTCACTGCAACCTCCATCTCTTGGGCTCAAGAGATTCTCCTGCCTCAGCCTCCCAAGTAGCTGGGATTACAGGCATGCGCCACCACACCCGGCTAATTTTTGTATTTTTAGTAGAGACAGGGTTTTGTCATGTTGGCCAGGCTGGTCTTGAACTCCTGACCTCAAGTGATCCGCCCACCTTGGCCTCCCAAAGTGCTGGGATTACAGGCGTGAGCCACTGTGCCCAGCTTAACACTGTTTAAATAAGAGCTATTTTCATTGCTGACTCACTCTGAAGAGCTGACTTCTCGATATCTTTTCTCTGACTTTCAAACATTGAATTTGTCCACAGAGTCTGTTAACTCAGTCTGCAAAGCATAGTCTCTCTTCGGAATCCTTCCCTCCCTCATGCTGGCCCAAGCCATCGCCATTCCTTACCTGGATGGCCCCAGCAATCTCCTTTGTGATCACTCTGCTTCTGGTCTTGCTCATTTCTTTCTCATAGTGACATTTCACACACGCACACACAAAGCCACTTCACATGACTCCATGGCTTTAAAGCCCTCTAGTGGCTTTTTGTCCTATTTAAAATTACGTCTGAAGTCCCCGCGATGTAGCATGACACCTTCTGTGATCCAGCTCTTGTCCACTGTCCAGCCCTCATCCCGACCCCCTTGGTCACACCCAGGCTCCTTACTACCCCAGGGCCTTAGCATGCGCCACGCCCTCTGCCTGGAATACATCTCCTCCTCTGTATTCCCACTCAGGTCTCAGTTCAAAATGTCACCTCTTCAGAGAGGCCCTCTCTGCCGTCCCATGGCAGGACATGATCTGATTTACTCTGTAAAAAGATTATTCTTACTGCTTTGTGGAGAAATCATCACTTTCACAGCATGTCGTTGCACTGTTTCCACCAAATCCCACCAGGCACCAGGCACCCCTGCATGAAAGTACGTGAATTGTAATTCATCTGCTCACTCAATAGGCATTGTGCTTGGAACTGTGTGCAAAACCAAGACAAATGAGTCATGTGGCAGCCCGCCAGGAGGTCACAACCTGAGGTAGAAGCTTATGTGGTGGCTCTCTCATGCTGGAAACATTGTGTGGCTCATAGCTTTTTGTAAAGAGTGAAGTGACTCTGACAGGTGCCAGGAAGCCTGCATTAGAATCCTGGCTCTGGTGCTTGCTGTGATGACCTTGGGCAAGTTACTTAACCTCTCTGAGACTCCCTTATCTCATAGCACAGCTGTTGGAAGTAAAAGACATAAAGTATGGGATGCACCTTGTGCATATTAGGCAGTAGATGTCATTTATTTGCTGCCTTCTTTTTCTACTCTGCATACTTATTAGTCCTTATCTCTTTGTTCAAATGCCTTAACTTTGTGCGCATTGGAGAGATAATCGAACAATGGTTAAGTGCCTGCACTCAGAGCCAGCCGCCACTGCTTTATTAGCTGTGTAACCTTAGGCAGATTGCTTGACACATCTGTGTCTTAGTTTCCACAACTGCAAAATGAGAATAACTATCTAAAGGGCTGCTGTGAAGGGTTAAGTGAGCCAATTCAAGAAATGTAGCCAGGCCAGTGGCACATAGTAAATATTTTTAAATTGTTCACTTTTACTAATGATAATATTAATTAGTTATCTTTTTCTTTTTTCTTTTCTTTTTTTTTTTTTTTTTTTTTTTTTTTTGAGGTAGGTTCTCACTCCATCAGCCAGGCTGGAACACAGTGGTGACATCAGCACTCACTGCAGCTTTGAACTCCTGGGCTCAAGCAATCCTCCCACCTCAGTCTCCTAAGTAGCTGGGAGGCACATGCCAACATGGCTGGCTAATTTTTAAATCTTTTGTAGAGATGGAGTTGCCCAGGCTGGTTTTGAATTCCTGAGCACAAGCGATCCTCTCACCTTGGCCTCCCAAAGTGCTGGGATTACAGGTGTGAGCCACGGCGCCTGGCCTGATAATATTAATTAATTAAGTGCTTACAATGGGTTCAGGCCTGCACAAGAAGATTTAGGAATATAGAAGCAGGTAAATACTGTCCAGCTGCAAGGACGGCTTGCAGAGGCAATGGATGGAACCCAGCAGCACAAAGTTGCACAATTTCTACAGATTCTCAAGCACAGGGAAGGGAAATGGGAGTGCCCTCCACACCTCAGATTGCTGCAGGCACTAGAAGAGTAGGCAGCTTCTGGAACAGTCACATCTAGTCCAGGAAGCAATGAGGACTAGACAGGGTGCTTCTGCCAGGGGCATAGACAGCTTTCCTTGATGATATGGTGAGTGACCTAGGAATGACCCACCAAGTGCGGTCATTCCACCGTTTATAGACTTTTTCCCAGGTTCCTGCTCATCTCTTCATTCAAGCAATGTTTTCTGAGTATCCACAGTCAAAGATCCTGTTTTATGCCCAGGAGTTTTGGATGCAATTAAGTGTTGGCTCCACACATCAACAGTTCAGAGTGCCGTGGGGGAGTCAGCCCGTCTCTGCAAACCCATTGCTTTCTCAGATGCAGATGAGAGAGCACAGATCTTGCACCATTGGACCAAAAAAGAGAGATGCTTCTATTGCAAGCCCTGGGCTGCTGGAGGGACAATGACCACCCCAGCCCACCTCATCTTGGGAGATACCACCAACCCCAAGAAGTAGAGTTATGAATCAGAAATGCAAAGGATCCAACGATGCAATGAAATTACCCACCAGGCAGGATTTCTTCCCTGGCCCCATGTTTCACGCCACCATTCTGTTATGCATGGGGACCTCCAGTTCTTCCATGAGGTGCACAGAGAAATGGAGGGGCTTGAGTTGCTCTGTTCATCATCCATTTGTTGGGTGCATGATGGAGAGAGCTGTGGTAGAGTTTACAGTGGAGCATACTTTAGTGTGTGGGTGACTGTTGTCTTAGACTCTGTCCCCAGAATACACACTCTAGGACAGAGATTTGCATACCAGAGGTTTTTTGGGATGGACTCTTGGGAAGAACCCCCATGTTGTAGGAAGGGGGAAGCAGGACCAGACAGAGGGAGAGGAAGGACTGTGATGCAGCTGTCAGTTGTCACAGTGGACTCAGCCAGTCCTGTGGAGACTCGAGTCAAGATGGCATTTGGAAGCTGGCTGAAGTGGCTCATGTCTGTAATCCTAGCACTTTGGGAGGCTGAGGTGGGTGGATCACTTGAGGTCAGGAGTTCAAGACCAACCTGGCCAACATGGTGAAACCCCGTCTCTACTAAAAATACAAAAATTAGCTGGGTATGGTGGTGTGTGCCTGTTATCCCAGCTACTTGGGAGGCTGAGGCAGGAGAATTGCTTGAACCTGGGAGGCAGAAGTTGCAGTGAGCTGAGATCGCGCCACTGCACTCCAGCCTGTCTCAAAACAAAAGAAAACAACACAACAACAACAACAGCAAAGATGGCATTTGGAGATGTCCAGAAAGAAGGCAAGCTAGATGAACCTCTATACCCTCATACTGCCCAGCTATTGGATGTGGGAAGCCTCTGGGAAGCGGGTGTGACCTTGGCTGAGGCAGCTCCTTTGTGCTGAGAGCAGTACCCGGAGCGGCACTCAACTGTGAATCAGTTGTGTCGGATAAGAACTGTGTTGCCACCACACCTGCCCTCCGTGTCAAACAGACTAAGGGGCCAGTCTTGATCTCTTACTAGTTGAGAGACTGGGGGTCAGTCAACTTCCTGGAGCCTCACTTTCCCCATCTGTAAAATGGGGGTGAGGCCAGGAGGGGCTTCATGGGCTGGAGTGGGTGGGCTGAATGAAGGGCTGTAAGTGAATCTCTAGCATGGCAGTGCAAGCAGAGGTTATTATTATTGTGCCTGGGATAGTGCAGAGTATCCTGCCCGATGCAAACTGTAGGGTGTGTGTATGTGTTGGGGTAGGGGTGGGCAGGAATTTGGCGTGGGGCAGAGAGTGTCCATGAAGGCTTCTTTTAATTGGGGACAGCTGTACATTAAAGAAACTGTGGTACCTGGTGTTAGAGGCAAAGAAGTGGGCGAAGGAGATACCAGATGGGTGGAAGGAATCTTTATTAGTCCAGAGGTGGGAAAGAGCCCCTAACTGCCAGGCGTCCCCTGTCTTTTGGGGTCAGTGCCAGAACTCTCTGCTTTGTTACCCCATACTCTTGCACAGGAAACTCTAGCTTAGCAGCTTTCTGCTCCTGAAGCCACCGTTCAGCCTTTTCACCTTGTTCAGTATGGTCACTTCAGCAGCCAGGAGGCAAAAGACGAAAAGCCCGGAAGGAAGAATAGAAACCCTGAGCTTCCAACGGGCTAAATATAAGCTGCAGTCAAATGCAAAGAAATCCAAAGGCAGTGACCACACGGTGGCTCCAAGAAAAGCCCACTGGTGTGACAAGTCCCACTAATGTATGGAGAGTTGTGGTGTAACTGGGTGAATGGCACCAGAGGAAGAAAGTTCACCTGGTGGCTTCCATCAAAGCACTCAGACCAACTACTTCCGGTAAAAGTGCCTGTCAATTGCCTTGGATCTGAAGGAGGCTGAGGTCAGCTCTGAGACCATCACTTAAATGTGTATATACCATATATACAGGCCAGGCACAGTGGCTCGCACCTGCAATCCCAGCACTTTGGGAGGCACAGGGCAGAGAATTGCTTAAGGCCAGGAGTTCCAGACCCCACCTTGGGTAACAAAGCAAGACCTCATCTCTATAAAATAATTTTTTTCCTTCTTTTTAAAGTTCTTTTTTAAATTTTACTTTAAGTTCTGGGATACATGTGCAGAATGTGCAGGTTTGTTACATAGGTATACATGTGCCATGGTGGTTTGCTACACCTATCAACCCGTTATCTAGGTTGTAGACCCCGCATGTATTAGGTGTTTGTCCTAATGCTCTCCCTCCTCTTGCTCCCCACCCAGGACAGGCCCCAGTGTGTGATGTTCTCCTCCCTGTGTCCATGTGTTCTCATTGTTCAGCTCCCACTTATGAGTGAACGTTTGGTTTTCTGTTCCTATGTTAGTTTTCCAATAATGATGGTAAAATAATTTAAAAAAATATTAACTGGGTGCAACGGCTACTCAGGAGGCTGAGGTGGGAGGATCCCTTGAGCCCAGGAGTTGGAGGCTGCAGTGAGCTATGATCACCCTATTCCACTCCAGCCTGGGTGACAGAGCAAACCTGTCTCTAAACCTGTCTACACACACACACACACACACACACACACACACACACACACACACACATATTTATGTATATAAGTTTGTATATATATATATACTTTTTAGTTTTTAGAGCAGTTTTAGGCTCACAGAAAAACCGAGCAGAAGGTACAGAGATTTCCCATATTCCTCATCCCCATTCATGCATAGCATCTCCTATTATCAACATCCCCCACCAGAATGGCACATTTGTCACACACGGCTGATGAACCTATATTGACACTTCATCACCACCCAGAATCCATCACTTACATTAGGGTTCCATCCCTTTTTTGTTACTCAAATTTGACAGTTAAGCCCCTGACAGCCACACTCTCTGGATTCTCCACAAAGGATGTGCGTGGAGACCAATGGAGGAAAGTAATTAATTGATTACCAATTAGTTTATTCAACAAACACTGATTGACATCTTGTTTTTGCCAGGCACTGTTCCAGTTACTGGGTCACAGAGGTAATAATGTTGGATTAAAACTTAAGAAATCATGCTGGGCGCGGTGGCTCATGCCTGTAATCCCAGCACTTTGGGAGGATGAGGCGGGAGGATCACTTGAGCTCAGGAGTTTGAGACCAGCCTGGGCAACATGGTGAGACCCTGTCTCTACAAATGAATACAAAAGTTATCTGGGCATGGTGGCGTGTACCTGTAGGCCCAGGTCCTCGAGAGGCTAACTTGAGCCTAGGAGGTTAAGGCTGCAGTGAGCTGAGATTGCGCTACTGCACTCCAGCTTGGGCAACAGAGTGAGACTGTCTATAAAAACAAAACAAAACCAAATACCCCAGTCTGTGCTGTTGGAGGTCAAGTTAGCGCACTCCCAGGGCTGGTAGTGACCAGAAGGAACATGAGAAAAGCTTCTAGGGGCTTATCAGGTGCTATTTCTTGATCTGGACGCTGGTTAGGCAGAGGTATACAGTTTATGAAATTTCATTGAGTTGTATACCTACACTGTGTGCATTTCTCTGTACATGCACTTTAATTTTTAAAAAGCTAAAAAAAATGAAATGTTCTAAGCACTAAGAAGGTAATACTCTTTCCTATGCATAATTAAAAGGAAACTCTATCCTTAAAATGTATATTAGGAAGTCCAAAAAAATCTATTTTTTCCCATGATGACTGCTTTAATAAGCTTTCGAGATAGCAAATCTCATTTTAAAAGACTTTTTCTTTCTCCACTCCCCCACTAGCCCGCCACATATTCTTGCCCAAAACACGTGTTTTAGTTTGCTATTAATCCAGTCCTGCCGATAGATAAAACCACAAGGTCACTATCTTCCTGGAACTGAAATTGTTTTTATTTTATTTTATTTACTTTTTAAAAATGGGGGTCTCTCTATGTTGCCAAGGCTGGACTTGAACTCCTGGGCTCATCCCACCACAGCCTATGGTGTAGGCTGGGACCACATGTGTGCACCACCTAATTCTTTTGTTCATTTATTTTTGAGATGGGGTCTTGCTCTGTCACCCAGGCTGGAGTGCAGTCAGCTCACTGCAACCTCTGCCTCCCAGGCTCAAGCTACCCTCCCACCTCAGCCTCCTGAGTAGCTGGACCACAGGCACATACCACCAAGCCCAGCTAATTTTTTGCATTTTTGGTAGAGATGAGGTTTGGCCACATTGCCCAGGCTGGTCTTGAACTCCTGAGCTCAGGTGATCCACCTGTCTCCGCCTCCCAATTCTAAAGAAGGAAGTTCTGGTGAAGGAAACCAACCACTTCGCAAGCAAATACAGAAACAAGGTAACTGCAGACAGCAACGAATGCTGAAGGGAATAAAACAAGGCAAAGAGATAGAGAGGTGGTGGGGGGTGGGAGTAGTAAAGGAAGATTCCCTGAGAAGTTAACATTTAAATAGAACCTTAGGACAGGTTCAGTAGCTCACACCTGCAGTCCCAGCACTTTAGGAGTCTGAGGCAGGAGGATCACGTGAGTCCGGGAGTTCAAGACCAGCCTAGGCAACACAGTGAGACCCCACCTCTACTAAATAAATAAATAAATAAATAAATACACACATAGAGTTCTAAGTAATAAGATGAAGCCAACCATGAGAAGACCTTTCTAGGTAGTGGGAATGCAATAACTGTGGACCCAAGAGTTTCCTAGATTGTGACAGAAAGGTAGGTGAGTCTGGAGTAGAGGAGACAGCGAGGAATGTGGCTGAAATGAGGCTGGAGAGGGAAGGGGAAGATGGGGCAAAGCAGTTGTTTTTAGGCCCAGTTGCACCTTAACAATCACCATGGGAGCGTTAAAAAATATTAGGCCATGTGCGGTGGTTCACGTCTGTTATCCCAACCTTTTGGGAAGCTGAGGCAGGAGGATTGCTTGAGCCCAAGAGCTCAAAACCAGCCTGGGCAACACGGCAAGACCTTATCTCTATTTAAAAAAAAAATTAGGTCAGGTTCAGAGGCTCATGCCTGTAATTCCAGCACTTTGGGAGGCCGAGGCGGGTAAATCACTTGAGGCCAGGAATTCAAAACCGGCCTGGCCAACATGGTGAAACTCCGCATCTACTGAAAATACGAAAATTAACCTGGTGTGGTGGTGTGTGTCTGTAATCCCAGCTACTTGGGCAGCTGAGGCACGAGAATCATTTGAATCTGGGAGGCAGAGTTTGCAGTGAGCCGAGATTGCACCACTGTCCTCCAGCCTGGGCAACAGAGCATGACTCTGTCTCAACAAAACAAAACAAAACAAAACAAAACAAAACAAAACAAAAACAAACAAAAAAATTTAGCTGGGCATAGTGGTGCATGCCTGTGGTCTCCATTATTCTAGGGGCTGAGGTGGGAAGATGGCTTGAGCCCAGGAGTTCAAGGCTGCAGGGAGCTATGATGATGCCACTGCACTCCAGCATGGGCAACAGAGCAAGACTCCATCTCAAAAAATAAAAAAATAAAAAAAAATCAATACCTGGAACCCGTCCTGATGGCAGATGCTGACTCCGTTGGTTGTATTTTGTATTTTGTAACTGCATTTCTTACAGACTCCCAGGGGACGCTGTATACTCCTGGTCCAAGGGTGACTCTTTGAGTAGCAAGGCTTTGGCTGTGATAAGGAGGCTTATTTTTACAGACCCAGGGGAAGCTGTTGGAGAATATTAAGCAGAAGGATAGCACAACCTTACAGATGTTTTCAAAACGTTACTCAGGCTACATTGTGGAACATGGATTGGAGGCAGACAAGAGAGGAAGCCGGATGACAAGTGATGAGGAATCAGAAGGAGGATGAGTGACTTTTGCTGCTTTCCAGGCTGCCCAAGGCCCTACGGGTTCTGAGCATGGGGATAGCAGGAGAGAAATTAGAAACTCACAGTGTCCAAGGCCTGGATCTAGAACCTTCACCTATGTCATCTCATTAAATACTCAGAACTATCCCAGGATGAATCACTTAGCCAAGTCATAATTTTCAATTCCAGATTTATCCCCAACCACAGAGATCTCAGAAAGCAGAAAGGAAATACAGCTATGGACAGGTCCAGAGGAGGAGAATAGGCAGTTGTTTTAAACTGTAAGAAAATGATCTTTAATGTCTCCACTCTTTTGTTGCCGATGAATAGAATAGTGCTCTCTTGGGTGAGAGATGAATGCTGCATGCGAAGATGAAGGAAGGAAGTATGGTTTTTATTTGGAGGCCTGACTCTGCTGAATAGAGAACAATTCCCCCAGCTCCATTCCCTTGTACCTTGTGCGATGTCTTCAAACCAATCCCCATAGCCCCAGGAGGGAGAGTCATGAGTCAGAAAAGCAAAAGAAACAATGGCAACCTTAGAGAATGAGAAATGTATAATCACTGGGCAGGCTGAAGTCCTTTCCTGCCTGCACCCTCTCTGTGACCGTCGTGAGCTGCAGGATACCACACTTCTCCCAACACCGCATACGCCTCATAGACAAGTTGACTGAGTTGGATCATTTTTGCCTTTAGTGGTTTGTTCAGTTCCAGAGTTAATTCTTCAACCTCCACAGAATCTAGATTCCAAGTTGTCTGGAAGCTCATCAGCTCAGGAAAAAAATGAAAGTGAATGTGGTTGCAAGATAAAATGACCCAATGTTACCCATATTTTCTAATATGTGGGACCCCTTTTTAATATAAAAAGATATTCATGGATCCCCATATAATTGAGCTCATATGCTTTTTTTTTTTTTTTTCAGAGTCTCACTCTGTTGCCCAGGCTGGAGTGCAGTGGCACAATCTCAGTTCACAGCAACCTCTGCCTCCTGGGTTCAAGTGATTCTCATGCCTCAGCCTCTCGAGTAGCTGGGATTACAGGTGTGTGCCACCACGCCAGACTAATTTTTTTTTTTTTTTTTTGAGATGGAGCCTTGCTCTTGTCACCCAGGCTGGAGTGCAGTGACATGATCTCGGCTCACTGCAACCTCCACCTCCCAGGTTCAAGCGACTCTCCTGCTTCCTGAGCAGCTGGGACCACAAGTGTGTGCCACCACATCCGGCTAATTTTTGTATTTTTCATAGAGATGGGGTTTCATGTTGGCCAAGCTGGTGTCAAACTCCTGACCTTGTGATCTGCCCCCCTTAGCTTCCAAAAGTGCTGGGATTACAGGCGTGGTCCACTGGCCCACCCAGCTAATTTTTGTATTTTTAGTAGAGACGGGGTTTTGCCATGTTGGCCAGGCTGGTCTTGAACTCCAAGTGATCTGCCTACCTTGGCCTCCCAAAGTGCTGGGATTACGGGCATGAGCCACCATGCTCAGTCTATGGTTTTTTTTTTTTTTTGTCTTGTTTTGTTTTTTAATTAACAAGAGAGTTCAGATACCAAGGTCCCAAATGGGTGATCCTGCCAGAGGATGTATTTTGGTTGGCTCTTGCAGTGTTTTGGAAAGATTGACAATCATAGCCAACATTTCAAAATTGTAGGTGTTTACACAAAAATGTAGATTTCTGGTTTCCCCCCCAGAATCAGAAGACCTGGCAACAATGGGCCTGCATTTCTGTAACAGACCATGCAATTTCCAGTTTGCCAGAGTCCTCACCCCGCCCCTTCTCACACGCGTAACCTGCCTGGCCTCTGTAGACACCTTATCGGGGCCCCTGTGTACAGATTCGAGAGCCCACTGTCTCCCCCATGAGGTCTATGGGCCGTAAATTGGGAACAAAAGACTAACTCTTTATCTGGGATGTGAAAGCAGTTTGGAAGCAGTTTAGATCAAAAGGCCTTAGTCATCACTCAAAAGAAGATGCTACAAAGTAAAAAACAAACATAGAAATAACCACAGCTTTCCATCTGGAATTCTTTAATTTTCGTGGTCTCTGGTTATCAAAGTGGGTGATTTGTACAGACAGTACTTTCAGGTTTTGATCCCTTCAAGCAAAAGGGATGATAAGACCCTCATACAACATAAGAAATGTTATGTTAAAATACATCATTCTATCGTATGTGTGTGTGTGTGTGTGTGTGCGTGTGCATGTGTGCATCCATGCATGTGCAGATAACTTGATTAAAACTTGATTGGCAGCAAATAGGTTCAGGGCACACTTGTCTTCCCCTACCCCCTCTCCCAAATTTCATGGAAGGCAGTATGGTACTATGACTCAAAAGCCTTTCAAATATGGCTATCTTCAAGGAGGGAGAAAGCTAGAATGAACCACGTCATACTGGATTCAACTGAATAAACAGTCTCATACATGTCTTTACACTGGATACATCACTATGAAGTCATGTTCAGCTTAAGATAGATACAAGTAGATAAATATGGAAATAGTTATGAATGTGTCTATTTACATGGGTTGCTATATATACACAGATTTCCAAGCTCTTTACATTGACAGGAACAGCATTATCCCAATAGCAATGAGCACACCCAGCACTCAGATCTTGGTTTCTAATACCATTCTCCAGTCAAAGGAACCAAGGACCCTTGCAGAAATGGCTTCTTCTGGGGCTGGGGCAGGGAATGTACAAGATGTGCCTGGAGCATCTTGAGGTGCTGGAAAGCAAGGATGTGTTCAAAATACTCATTGATGGGGGCTGCTTCAAAGGGACACAGGAGGCAGCTGAAAGCATTCCCAGTGCCGAAGGTGGAACAATTTGAGCAATAAAATAAACAATGCAGTATTAGATTATAACCCAAAGTATAAAATAAATGTCTGAGTCCATACTGATGTAAATAAATGAATAAATAAATAAGCCTATGGGGGAGAATAGGCACATTTCCAGTACAGAAGAATCCCAAATAATTTATGTAAACACAGCCCCCTCAAGGAAGTGAAGCCTAATTTCCTACTCCTTAAGTGTGGGCTGTGCATAATGACTACCTTCCAAAGAATACAATAGGGAAAGGGGGAAAAAAAAGTAACTCTACAGGGGCGAGACCTGGCAAACACGACTTCAGACAGGCGATCAAGGCTAACGTCATCAGTGGTGAGTCATGTTGATAGCATGTCCTTGATTTGATGTGTTGAGAAGGACATTTTACCTTGGTGGACTTCTTCCCCCAAACCCATGATCCTTCATGTAATCATGAGCAAAACAGCCCAAGGCAAATTGAGGGATATTCCACAGAATAACTAGCTAGCACTTCTCAAAATTGTCAAAACCATCAAAAACAAGGAAAGTTTGAAATCCCTTCACAGTCTAGAGGTACCCAAGGAGATATGATGACTAAACATAATATGGGATCCTGGATCAGAAAAAGGATATTAGGGAGAAACTCAGGAAATCAGAATAGACTATGACATGTAGTTAATAACAATGTGTCAATGCTGGTCCATTAGTTGGAACAAATGTCTCATATTCATGTAACATCTTAACGATGGGGGAACTGGATGTGGGCAGGAACTCTTATATTATCTTTGCAGATTTTCTGTAAATCTAAAACTATTCTAGAATAAAAAGTTTATTTAAAAATATACTATAATCTTCTGACTCAATAATTTCAGTTTTAGAAAACTATGATGAGTGTGTGCAAGGATTTAATTACAGTGATGTATGTGTGTGTGTGTGGTTTTCAATTGGGAGCAAACTAAATACCCAATAACTGGGGATTAACTAAATAATTTATGGTACATTATACCATGAAATATTATCCAGTCATTAAGTGATGGAGTAAAATATCTGATATAGAAAGGATGATCATGGTATTTCAGTAAAGGAAAAAGTCCATTACAAAAAAATGTAGAATATCACCCCATTTTGGTTAAAAACAAGGGCTAATCACATACAGTAGAAAATGTAAATATACTTACTTGAAGGGGTTTATCTTTGGGATAAGAGAATATAAAGATAATTATTACTTGTACCTTTCAAACGAATTTTAATTTTCTAAATTTTCTATAGTGAATAATGCATTGCTTCTGTAATAAAGAAAAGCAATTACACACACACACACACACACACACACACACACACAGATCTTTTGAAAAAGAAAAGAAGACACAGGCCTCCAGGCCCAGGCTGAGGACCCTCATTTAGGCTACTGTGACAACAACTTTGGGGTATGATCCAGTCTTTCCCCCTTTCTCAAGGCCACTAAAAAAAATGCAGAAAAATCCTTTACAGTGTGAGGGTTTTCTTGCTGACCACGTCTAGGAAACAGAACAAAGGGCTCACATGGGGTGGAGAGATTCTGGAACACCGCAGAGATCTTCTACCCACAGCACCCCCTCCCCATCCATCCCTTATGCTTCTGTTCTTAGATGACTCTCAGAGGTCTGAGTTTCAGAGGCTGCAAGATGTCAGAGCTAAGCTGCCTAAATTCTAGCTCAGAAGAGCTCTCTGTTTGCTCAGGCTATCGAGTCTGGAGGACACTTCAACCTGCCTGGCAGGTAGTAGGTTCTCAACAAACACTTGGTGAGTGAGTGAGTGAGTGGGTGGGCGGGTAGATGCATCCTCTGTTCAGCTTGTTCTAAGTCCTCTCTTGTTTGCAGTTGTAAGGTGAGAGGGTTTTGGTTATAGTTTTTGGAAGCTCTGCTCCTTGCAGCACACCAGTTCTCACCCCAATTGCCCATTAGGATCCCCAGAGCAGCTTCAAAACAAGCTGTTGCCCAAAATTCTTGTTTAAATTGGTCTGGAGGAGGGGGACAGACATCAGTATTTTTATTTATTTATTTATTTATTTATTTTATTTTATTTTATTTTATTTTATTTTTAGAGATGGGATTCTGCTCTGCTGCTCAGGCTAGAGTGCCGTGGTGCAATCATAGCTCACTGCAGCCTCAGATTCCTGGCCACAAGCCATCCTCCTGCCTCAGCCTCCTAAGTAGCACAGTCTTGCAACACCTTGCCCAGCTAATTTTTGTTTCTGTTTTTTGTGGAAACAGGATCTCGCTTTGTTGCCCAGGCTGGGCTCAAGCAATCCTCCTGCCTTGGCCTCCCAAAGTTCTGGGATTACAGGTGCAGGCCACTGTACCCAACTAACGTCAATATTTTTAAGCACCCCTCAGGGAACCTCCTGCACAGCCAGGACTGAGGATCATTGCTTGTGGCTGCACTCTCAGCTCCTGTTCCTGTTTGAGGGGCAATTACAGGTCAGCTCCATTTGCACACCCAAAATAACTGGCAGGCTCAAAATAGATAATGAAGCCCTTTCTGGCCCAGGGCATCACCTTCTTGGGACTTTAGTAACACACAGGCATCAAGCAGCCCCTCTCTTCTCCCTTTGCTGGTGTTTTGAGAACCCTAGTTTTATAATATAAAGTTAATTCACTTATTCAGACACAGTAGTAGTTGTCATGTATATCAAAGAATGAAGAGGGTTAATTCTTTAATACTTTTACTTAAGAGAAGAGGGGGAAGAAAGTATTACGGGGGAGTCTCTAGTCCTGAAATACCTGCAGGATGAGCACACATCCCAGCAAGCCCAGACCTTCCTCTCCAGAGAATGGTTCAGGAGTGTCTTCAGAGATAACGGTAGTATCGCCACAGTCCCGTGAGCAGCTTCTTTGCAGCTCTAATCTCAACTGTAATTGATTAAGTTTTTGTGCACAGCTGGGTGTCTGGTAAGGAAGAGGTTTAATTTTGTTTTCTGCAAGAAAGACAGTTGCTATGCAGGTCTGGAAGAGCTGCAAGTTCAGAGGACAAATTTACAGAAGGAGAACAAGATGGAAAGTTGTAGACTCTCAGGGCAAACTGACTTAGTTCATGGTGTGGGCAGGCCATGTAAATCCCTAGGTGGGAGTCACCCTGAGGGTGGCAGAAGGCAGGAGGAAGGACCAGGAGTCGGGTCACAGAAAGAGAATGACAATTGTGAGCTTGTGGACACTGGGGGGCTTCTGACCTTGTCATCCTGGGGGCAGACTTGGACCTGAATCTAAAGATCTGTATGTCTTATTTTGGTGTGATGCACCTTGTGCAAAATTGTCCTCCTCCTTAGAGGCAGTAGAGCATGATAGCTAAAGGTGATGGCTCTGGTTCAAATCCTGGTCTATTGCCTATTAGCTGTGATACAGGAGGGTTTCTTAACCTCTCTAAGCCTCAGTTTTTTCATCTGTAAAATGGAGATAATCCTAATACCTGTTTGAGGTTTTTTTGTTTGTTTGTTTGTTTGTTTTGAGACAGCGTCTTACTCTGTAGCCCAGGCTGGAGTGCAGTGGCACAACATAGCTCACTGTAGCCTCTATCTCCCAGGCCCAAGCAATCCTGCCACCTCAGCCTCCAGAGTAGCTGGGACTACAGGTGTGTGCCGCCACACTCAGCTAATTTTTTTTAATTTTTAGTGGTGATGAGGTCTCACTATGTTGCCCAGGCTGGTCTCAAACTCCTAGGCTCAAGTAATCTTCCTTCCTCAGTCTCCCAAAGTGCTTGGATTACAGACATGAGCCACCACACCTGGCATTAAAGTTGCTTTGAGGATTACATGAGTTAATGCATAAAACATACTCAGAATAATACTTAGTCCATAAATTGCAAAATCACTCAATAACGATTGATTGTCAGTTATTTTTATTATTAACACCTTGAAGAGTAACAACAACGTAGGCAGAAATTGCACTGTCTCTGGAGACTGACATCTAGCCGCCATCAGCACCAGGAGTAGCAAGTTGAGAATGTATTGGGGTTTCCCTGTCCCAGTAGGTACACAGGGGACATCCTTGGTAGAATGAAACCCCATTCTGAAGCTGGCATCTCGGTAGTAGTTTTGACATACCATAGCTCCAGGAAGTACATCGGGGCTCCAGTTCAGGCGGCAAGTCTGGAGAAAGCTGGACTGACCACTTAGAGCCCAGAGTGACCTGGAGACTTAAGAAGAGACCCAAGGTGGGAGAAATTGGACTTCTTGCTAAACTGGCAGGTGGAGGTCTAGGACTTGGTCTCTGAGGGACCCTCCTGACAATTCATCCTTTAAAAGCACACACTGCAGTGGTAGGCTGTCCTCCCCAACATGCATGTGAGGGCAGTTACCATGCCTACCTTACACCACTCTATCTGCAGTGCTTGACATCTAGTGAATACTCACTATCTATCATTAGGAGGAATGAATGAATGAAATGCAATATCATTCTCAAAGTCCTTTTACACCTATTACCTCATTTAATTCTCATAGTAGCTCTATGAAATACGCAGGCCAAAAATCCTTTTTCTAATTTTGCTAGACAAACTGTCACAAGACTCTTACGGCAGGCAAGATTCCAAATTTCATTCCCTTATGACCCTTCACTGTTCTTTCTACAACATGTTTTTTCTAAAATATCTTATTTGTGCTGGGTACAGTGGCTCATGCCTGTAATCCCAGCACTTTGGAAGGCATAGGTAGGAGGATCGCTTGAGGCCGGGAGTTTGAGACCAGCCTAAGCAACATAGTGAGACCCTGAATTATCTTTTGTTTGTTCCTGTCAGGAGTTAAAGGCAATATGGTTTCATCATCATCATCCACCTAGACTTTGTGGAGTGTGTAAGTCACTTGACCTCCTTGCCAAGCATCCCCTGGCTATAAAGACAATTATCCCCTCCACTGCCCTGGAACCTGGACCTTCTGCCCATCAGAACAGACAGATTTCTCCCTCAGCCCATGGGCAGCATTAATGAACAGCGGCTGGGGACCCCGAGGCCTTGGCACAGGCGACTCTGCTGCCAGCAGGAATGGTGTTGTGTCCCTTTGTGTTGGCTGATTCG
Source organism: Homo sapiens (assembly GCF_000001405.40). Classification (NCBI taxonomy): domain Eukaryota; kingdom Metazoa; phylum Chordata; class Mammalia; order Primates; family Hominidae; genus Homo; species Homo sapiens. Next base: position 24,294,286 of record NC_000016.10, on the reverse strand, counting down.
GGGATTTCTCACTCCCAAGCCAAGGGGAAACTGTCCTCGCTGCCCGGAGGGGAGACGTTCTGGTGCCTTCTTCCAGCATCCTCTCTAAGCTAAGAGTTTGCAGATAAGCAAAAGGAAGCAATTTTGCTGCTATGTAGATTTTTCTTCCTGCTTCTGCACCTACGATCAGGTGCACAACGCCAGGTTTGTGGGAAGAATACATCATTTCAGAAGCAGCAGATTTTCTCAGAAGGGAGATAAGGTGAGAGCAATTTCCTATGAAAACACATTCTTGCAGCCAAGGAAGTGGCTGGAGGAAGAGGATGGATGGGGACGAAAAGCAAGGGGACTGGAATGAAACAGTTCATATGTGGGTCTAGAAGATTCAAGGCTTATTTTTTTTCACCCATATTTTCAATATGAATCCCGAAACCAGATGCAGGGTCTTGGAGGAAGAGAGGATTTCCCCTTGCTAGGTGTCCCTTGGCTCTTTCGAGAACATCTGCTGACTGATGCTGGGCAGATAGATTTGCCTCTCTGGTCCTCAGCTTGAGAAAGCTGAAACTGAAATGGAAGCAGATCAGAAGAACAACCAAATCTCAGTTTCAGGCTATTTAACTGTTAATTGTAGAAGGCATCCCAAATATCTTCTAGTGTAGGTTTTGAAGTGTGCAAGTGATGTGCTTTTGAGTTTTATAAATGAGGGCGGGTTCTATTGTCACTCAATTGTATTCTGACATAGTTTCTTAGATAAGAAGGGGAAAAGTGAAGAACCTTATTGTTATCCATTTCTCAGATGGGAGAACTGAGGGCCCTGAGAGCTCAAAGTAGCTTCTTCAAAGATTTACAGCCATCGGGTGTGGAGAGGCAAGATTCAAATGTAGGCAGTGTGGCTCCCAAGTCTGTGCTCTTCATTGGCTGTCAAGTAGAGGGGCAAGGCTAAAGAGAACCAGAGGATGAACATCAGAGTTGGAGGACCATTGAGGTCATCTAGACCCATCCTCTCCTTCTGGAAAGAAGAAAACAGTGCCACTCCCCAGCAAAGGGCATGATTTATTTCAGGGTGCAGAGAAAGTTAAGGGCAGAGCTGAGACTAGAGCTAAGCTTCTGGCTCTTCCAACAGATAAGATTTCAAATAATTTCTTAACAGCTCTAGAACCTTGAAATTCAAGGGACAATAACTTCTTGGCTTAGATGGGAGCCCACGTCCTCAGTGGCTGAGATCTGAATGATCATGTCTACACAAACCTTCATCCAGATGTTCCCAAGAGTCAGGTGTCTGTGATGGAATGGACTCAAGTGATTGGATAAATGTCTTCTCATTTTCTGTCTGCTGCCTTTCCAATCTCATCAAATTCCTTCCTTTGGTTTTCTTTCCAACACATTGGTGTTCACATCACATCCTCTCTGGTTCTTTCCTGTTCCCCATTCTATCTGGGGGAGTTTAGGCTCTTTTCCCTAATCCATGTCATTTTTCAGAATAATTTTTTGGTTCATTCTGGCTTTGATTTTACCCAAATTTCTTAGGACTGACTCAAAGGAAAAAGCATTTTGTTAAAATAGCTGCGTTGCTTTTAAACAATTTGTCCTCCTACTCACTTTTTCTTTTTGGAAGACAGAAACTGAATATAGATTTGTGGGAGAGAGATAAAGAGGGAAACGGAGAAGAGGAGTAGAGAGGAAGAAGGGGAGAGGGAGAGAGTCTGGGCAGAGGGGATGGGAGAGAGAGGAGGAAAAAGAGAAGAGAAGAGGAAGGCAGGACTGGAAGGAATTCGAGCTCCAGGGATGATGATGCAAGGAAACTGGCATGGACCCTTTTCCAATTCGGGCCATCTGCAAGCAATGATTGAAGACTAGGCTGTCTTTATGTCAAAAAGGAATCAGTGTCCAGCACTCTGCTGATCTAATGTTCCTCAATATGTAATTTCACTTAACAAAGGGAAGGAAGGTCCCTCTCCAGGTCCCTAAAGAGGCCCTTGGGGAAGCCAGTGGCCTGAGTCCAGAAGGAACAGACAGACTGCACTCAACACAGGGATTCCTGCTGACTCTGTTTCGCCATTCAGGACTCCCCTTGAGGAACGATTGAAAAATCGAGCTGTTTGGCACAGTGGGACAGTACATGCATATTCAAATCCCTCCCTTCCAGCGCTAAACTTAGCTGCCACCTTGCTCATCCTGAATGCCTTCCTCCTCCGCCTGCCCGGTTATCCGCTCCACCTGTGCCCAGAAGCCAGTCTCATCTGTTACCCTAACGTTCTTACCTCGTCAATAACCACCCCTCACTTACCTCAGTCTCTCTCTCTCTCTCCCCACTGGCTCATCCTAAAACAAAGTTGCTCCGTTCTGCCTCCCTTCAAACTTCCATCCTCCTTAACCCTTTCCTTCATCCCCATACTGTCTTCAGTTTCTCATCTTCCATTCATTCCTTGACGTTAATAGCTAACACTTAGATTGGCTTTCCTGTATGCCCCGTAGAATGCATCTCATGTGTGCTAATTCACTTAATCCTTATCCCAGCCATACACGGATGGTGCCATTATTTTCTCTCTCTCCTTTCTTTAACAGATGAGGAAACTGAGGCAGGAGGGGTTAAGTAACTTGTCCTACATCACACACCCAGTAAGTGGGGGAAGGAGGTCTTGAACCCAGGACTGTCTGACTCACTATACCATGCTCCTAACCATCTGGCTATAGTAACTCAACCCACAATAACTGCCTTCCACCAACAAAATTTTTCTAAGAAGAATCCTGAAGTGGCCTTTCATTCAGCCCCAGGTCCTTATATGCCCCCACCTCCATCTTCTTGCTCTCAATAATATAGTTTCCACCCCTCACTTGATTTTTTTAAGCCTATGTGGTTCATACTCAACTGGCAGGATAAAATCGCTGCACTTGAAAGTTTGTTGGACCGCACAGTCTTCAAGTGCATTGTCATATGGTAGTTGCCAGAAGTATTGTTGACAGGAGCAATATCCAGCAAGGGTTGTGGGATGTGCAGGTCCCTACTCTTCCAGTCATTCTGAGTGTCCCTTTGGATCAAGCCAGACCAGCAGTGATGACTCACAGTGTGTAATCAACAACAACAAGCAACAACAACGTGGCTATTGAGGGCTAACTATGTGCCAAAACTAAGCTAAATGCTTTATCAGCCATAACCTCATTTGATTTCCATAAGAACCCTATGAGGGAGGTACTATTATCTTGCCCATTTACAGCAGAAGAATGTGCATCCCAGGAGAGTGAAGTGACATGCCCAAGGTCACCTGGCTAGTAAGTGGCAGAGCTAGGATGCAACCCATCCTTCTTTCATGCTCCCAAGAACAGTGCAGTATTGCTTTGGGGAGTTTGCCATCTGCCTTCACTGGAGACACTATATTTTATTATGTGACACATCATCCTCTTAGGAAGGAAGCCATCCCTATCTGATCTTGGTATCAAGGAAAGTTGTGTGTATCTACATGTTCTAAATTTTATTTTATCTAGTGTTTATCAAACACTTGTTAAGTACGTAGGCCGTGATAAACACTTCACATATATTCTTTCACTTTACTCTAAAAAAACAACCCATAGGCTGGGTGTAGTGGCTCACACCTGTAATCCCAGCACTTTGGGAGGCCAAGGTAGGTACACCACTTGAGCCTAGGACTTCAAGATCAGTCTGGGGAACATAGCGAGACTCCATCTCTATCTAAATAAATAAATAAATAACCCATGACTACAATTTTATCCCCATTAGAGGTGAAGACACTCAAACTCTGAGACATTAAGTCATTTGTCCAGGGACACATCTTGGAGCCTGCTTGCCAGCTCAGGTCAGCCTGACTGCAAGTCTGCTTAGCCACCAACTTTTCCAGTGTTATAAACACTGCAAATATGGAATTGAACAGGCTTCTCTTCGTGAAGGGGCTGCCAGGAAGCTCAGTTTACGGTCAACCTTATGAACTACCCTTATCAGGAATGTAGTTCTTTATGATATGCATGTTCAGCATCATGCTTGGCTCTGCTCTGTTCCCATGTTTTCTTCCTTAGTCCAATTTAGAAATTATCCTATTTTGTCTTATTTTGTATAACTAGACACTCTCTCCAATTCTTTCTGGAACAAGATGAATATAAACAAATAAAAAAACAAATAAATAAAAGATGGGTATAAATCCACAAATATATGAAATGTTTGTTGATTCAAAATGTTAATTAGTAATGTTGACTTTGAGTGTTACAGTAGAGTTTCTGACATATAGTAGGTCTTCTCTGTCTATGATGGTCTTTGTCTTAACCTTATGCCTGCCCTGCTAGGGCGCAAGCCTCTGTAATACTCCAGGACTTGGCTTCCTGCTGTTCTTAGCCACTGCCCCAAATCTTTCTTCCAAGTTGAGCTTTCTCTGCTAATAAGTAATAGCCAACATTACTGAAAGTTTTTCATATTCTTAGCACTGTTCTAGGGCCTTTTATAAGGATGAACTCGCCTGATCTTCACAGCAATCCTATCAGGTAGTGATTATCCCCATTTTACAAATAAGGAAACTGAGGCACACAGGAATTAAGTGAATAAAGTCCTTCAGGTAGTGGATCTGCAAATCCAGGCAGTCTAGTGCCACAGAGCGTGCTGTGCTACCCACAGCTAGGAAGGCAAATGGGGTACCTTCATGGACTACCCCAGAGCATCTCTCAGAGTGAACCCTGTAGGGAGCTAGAATGGGGATGGAGACCCAGGCATGAAGGGCTCCCTGCAAGTGGGTGGCCACCCATTGTGTTGATGGCTCAGACCCACAAGCTCATCAAAACCCTCTGAAATGCAAGGCTCCTACTCCTGTCAAATTGAACCTGCTTTGCAGATTTCAGTTTCAATCCTGCCAACTTGAAAGTTTTAGCATTTCAGCTGTTTCAGAATTATAAAAGCCTACAAAATGCTAAGGTGCTTTTTTTAGAGTTTAAAAAAATGTGTCTTTTCCCCACCATCACATAACAATCTGAAGGGATTTTTTTTCTTTTTCTTTTTTTTTTTTCTTTTGCAGATTCTTGCCAAATGTGTATTTTTAAAGATTGCATTTGGCCAAAGACCAGAAGAGGAAAATCTGAGAGGAACGTTGAGGAAGTTCTAAGGCGAATTCATCGGGAAGGAGAGGGGAAGCTCTTTCCTTTCTGCAGAGCCCTGGGTCGTTTGGGAGGGATGCTGTTTACTTCCACTTTCTTACTACCTTTGTAGACATGCGGTTTCCTTAAGATGCTGACACTTCAATTGGGTGGCCCAGAGGACATTTGAGCTGCATCCCTGGCCAGGAAAGACCACCATGACTGCATGCAAAGCTTCCAGTTGGGTAACTGTCCTCAGAAGCCACATGGCCGCATGATGGAAAAAGTCACCATACCCTTCAGGTCAGGCAAGAGATCAGTTCTCACTAATTAAGTGTCTGGTGTGTGTGTGTGTGTGTGTGTGTTTATGTGTCACAGACTCTCTCCTAGTGTGAATCAGCTCAATCATCATTTTGCAGTGTTTCAGCTTCAGATTGCAAACATCCACCAACAAATGGGAGCCTTGCTTTCTAACGAGCTGGGGATGTGTGGAAAATAGAATCACTCACACTAGTAGTGAGCCGCAGATGTTCCATGGAGACAGCAGGCTGTGCCAAGCACAGACAGTATGTGTGGCCATGAGACAGGATGCAGAATCTTGCCATGAAACTATTGCCCACAGAGCCCAGAAGATGAAGGGGAAAAGACAGTAGATATAAAATCTGTTTTCTTTTTCCAAAGGCCTGGCCTTCTGTACAGTTGCATGACACCACATTTAGAAGTGGTCCAGGCAGCTGAATGTTTAAATTTGAATAACTGCCACCAAGGCCTTCACTTCCAAAGCACGAGCGATACTCCTAAGGAAGGAGAAAAACCTGGGTTCAATTCCCAGGTCCAATACTTACTAACTGAGTGCCCTTGTAACCTTTTGGGACCTCAGGTTTCTCATCTATAAAAGGGACTAACTTATTGGGTTGTGCTTGGGATTAAATGAGAGAGTGCATGTGAAGCTGTTAGCATAGTGCCACTCATAGAAGATGTTCAATAAACAGAAAGCTATTATCATCATCATCACTATCATTATCATCATCACCATCACCATCACCATCACCATCACTTCTAGCTCTGCAATCCTAGCAAAGTTATCCTGATGCTGCTAAGTTTCATTTTTGTCTTCTATACAATGGGAATAATTACGCCTATTTCAAAGAGTTGAGTTAATGTTTATTAAATTCCAGAATACTGCCTAACACAGAAGTAGGCCCTCAATACATGTGAATTCATTTTCTTTCTTCCCTTTTCAGGTCTCAACCTTACTTACTTACTTTATTTATTTAATTTACTTATGTTTTGGAAAGACTCGGGTTCACTATGTTGCTCAGGCTGTTCTCAAACTCCTAGTCTCAAGCAATCCTCTCCCCTCGGCCTCTCCAAGTGCTGGGATTACAGGCATAAGCCCACTGTACCTGGCCTCAATCTTACCTTAAAACACCATTGAATTTAATTATTGAGAATCAACCTTTGCTTAGTGTTATAGAGGTTCCCTCAGGACCTGTAAGCCAAGAGGCATAGACATTGACCTGTCCCCAAGGAGATGATGATGCATTCTCAGGTAAGACAAGACACTGGGTAGGATGGTTCTGTTGCCAGGGAGACCATGAGTCTTGGAGAGTCTCAGGAAAATTGCTGAAGGTTTAACAAGTTGGTTTCCTACCCAGGTCATTCTGACTCCAGAGTCTACATTTTTTTTTTCTTTTTCTTCCTTTTTTTTTTTTTTTTTTTTGGAGAGTCTCGCTTTGTTGCCCCAGCTGGAGTGCAGTGGCTTGATCTCGGCTCACTGCAACCTCCGCCTCTTGGGTTCAAGTGATTCTCATGCCTCAGCCTCCTGATTAGCTGTGACTACAGGTGAGTGCCACCAGGCCCAGCTAATATTTGTATTTTTAGTAGAGATGGGGTTTTGCTATGTTGCCCAGCCTGGTCTCGAATTCCTGGCCTCAAGTGATCCACCCGCCTCGGCCTCCCAAAGTGCTTGGATCACAAGTGTGAGTCACCATGCATGGCCCAGAGCCTACACTTTTAATCATGCGTACCTGTTGCCTATCACAACAGAATGGGGAAAGGCCAAACCAAGGGTGACCAGTGTCTCTTAATTGCTTCAGTTTGTTTTGAGAAAGCAAGAGAAAGAGAGTGGGAGAGAGAAAGGAGAGAAGAAAGCTAGCTTCTGAGTTGTTTGCAGGAGCAAGCAAGCATGCCATCCCATCCATTGTGTTCTGGGGTGCCCACATGCTCACTCAGTTATCTCTGAATAGGGAAGGTACTTCCTGGAGGTCAGCCTGGCGGCAAGGACCTTGCACAGGAGCCTTCCTCCTTCACAGCAGGAGGCAAGGTGTGGCTCTGCCTGGGGCTCTAATGAAAGTCTCAGTGACGGTATCCTTGGAGGAAATCCCACACAGTCGTTAAGAGCGTAGGTCTTGGAGGCAGGCAGAACTGGAATCAAATCCCAGCTATACCACCTACCAGTTGCGTCACTTTGAGCAAGTGACAAACTTTCCAGGCCTCAGTTTCCACTTTTGTAAAATAAGGATGGTAATAGCACCTATCTCTTACATAACTATGAGAGTAAGACGGAAGACATGTACCTAAGGTACTAGTGTATTACCTGGGTGGGACACAATAAATGGCTTTGCTGCTGTTTTTAGCGTTCTCAGAGCAGTGTCCTCTGGGGGCCAGCATGGCGATGGCAACAGAGGACACTACTAGGAATGACTGAAATTCAGGGCTGCTATTTGTGCTTCCAATCCATTCTAGGGGATCTCCTTTCAAAGCAAAATCTTTGAATATATATATATATGATATATATATATGTGTGTGTGTGTGTGTGTGTGTGTGTCCTTCATTTAATAATCAAGACATTTGCCTGATAATCACTCCCCTTGCTACAATCTTTTAGGATAATAACCTGTCAATATCTATTAAGATTATAACCCCATACCCTTATTGATCCAGCAATATTGCTTTTGGTAATCTAGCCAGAAAAATAAAAGCACTAGTATATAAGAACATATGTTGTCATGCAACATGTGACAAGAATGACAATGACAGCAATAAAAACTGGAAACAAGATGAATGTCCATGAACAAAGGCATGTTGAATAAACTGAAGTGATTCTATTCTATGGAACATTATGTAGCTATTGAAAAAATCAAGTTAGGGATTGCTTGAGCTCAGGAGTTCAAGAACAGCCTGGGAAACATGGGGAGACCCCATCGCTACCAAAACTACAAAAAAATAGCTGGTGTGGTGGCATGCGCCTGTGGTCCCAGCTACCTGGGAAGCTGAGGTGAGAGGATTGCTTAAGCCTAGTGGGTGGAGGTGGCAGTGAGCTGAGATCGCGCCACTGCTCTCCAGCCTGGGTGACAGAGCGAGACCCTATCTCAAAAAAAAAAAAAAAAGAAAAGAAAGAAAAAAATCAGTACCTATAGAACCAGAAGGATAGCCATGGTGTATTGAAAAGCAACTGGCAGGCTAACATCGACAGTGTGATTTAATTATATATACTTTTTAAATTATATATACATATTATCTTCAATTAGATATATAATTACTTATTTTACACTTTAAAAACTTTTATTATTACTATTATTTTTAGAGACAGGGTCTCACCATGTTGCCCAGGCTAGACTTGAACTCCTCCTGCCTCAGCCTCTTAAATAGCTGGGACTAGAGGTGTGTGCCATTGTGTCTGGCTCTGATTTAATTTAAACAAAAGCAAATGATGCTCCTTCTCCTGTGCATGTATGTGTGTACGTTTTGAGGGTAGGAAAGGAAGCACATTTAGCAGTTAACGGTAGTTACTTTGGAAGGGGATGAGTTGGGGCAGGGTGAGAATAGAGTAGGGGGTATTATTACTTCTTTTTCTATTTTTGAATAGTCTCACTAGGTGCAGTAAACGGGTTACTCTTATAATCTTTGAAGAGAGACCTTAAACAATCTGTGTTTGCAATTATTTAAAAAATGGTTTTGGTAACCTTGTGATATTGGAGACCACATAGCTAAGAAAGGATTTTCCTCATATGCAAAGTCCCTGAGAGCAGGGGCCATATTTTTTGGCTTTGCACGTCCAAGACCAGCACAGTGCCTTTCCCAGAGTAAGTCCTGATGAGTGTGAATCACAGGAGTGAACAACATTTACTCAGCTTGTGTTAGGGAATGTGGTTTTTCATTGAGCATAGTGAACCTGAGGTGAGGTCACACTCTGAGTGTCTTTCTTTTTTTTTTTTTTTTGATGGGAATCCCATAAAACCAAGTTATAATTCCTGTGTTTGTAAGACAAGACTACTAGATGTTTGGCTAATTCTTTACCACACTGCTATGTCCTTCAACCTTTCCCCTTCAATGATTTTATCAATGACTTGCTGAGAACCAAAATGGCAAGCTAGTTAATCACATTGGCAGATGACACTTATCTGCGAGGTCTAGTGACTTTGCTGGATAGTAGTTAGGATGCCAAAAGGACCTCTTCACATTAAAGCATGCCAACCTCAACAAGATGAGATTTTTAAATCTAGGTTAAAAAAATCCCAAGAGCAAAAATGTATTGCTCATAATGGCATTTGGTTGGCTGCCTTCAAATTGCTCTTCCAAGATTCTTAAAAAATACATTAAGAAACCCAAGAAAGAGATGAAAATTCAAAACCTAAAAGTTAAAGACTGAAAGACAACTTAATGGCACCATCTTGGAAGAAATGACACCAATTATAAATGCAGTCGGAGACAAGTTGAGAAAATAGAGAAGAAAAAAGACAGATTTGGAATAAAATGAATTATAAGCAATCACACTATTTAACCCTAGACTAAAACATTTTTACATTTCTATGAGTAAAAATGACTCTAGAAAAAGGCTCAAAATAGGCAAATAAGATGTGAGAGAAATTGTCAAAGAACTACTTTCAAAAAGGCCCCAGGCCCAGAGGGTTTTATATGAAAATTTCCATGCTATTTAGTCTATTTCAGAGCATAGAAAATCATTTCAGCAAGTTACCGCAACTCAGATTTAAAACCTTAACAAAAATAACACACAAAAGACAAACCACAGGAAAATTTCATTGACAAGTGTATAGAAAAATCCTAAATTATATGTTAGCAAATCCACTTCAGCATTATACAATCAAAAACAAAATTGCCCCAAAAGGAATTATTATAAGAATGAAAGGTAGAAAGGCCAATACGAAAGACATTAACATAACTTACCCTATTAATAATCCAAAGAGGATAAAACTTATAATCTCAATAACTATCAAAAATGTAAATCTCCATACCTGATGGGAATTCTTAGTTAAGTGGACATTGACAGAAATCTTGATAGTATGATAAAGAAAACCTATCTAAACCAATAACAAATACCATGCTTCTTGGTGAAAACCTGGAGGAGTTATTCACTTGAGTGTAGACAGGAATCACCTTAGGGAGTTTGCTAAAATGCAGATGACCAGGTTTGTATAAATTCTGGGATGTAAACCGAGATCTGTGATCACACTTTGAGAAACACTGTTCATGAGATATCCATTACAGCTAAAAGCAAGGTGGTCTTTGACCACTACCATTATTTAACACTATTCTCTAAACTTCAGTCAAAGAAAAAAAAGTGGAGGCAAAAATATTCCACCTATTATTTGCAGATGTTATGATTGTTTTACCTGGAAAAGCAAATGAAATTCACTAAGTAAGAATGTTCAAGCAGCTTATAAATAATTATAGATCTGTAATAGCTTTCTCACCTACCAGTCATACTAGCCTCTTAGAAAATATCCTGGAAAACACCATCCATTAATGTGAGTAAACAAAAAACATAAAAACTACCTAGAAATAATGTACACAATAGATGCATAGGCTTGAATGATGAAAATGTTAAGATTTCTCTAAACAACCTAAAAGAAGATTTTAATAAATGGGAGATACATTATGTTGTTAAATGCGAAGTCTCAATATCCTAAAGATGTCGATCATTCCCAAATAAGCCTGTTAATTACATTTTAAAATTAATATCTCAATATCCTACAATGAGACAGAATAGTTAGAATATTTGCTAGCAAAACCAAATGATAAGAACTCAGATGTTTGGTAAAGAAGGATAGCAGAGAAGAAGGCGCTCTTCTAGTATTGAGTCCTTCAGGAGGCCAAGGCAAGCAGATCACAAGGTTAGGCGATCGAGACCATCTTGGCTAACACAGTGAAAACTCGTCTCTACTAAAAATACAAAAAATTACCCGGGAATGGTGGTGTGCACCTGTAGTCCCAGCTACTTGGGAGGCTGAGGCAGGAGAATTGCTTGAACCCAGGAGGTGGAGGTTGCAGTGAGCTGAGATCAGGCCAGGCCACTGCACTCCAGCCTGGGAGACAGAGTGAGACTCTGTCCAAAAAACAAAAAAAGAATCTTGTGAAGCACATGAATTCAAAAGAGAGTGTGTAGAATCTCAGAAATAGAAATATAGATTAAAAGAAAAGAATAGAAGGTTCAGAAATAGATATGTTCATATGTACATAAATATGTATACACATATACATACATATGTGTGTCTGAGTTTAATAAAAGGTAAATTCAACGTGGATAAATTGTTTCATAAACAGCTTAATTTACAGTTTACATCTTTGAGAGCAACTTTGTGTCCACGTTCTTGGGACTCTCATGTCCACCTATAACAATCACAGAAGGAAAGTTAATGAGGCTGGGCACGGTGGCTCATGCCTGTAATTCCAGCACTTTGGGAGGTTGAGGTGGGCGGATCACGAGGTCAACAGATCGAGATCATCCTGGCCAACAGAGTGAAACCCCATCTCTACTAAATATACACAAATTATCCGAGTGTAAGATTCCGTTTAAAAAAAAAAAAAGGAAGTAATGAAGAAGCCGCACAAGTGGATAAGTGTGGGTGGAGGATTAGCCCGCAATAAGCCCAGTGTGACTCTTCAGTCTGTGTGGCCTCCCAAACGTTTCCTAAGCGCTCAAGCTACATTACTGCATGACTAGAAAAGGCGGCCATAGGATTCTAGTCTCTGTTCCACTGTTTAATTCATGTTTGACCTAGAGCAAAGCACTCAACCTGAACCTCCATTTCCTCATGGGAAAATGGAGATCGTGCTTCCCGGTCGGGTCTCCTTTAAAGTTGTTGTGAGGAAAAATAAAGTCATGTTTGAAAGCCTGCTGTCACTGAAAACTGCTGCGTTGCAGTGGACATCTGGTAACCCTACCCTAACTCAGGATGGTGTCATAGAGTAGTGGTTTAGAGCCTACACTCTGGTGAAAGGCTGCCTGAATTTGCATAGTGGCTCCATCTTTTACCATCTGTGGGTCTTTGGAAAGGTTACAGTCACCTCTCTCTACACCTTGGTTTTGTTATTTACTGGCTGTCGGTCCTGGGCAAGTTAGTTAATCTTGCTATAGTTTTGTTTTCCTCAACGTTAAAAGAGTGATGACAATAGCACCTATCTCAAAGTGTTGTCATGAGAAGCACACGAAAAAAGCATTCATGCTGGTCAGAACATGTAGCAACTGGTCAATAATGGTTGTCATTTATCATCATAATTATCTTTGGGGATCTATGCCCCTCCTACTTCAAGATTGAATCACGTGACTCAGGCCTAAGCCAATCAACCTTTCGGGGACCCTTTGTCTGCAGTGATTGGTTCAATAATGGACATATGACCTAATTGAAGCCAATAAAATGCAATGAGACTTTTGCCTCTGGAAAAGAAACTCATGCTGTTATGCTGGATTCAAGTACACAGCCCTCCTGGTCATAGTGGTTCATGCCTGTAATCCTAGCACTTTGGAAGGCTAAGGTAGGGGGAGGATCAATTGAGCTCAAGAGTTGGAGAGCAGCCTGGGCAACATAGCAAGACCCCTGTCTCTACCAAAAAAAAAAAGTCAAAAAATTTAGCTGGGTATGGTGGTGCATGCCTGTAGTTCCCTGGCTACTCCAGAGGCTGAGGCAGGAGGATCACTTGAGCTCAGGAGGTCGAGATTACAGCGAGCTGAGATTCTACTACGGCACTCCAGCCTGGGTGACAGAGTGAGACCCTGTCTCAAACAAACAAACAAACAACAACAACAAAACAGAATATAGCCCTGGGAGCTGCTGTTCCCCATCTTGAATCCCTGAGTATCCCATCCATTACTCTGAAATGGAGTCAACAGAGAAGAAGCAGAGGAAACAATGGTGAGAGATACAGTGTCCTTGTGAATTTGGTCCCCGCATATAGCCATACCTCTGTTATTTCAGTATATGAGCAATAGGGCTTTTTCTCTCTTTCTGTCTCCCCATTCTTAAGTCAATTAGAATTTAGTTTTCTGTCACTTCCAACTGAATGAATTCTAGGTTATACAACCATATTATTGTTCTATTGTGACCTCAGACAAAATGTTCCCAAAATCTCCAGAATAAACGGTCTGGTCTTTTTTTTTTTTTTTTTTTTTTTTGAGACAAACTCTTGCTCTGTCACCCAGGCTGGAGTGCAGTGGTGCAATCTTGATCTCGGCTCACTACAACCTCTGCCTCCCAGGTTCAAGTGATTTTCATGCTTCAGCCTCCCAAGTAGCTGGGATTACAGGCATGCACCACCACGCCCAGCTAATTTTTGTGTTTTTAGTAGAGACAGGGTTTCACCATATTGGCCAGGCTGGTCTCGAACTCCTGACCTCAAGTGATCCACCCACCTCAGCCTCCCAAAGTGATGGGATTACAGGCATGAGCCACTGCGCCTGGCTGGGTCTGGTCTTGTTATTAGCATAAGCTCAGCACCTAGTACATTTTTCATCCCCAAACAGTGTGTGGTTGCACAATTAGAAATGACGATCCTTCATCCGAATGATGGGCGTTTTAAGGACGAAAACAACATTGCCCTTTTCCAAATTATGGTTGAGAACACAGGGCTAGAAACTAGTCAAGAGCTTCAAGCAGCAGCCCCAGGGCTGGAATGGAAATTAGCCAGAAACCATCATTTCAAATTCTAAAGGTCACCATTTATGAAAGGAAACTTTAATGTTCACTTAAAACCAGATGACAAGTCAGAAATGGAAGGAGAGAGGGCTGAAATGACGGTTACACACAACTGGCTTTCCACGACCCAATAAACTCTATCTGTGCCTAATTAGACTGGCAGTGACCTCCTGGTGTTGCATTCAGACTTTTAACATCAGTTCATCTGTCACACGGAACCTTAGCTAATGACCTTTCACCGGTTGCCTCTGTTAGAATTAGTGGTTGGAATGTACATGTTTGACTGTTTCCTGATCAAAAAAGCATAGCTCCATATATATGGAAGTAATTAGACTAGATATCCCTCATGAGTTCTTGGGCAGTGCATTCAGCGGCCCTTTTAACACCTCCACTTGAGTGTTACAAAGGAAGCTGCAAACTCAACACTTTTAAAACCAGACTCACCCTCTCCCCATCACTAAACTTTTCATCCTAAAGGGGATCACTGTCCATCCAAAGGTTAAAGGCAGAAACCTAGATGTGCCTTGAGCTCATTCTCTCTTACCTTTACATGCAACAGTCAGGAAATTAAGTTGATTCCAGCTTTCAAGCATCTACCAAAGTGATGGCCAATGAGTCCATCTCCCTTATATAGGATTCTATTATTGCTATGGGATTATTGCATTAATGTCTCTTAACCAGTCTGCAAATATTCCTCAGTTGGGCGAACTGGGTCACCCTTGTAGTTCCAGCACTCTGGGAGGCTGAGGCAGGAGGATTGCTTGAGCCCAGGAGTTCAAGACTAGCCTAGGCAGCATAGTGAGATACTCTCTCTACAAAATAATAATAATAATAAACAAAATTAGCCAGGTGTAGCGGTGCACCTCTGTAGTCCCAGCTACTCAGGAGGCTGAGGTGGGAGGATCACCTAAGCCCAGGAAGTCAAGGCTGCAGTAAGCCGAGATTGCACCACTGCACTCCAGCCCGGCCAACAGAGTGAGACCCTGTCTCAAGAAAAATAAAAATAAAACTATTCCTTTTCCATTCCCCAGTCCATGTCCCACACTTCCGCCAGAATGAGCCTCAAAAATGAAAACCTGATTACGTCAGATCTTTAATTTTCTATTTTAATCTTTCCAAAGAATTTCTGTTTCCCCTAGAATAAAGTCTTACTTAACGTGCCTCCCAAAGATCTGCATGACACGGCCCCTGTCTACTTCTCCAGTCTTGCCATTCTCCCCACTCAGCCCACTCCTGCTCCAGCCATTACTGTATGTTTTGGCTTCTGTCCTAGGCTCTCTTTATGCTCCATCTAGCCTCCAGACCTTGGTATTTGCTGTTCCCTTTTCCCGGGACAACAACCCATCCCTTCATCTCTCTAACTTTTGCTCATCTTTCAGCTCTTAAGAGGTAATTTTCCTTTTGGAAGATTTTTCTCCATTCAAGGAGTCAGCTTGGTAGATAAGAAGGAAAGCCATGGAGTTATATCATTTGAGTTCAAATCCTGTCTCAGATAATAGCTCCATGTGTGACCTTGGGCCAGTTACTTAACCTCTCTGTGCCTAAGGTTTTTAATCTGTGAAATGGAGATATGAAGGGTTGTTAAAAAGGGTCAGATGTAATCGTGTAAGTTATTTAGCATAGAAGCTGGCACATAAACTCTCAAACAGTGTTAGATTTTATTTATTTATTTATTTATTATTATTTTTAGACAGAGTCTCCCTCTGTCGCCAGGCTGGAGTGCAGTGGTGCAATCTCGGCTCACTGCAACCTCCACCTCCCAGGTTCAAGCAATTCTCCTGCCTCAGCCTCCCAAGTAGCTGGGACTACAGGCATGTGCCACCACACCCAGCTAATTTTTGTATTTTCAGTAGAGATGGGATTTCACCATGTTGGCCAGGATGGTCTCAATCTCTTGACCTTGTAATCCACCTGTCTTAGCCTCCCAGAATGCAGGGATTACGGGTGTGAGTCACTGTGCCCTGCCCAGTGTTAGATATTATTATTATTTTACTTGTTATGCATGGATGTTCCCCCAAGGCTCTGTCTTTGGTCCTATTTTCTTATTTTTTACAGTCTTATTGGAAGCTCTTATTCACATTCAAGATTCTGCCTTTTACCACTGATGATTTCCAAATGTGCATTTCCCAGATCATACCTCCTTCCACATCATACTACCTTCCATACTCCAAGGGTCTTCTCTCTCTAAAGTTATTGCAATAGCCCACTGGCTTATCTCCTGCTCCCTTCTTACGTCTCAAAAATCTGTTTCTACCTGGGACCTGACCACAGTTTAAAGTCATCAGTTAGCTAGGTGCTGTGGCTCATGTCTGTAATCCCAGCACTTTGGGAGTCCAAGGCAGAAGGATCACTTGAGCCAAGGAGTTGGAGACCAGCCTGGGCAACATAGTAAGATCTCCATCTCTATTTTATAAAAAGTAAACAACAACAAACAAATACCATACATACATCAATTTAGATCCTATTGCTCTTCTGCTTAAAACTCTTTCATGGCTTCCCTTTACTTTTTTTTTTTTTTTTTTGAGATGGAGTCTTGCTCTGTCACCCAGACTGGAGTGCAGTGGTGCAATCTCTGCTCACTGTAACCTCCGCATCCTGGGTTCAAGCGATTCTCCTGCCTCAGCCTCCTGAGTAGAGTAGCTGGGACTACAGGCATGTGCCACTACACCTGGCCAATTTTTGTATTTTTGGTAGAGACGGGGTTTCACCATTTCGGCCAGCCTGGTCTCGAACTCCTGACCTCAAGTGATCCGCGCACCTCGGCCTCCCAAAGTGCTGGGATCACGGGTGTAAGCCACCGCACTCAGCTCCCTTTACCTTTTGATCAGGATTCTCAACCTCGGTACTCCTGACATTAGGGACTGGGTAATGCTGTGTTGTAGGGGCTGTCCTGCGCATTGCAAGGGGTTTAGCGGCGTCCCTGATATCACCTGCTAGATCTGGTTGTGCTTCCCTGATCCCCCAACCAAAAGTGTCTCAGACATTACCAAATGTTCCTGTCGAGAGCTACTGCCTTAGTATAAACTCCAGATGCCGAATGATAATCCTCAAGGTCATTCCTAGGTCATATGCTGGTCCTGCTAGGCTGGAGTCAGTTCCACCCAAACCACATGGACTGAGGACAGGGTGACATGGCAACCCCTCCTTTGACCAGAAAAAGGAGGAATGGATGTGAGGTTGGCCAAACAACAAACAAAAACATTCGTGGCCACATAATCCAGCCTCCCTTCAAGTGCCCATTTCTCCATTTCCAAGAACCAAGCCCTGGCACTGGCCAAGATAAATGTTTGTTCAGTGATTGCCCACTAGACCCTTCCATTTCCCAAATTCTCCATCCTCACCCACAGTGTCTTTAATTATAGGTTAGAAGGTGGAAAATTTATACATTTAAATTCCAATCCACCAAAAACTTGGTCAAAAATCTCAGTTTTTTTGCACTTTGCTTCATCTCACATATGAAGAATATCACCACAGATCTCAACTTTTTGTGGAGTGGTGGCTAAGCTTTGTCAGTTTTCATGAACAAAGACACAAGATGCTATGAATCCTCCAGGCTCTGTCCAACTTTATATCAGCAGGGTTGCATTTTAATCAAAGACACCTTTTTCAGTGCCTGCTGAAATCTCATGTTGCCTCTTCCATCCCAGTGATGGTGGAACAATGACTTAGCTTAGCTGCAACTAAAGAGAAGTCAAAAAGATACCAGAACCCACCAAGGGACTGTTTCATTTCCCACTGGAGAAGAAAAGACAGAACTAGAAGGAAATCTTCTGATGAAAGTATGGAAATAGCTCTTTTAGTTTCTCTCCTCAACTATATGAAGTTAGTCAACAGAATTAAAATACAGCTGTAGCAGAGGCTCTCAAATTTTTTGGTCTTAGGACTCCTTTACACTTTTGCAAATTATTGAACTTTTGTTTATGTGGGTTGTATCTATTTAATATTTCCTATATCAGAAATTAAAACCCCCCTAAAATAGTGAAATAGTTATTTTAAAATTCATTTGAAAATAATGATAAATTCAATTGCATGTTAACATAAATATTTGTATAAAAATAACTATATTTTCCAGAACAAAAAATAGTGAGAAGAATTGTTTTTACGCTTTTGAAAATCTCTTTAATGTCTGGCTCAAGAGAAGAGAGATAGATTCTTATATCTGCTTTTGCATTTGATCTGTTGCCCACTGTTGTTAGACTTGAAGTTTATGAAGAAAACCTAGCCTCACACAAGTTTGACAAATAGAGCAGTATTTGAATAGCTTTTGAAATAACTGTGAATATTCTTTGATACTACACCAAAACTCGACAAGTGGTAGTTCCTTAAAGGCTAGTTGCAATGTGGAATCTGAAACCATATTAACTTTTCATGCTCTACTACATGAAAATCCATTTTTCTAATCCTGCACGTTGAATGGGTCTTTTAGCCAGGCATAACTTTGTAACATCATTCATTGGTCATTCGGAAAGTATTGTTTCACTGAGTTATGCAGGTCTTCTAAATTTGGCACATTTCATTACACAGTGTAAAAACAAATCACATTGGCTCACAGGGACACAAGTTTTCCAAAATCATAATTATCACTTGAAACCTTGAATTTTTATCCTTGGCAACAAATACTGTCAGTTGCTTTCTTTGAAGTGACAGGCTCACTTAGCTCATTTTTGAGAAAATGTCTGCCAAATACCCAAGCCTGAATAACCATAATTTACCTGTCATTCTTTCAAGTAAATATGGTGTTTCATGGAAAAAAGCAGCTAGTTCAGCTCGCAACTCAGTCGCATAAGTGCCTTTGCTTGAGACCACTAGCATACTCTGGCTGAGGTACTCAATGCATAGTTCTCATTTGGTTACTCAGACTGTATAAATCTAGCACTCAAGGTCTGAGATTTAATAAAATTGATGCCTCTTTATGGCTTCATCAGGGACATTTTTAAGTGAGGCTAGCATTTTCTTCCCCTGCAAGTGAGTGGTGATGAATACAATGAGTACTGAGCCACAGCCTTCCTTTGTGGTCAGGCTCCAACAGTTTTACCTACCATTGTTTTTGCCTCATAAGTGCAAATTTTAACACATTGAAAAAAGCAAATCATATCTTTTTTTTTTTGGAGATGGAGTCTTGCTGTATTGCCCAGGCTGGTCTCAAACTCCTGGGCTCAAGCAATCCTCTCACTTCAGCTTCCTGAGTAGCTGGGATTATAGATGTGCACCACGTTGCCCAGCCATATCTTATTATTATTCTGAAATAGTTTCAACCTTGCCAATCCCTTAAAAGGATCTTAGGAAGTCCCCCTCTTATCCTAGGAATTAATAGACCACCCTTTGAGGATGTTGAGCTATAACATCAGGATTGAGGACAGCGGTTTTCCGATTTAAAATACCTAAGTTTGTATTCTACCTCTACCACTTACTGTCTCGAGAATTTGGGACAATTACTTCTCTGAGTTCCATTTACTCATTGATAAAACGAGTCTAACGTCCCACGAGGCTCTTGGGAGGACAAAGTGAGATGATGTATGTGAGCACTCAGTAGGCGCTTGCTGTTGTTAACTTAAGTGCTAATGGCTCCCCGATGTAGCTCATCTCGGGGATATTCTAGAACATCTATTCCTTAAGGTTTTGACTACCTTCATCAACCAGTATGAAGTCAGGCCCAAGATTTGTCATCATATGCCATAAATCTTGTTCCATGGTAGGGGCTCCATCAACTGCATCACTGGCTTTGCCTCAGTCTTCCCTAAGGCTCCTAAAGATTCTGGGGGACTAACAGAGCAGTGGTAACCATGACCTGAGTGATTCCCTGCTGTTGGTGGAGCAATGCAGATGAGTAGATTCTGTCCAATCTATTTATCCCAGGAAAATGGTAATAACCAACACCAAATTAGTACTTACATGTGCCAGGCACTGTTCTAAGAGTTGAACAAATATTAAGTACCCATAACAACCCTATGAGTAGGTATAATGACAATCCCCCCTTTTTATAGGTGAGGAAACAGACACAGAGAGGTTAAGTAATGTGTCAGAGTTGCACAGCCATATGTGGCTGATCTCAGATTTGAGCCCAAGCAATCTGGTAGTAGAGGTTGAGTTTTTTTTTTTTGTTTTTTTTTTTTTTGAGATGGAGTCTCGCACTGTCGCCCAGGCTGGAGTGCAATGGTGTGATCTCAGCTCACTGCAACCTCCGCCTCCGAGGTTCAAGCGATTCTCTTGCCTCAGCCTTCAGAGTAGCTGGGACTACAGGCATGCACCACCAAGCCTGGCTAATTTTTGTATTTTTAGTACAGAAGAGGTTGCACCATATTGGCCAAGCTGGTGAGGTTGAGTTCTTAACTGCTATACTATACTGAGGAGGCAGGAAAAAAGGAAGAGGAGTTATTTTTCCAGAAAAGTGTTTCCTCCTATACAGGGCTTGTGTTTAAAAAGCCCAATTTTGCTCTTAAATGATCTGTTAAAAAAACTCCTTGAGTCCATCAGAAATGCCAGGAAAAATGAAAACTGTACCAGAAAGCCCAAGTGTGATGCAAATAAATATATGGCATGATTTTGATGGACTGGTTAAGTATTAGGCAACTCCATTTGGACATTTTTCTTGGAGTGACTCAGAGATTGTGACATTGAAACCACAAAGAGAAAAATGTAATCTCAGAAAATGACTCAGCTTCACAATGAACATTATCTACATAATCAGAATAAGGTTCATCGGTTTTCAAACTTCAGAATCGATCCGTAGCCCAAGCATGGAAGACATTGGTCTAGTTACAGAATAGGATGCAACCAGAGTGAATCTTGATGATGAAAAAGTAAAAATACAGCTACAGGCATGGGTAGATGGAAGTGAGGAATGTGAACTTTCTCATTCTATAAAATGGGAAGCTAAGACAGTCTACGAAAGGTGAGGAAATGAAGATGTGCGTTATTTTAAAAAATTAGAAAGCTAATCAATACAGAGGGAGGAGTGAGTTTGCTAAATCCTCACCTATCATGGCAGGAAGTCAATAGATTATAAATCAAGAAATAGAGGGATGAACATATTATGTAGGGATAAGGATGTAACTACCAGAAGGACTGAATAAAAAATGGTTTAAAAAAGCAATTGGACTTAGGGTGGGGAGACAGCAGTATCTCTGACGTGGATGCTTCTCATGAAAAGCCCTTCCATATGATTTAATGTTTAAAATAATGTGCATGAGGAACAGGAAACCATATACTGTATGTTGTCACTGATAAGTGGGAGCTAAATGATGAGAACACATGGACACATAGAGGGGAACAACACACACTGGGGCCTACTGGAGGGTAGAGGGTGGGAGAAGGGAGAAGATCAGGAAAAATAGCTAAAAGGTACTAGGCTTAACACCTGATGATGAAGTAATCTGTATAACACATCCCCCATGACACAAATTTACCTTCATAACAAACCTGCACAAGTACCCCTGAACTTAAAATAAAATTTTAAAAAAGCAATTATATAATGGAATATTTCAAAGTACTAAATAGGCACCAAAAAGAATAAAGTGGACTTCTCTACTGATGTAGAAAGATCTCCAGGATGCCTTATTAAATGAAAAATAAATGGCAAGTTGAAAAAAATCTAATAAATTCAATTTACATGACAAAAATTAAAAACAAAATAATGTAAAATAACGTGCATGATTAAATGTCTTAATAAATTGTGAGATAATTGTAGGAAGATCTCTAGGACACTTTGTTAACTGAAAAATAAATGGCAAGTTGAAAAAATTGAATAAATTCAACTTACATGACAAAAAATGAAAATAAAATATTATAAAATAATGTGCATGATTAAATGTCTAATAAATTGTAAGATAATTGTTAAAAAGTTGTGGAGTGACTTATGAAGAATTTGAACTGAAAGAAAAAATGTATGCTCCCTAATCTCTTTGATTTGGTAGAGGAAAAAAAAAAGAGAGAGATTTATTGGCTATTTACCAAACCAGAAGTAGCTGTCATTCTGAGGAAAGGAGATGAGTCTATAGTGAGGGTACAAAGGAAACCTTGTCTTGTGTACTTTGTTTTAAACATTTATATTGAGAACATGTTTTTGCATTACTTTCATATTATAAAAAGTGTTTTAATTAACAAAATACAATAGGAAAAATATACCACTCGAAAGAATATAATAACAATAAAATATCCAGGATTTCTTTCTTTTTTTTTTAAAGTTAAAGATTAAAAAAAAAAGAGAGAGAGAAAATGTATAATCACTCAATGTGTCTTCATGGATTTCTAGGGGTAGGCTATTTCCATGTTCTCTTTCCCCTCTGCTTAAGGATAAGAAACAAGTATCTCTGAGCTCATTTCTATTCCAGCCCCGAGTACTTGAAGAGGTCAGTTCTCCCCTGTGTATGCTGCACAAGCCTTTTTGTGTGTTTGGCAAATGTGTTTTGAGCACCTACTGTGAACCAGGGGCACCTTGGGGGACTCACAAACCCTAAGAGAACACTTCTGTGACACCCCTGCCATGACTGTTCTAGGACCGATACTCTCTGCCACATACAGGAGCCCCATGCCCTGCTCACCTGGGTGCACTCTATCAGCGTCTTTCCTACACAGTTGTGAGCTTACCAAAGACAGGAACCATGTCTGCCTTATTTTCTGCTAAATCCTCAGGACCCAACACAGGGTCTAGCACATAGTAGCGGCTCAATAAGTACATTTGGTGCAGGGAACCCAGGCTGTAGGTCCCCCTAAATTCAAATCACTCACTTTGCATCTCTTGTTGGATCTCCAGGCTGAGAAGGGGAAGCTGCACAGGAGTAAATACCAGCCTGAGCCAATGAAAGGTGAGAATCTGTGAGTTGGGAAGGGGCTGCCCAGCAAGAATGATGATTCTAGGAGCTTTGCAAGATTTGGTAAGGACTAGAAACTTCTACATCAACGTCATTTAAAAAAACCTATTTTTCCACAATGAGAAATGAAATACTGAAAAATAATAAGGGACCACGGACTTGTCTTCAGTGAAAGAAGGAAGACAGTGCTAATGAGGTGCTACTTCACTGCACCGAGTCATAGAGAAGGGCGAGGCAAAAGTGTTAAAAGCCTAGAGCTAAAGTACTTGTCTGAGAGAACAAGGGAGGTCAAGGGACAGAGTTCTCTTCCTGTCAAACAGCAAATAGTGCAGTTGAGAAGAAGACTCAGCCATGGTGAATTCAAGAGCCATTCTTGGGCTCAAAATCCTTCAGAGGCTTCCAGTTTATTAAGAGTCAAAGTCCTTACAATTCCCTTCAGGGCTCTACATGACCCGGCCTGCACTATCCTAAACTGATCTGCTTCTCTCCTCCTCACTCCCCCATTTCAGCCACCCTGGCTTTCTTGAACACTCCAGGCACATTCCCCGCTTCAAGCCTTTGCGCTTGCTGATCCATCTGCCTGGAATGCCCATCCCCCAGTGAGCCACTTGGCTTTGCCTCTCACCTGCTTCATATTTTGGGTTAAATGTCACCTTCTCAGAGAAGCCTACCTTGACCACACCATTTACAATTTCATCCCCACCCACCCCAACACACCTTCTCTGCTTTACAGTAATTTGGAAGAAGTCCATTGTGCTATGCTAAGATTATCTCTTTCTTAAGCCAGTGAGCTGTCACTGCAGCTGAGCCCCAGGGATTCTAACTGGAAAATCATCCTGGGGTGGTCCAGACCTGATTTCCTTGGTCCAGACCTTATTATCTCTTGAAACCCAACCCCTGCCATCTCCCAACTGCTCAGGAGCTAAGCCATCACTCACCAAAGAGTGAAAAAGCAGAAAAGAGCAATTATTATGCTGCGCAGCAGACCTCTGGCTCAGATTAACATCATTGCCTCTTGATTTGATCTTTCTATTTTTCTCCAAACACCCAGAGCATTTTGATTGCCTGCCAGATTCATCTTTGGTGAAAAGTAACATTTTGAAAAATCAAGACTTACTTGGTAATACATATTTTAGGGCACGTTAAGCTAATAAACAGCTAATTGGTTCTGCTCTCCTGTAATTTGCAAAGGGTCAAAATGATTTGTAAATATACATCTTTATTAACTGCTGTCTGCCAAAACCAATTTCTACAGGTGACAGTAGAATGAGGTGATGGAAGGCACCTCAACAGTTAACCTCAACATGGTTTTTTGGATCAGTTTAATTTAACAGGTAAGTATTATTGTATTCCAGGGCAGCTATGCATGATGTCAAACAGCATATGGTACACAATACAGAGTGGTGGAAATTCCACTTCCTAAATGTGCAGGTGACCAAATGTATATATAGACTCTTAGCCAAAAGGAATAGAAACAGTGTCTGTGGGATTTGTGCACAATATGTCCATACAACATATATTTTCTTTTTTCTTTTCCTCAGTTTGCACCCAGGATATTGAGGGAATTTTAAAATGAGACTGTTAAACTACTCTGGATAATCTTCGTGGATAAAATGGAAAAAAAAAAACAACAAATGAACAAATAACACAGATTTTCTTTTGTCTTTCTTTCTCCTTTCTTTCTCTTTCTTTCTTTCTTTCTTTTTCTTTCTTTCTTCTTTCTCTTTTTTTTTTTTTTTTTTTTTGAGATGGAGTCTCTCTCTGTTGCCCAGGCTGGAGTGCAATGGTGCTATCTCAGCTCCCTGAAACCTCCACCTCCCAGGTTTAAGCTATTCTACCACCTCAGCCTCCCGAGTAGCTGGGATTACAGGTGCCCACCACCACACTGGGCTAATTTTTCTATTTTTAGTAGAGACAGTGTTTCACCATGTTGGCCAGGCTGGTCTCGAACTCCTGAAGCGATCCACCCACCTTGACCTCCCAAACTGCTGGGATCACAGGTGTGAGCCACCGCACTCGGCTGAGATTTTCAAGACTGGAGAGCTAGACTCTCTCAAACTACAGGCTGCTGAATTGTAAACAATTGAGGCTGGAATTATAGGAGATATTATTAATAGGGTAATTTGTAAGCACCTAAGAGTAAAACAGTAATTGTTAGGGATTAGTATAAGTTCACTAGGAAAAGCTTAAGGTAATTGAATTATCTTTCTTCTGGAAAAAAATTCAAGGTGTATTTATTGAAGATCTGCTGTACAACAGGTTGTGGTTCTAGGCTGGTGGTTCAGGGAGTTGTGGCGGATAGTTTTTTGGGTGGCAATAAGATATTTGATAACATTTCCTACAACCTGCAGGCTAAAAGGTGGATAGATGGTGTTGGGTCTTGCCTGCCCAAATCTTAGCCTAGCTGCCCATTCCTGACCCATTCAAACCCAAGGCCAGTAAGAACCAGGCCTGCTGGTACATTTGTCTATTCCAAGTCTGGTGCCTTTCAAAGACGTTTTTGGCCATCTGAGTGCTGCATGAGAACCTGGCTGCAGATTCGCATCGTCTATGTTACAGAGTCATCCAAGCCCAAAACCTGGAGTTGAGGATGAGGGTAGGGTTGACTCGTGCCTGACGCAGAGTTTAAAACCCAAAGAAGTCAAATAAATAACATGCTCAAGTTTACTCCTCAGGAAGTGGAACAGCCATGGACCTGATGCCATCCCCCCATTGGCGAACACCCCAACTCCAGCGTAGAAGATGTGAGAATCTCAAATCATTTGTTCACCTGCATCCCATCAGACTCCCTGTTCTTCTCACTTCCAAATCATTAGTGTTACTTTTTTAAAGAAAAATTTACATTTGATCTCCAGAGGTGGTATTTCTTCACAGCCTAGTGCTACGATGTCTCAATTTTATTGGCTTTACCATTTATTTTCCTTGACCTTGCTTTCTGGATTTGGTATCAGAATTGGCAGACACTGGGTGAATTATTTTTCACAATATCTCCAGTGGTTGAATGGTTCAGAGCCTCTGACTGATGCTGAGCTCTCCTTGACACAGGATTGAGCAGGTTGGAGGAGACCCAACCCACCAGCCCAGGTCCTTAAATTAAGGCAGTGTGGTGTGATGATTAGGGTGAGACTGTGGTTTATATCCCAGCCCTGTCACCACCTAGCAGAGTGATCTTGTGCAAGCTACTTTACCTCTCTGAGCCTCTGTCTCCTTGCTGGTAGAGCAGACAACTAGTAGTAGACAGGGCTATCATGAGGCTCAATTTAGCCTGTTTATGCTAAGGTTTTATCCAAGGGCCCAGAATACAGTTAATGAGAAACAGAAGAAGGTACAGTTTAAATCCCAGCCCAGCATTTACTAACTATGTGCATTTTATAAAATGGAGGTAATAGTAGTATCTATCTCTCAAATAAATCAGGAGGGTTAAATAATAATTGTAAAGTGCATCCTTAGAACAGTGCCTGGCATCTAGCGTGTGTCTGTTAAATAAATGAATAAATGCTCAGGGGCTGGCCCAGATATGAGGCCGGGCACGGTAGCTCACGGCTGTAATCCCAGCACTCTGGGAGGCCAAGGTGGGCAGATTATTTGAGGCCAGGAGTTCGAGACCAGCCTGGTCAACATGGAGAAACCCTGTCTCTACTAAAAATACAAAAAATTAGCTTGACATGGTGGCCCACATCTGTAGTCCCAGCTACTTGGGTGGCTGAGGCAGGAGAATCACTTGATCTCGGGAGGCGGAGGTTGCAGTGAGCCAAGATCACATCATTGCACTCCAGCCTGGGCAACAGAGCGAGACTCTGCCTCAAAAACAAACAAACAAATGAATGCACAATCTACCACAATAATCATTGCTAGGCACATAGAAGGTGTTTGTTAAGTATTAGCTATTAATTATTTTTTTCTAGGTGGGGCACGGTGGTTTAAACCTGTAATCACAGAACTTTGGGAGGCCACGGTGGGAGAATTGCTTCAGCCCATGAGTTGAAGACCATCCTGGCCTGCATAGCAAGACCCCATCTCTACAAAAAATTTTAAAAATAGCTGGGCATGGTGGCATGTGCCTGTAGTCGCAGCTACTCATGGGACTGTGGTGGGAGGATCCCTTGAGCCCAGGAGGTCGAGGCCGCAGTGAGCTCTGATTGCACCACTGAACTTCAGCCTGGGCAATAGAGCAAGACCCTGTCTCAAAACAATTTTAGAAAGTAAAAATTAAGAAATTAAAAATAGGCCAGGTGCGGTGGCTCAAACCTGTAATCCCAGCACTTTGAGAGGCCAAGGCGGGCGGATCACAAGATCAGGAGATCGAGACTGTCCTGGCTAACACGGTGAAACCCCGTCTTTACTAAAAATATAAAAAATTAGCCAGGTGTGGTGGCGGGCTCCTGTAGTCCCAGCTACTCGGGAGGCTGAGGCAGGAGAATGGCGTGAACCCAGGAGGCAGAGGTTGTACTAAGCCGAGATCGTGCCACCGCACTCCAGCCTGGGCGATAGAGCGAGACTCCATCTCAAAAAAAAAAAAAAAAGAAATTAAAAATAATTATTTCCCTAGTTCCTTGGCACCTGTTTCTGGGGTTCTCACGGCCCATCCTCTCTCTCTCCAGCTTCCTTGGAAACAGCTCCCAGGATCCATAACACAATTTCACCTGCTGACTGATCCCAGGAAGAAGGGCAGACTTGCCCTGGAAGTGAGCCACCTCATGCAAATCCAGGAGGCAGGCCACAGGTGGGGTTCCTGCCTTGCAGAGAGCTCTCTTAGGCTGGAGGGCTTCTAGTAGTAGACATTGTCATTCATCTGCACCATTTTAGAAAAAGCTTCAGCAGACCCACAAAACGCTAGTCAAATCCTGAATTCTCCTTCTCCTCCTTTATCTCTGCTTTCCCAGAGTCTCACTGGCTCCTCTGTTCTTTGTCCATCAATGTTAGTGCTACTTAGGGTATCGTTTTCCCTCTTTTTCTTCCTTGTGTTTTTCTGGCATTTCTTGTGTACAGTCATACCTTTGATTACCATCTATGTTTGGATGACCCTAAGTGTCACCCTCAGTTTCACTTCTAAGCTCTCTCTTTGTGATTTGTAACATTTTGGAGTATGAGATTCTTTCATAGAAGTGCCCATTCATGTATCTTTCATGAAGTTTCATGAGCATACTGAACCTCATCCATGGAGCTAAATGACACAGTATTCGTACCTAAACTCCCAACACCAGCTGCCTGTGGTGGGTCACCCACCGAGTAACCGTGTCTTACAGAGTCTACTGTCAAACTTATCTATAGTGTTCCTTTCTTTTTATTGTCAGTAGAAACACTGGCTCCCAAGGATTTCTTCTTTTGTCAGCCCTAGCAGTTACTGTTCCCTGTGCACCTGGACAAGGGCTACATTTTCCTGGACACCATGAGAGGGGGAAAATCAGACCTATGTGAGAATTCTCTGGGAAAGAAAGAATATCTGATTACATGAACGGTCTGTGATAAAGGCAGATGGTGCAAGAAAAAAGAAAAGCAATTCAAAACTCTTGGGAAAACAAATAATCCTTCTAGAAATAGAGTGTTATTATAGATTCCTACATGTCTCTACAGTGAGATATAGCAGGGTTTGGCAAACTTTACTTTTTCTGGAAAAGGCAAGATAGTAAATATTTCAGGCTTTGCAGGCCAAGCAGCAAAATTGAGGATATTATATAGAAATATAAATGACAAGAAATAAAACAAGTTTCTATAAATTTTTTATTGACAACATTTAGGATTATGGATCCTGGAATTTGAATTTTATATCTTTTTTATTTGTCATGAAATATTATTGGATATTACTTAATTTTTCAACCATTTTAAAATGTACAAAATATTTTTAGCTATGGGCTGTCCAGAAGCAGGCAATGGGCTGAATTTGGCCTAGTTGTAGTTTGTCAAACCCTGAGAGATAGCTACACATCATAATATATATATACACCACTGAGTGAGCTAGCTTGCTTTCTTCTTTCTTTCTTTCTTTCTTTTCTTTCCTTCTTTCTCTTTCTCTCTCTCTCTCCTTCCTTCCTTCTTCTTTCTTTTTCTTTCTCTCTCTCTCCTTCCTTCCTTCTTTCTTCTTTCTTTTTCTTTCTTTCTTCTTTCTTTTCTTTCTTTCTTTTTTCTTTCTTTCTTTCTTTCCTTTTTCTTTCTTTCCTTCTTTCTTTTCCTTCCTTCCTTCTCTTTTTCCTTCCTTCCTTCCTCCCTTCCTTCCTTCCTTCTCTCGCTTCTTTTCTTTTTCTTTCTTTCTTTCACACAGTCTCACTCTGTCACCCAGGCTAGAGTGCAGTGGCATGATCTCAACTCATTGCAACTACAATCTCCTGGGCTCTAATCATCCTCCCACTTCAGCCTCCTGAGTAGCTGGGACTATAAGAGCATGCCAGCACACCTGGCTAACTTTTTTGTATTTTTTGTAGAGATGGAGGTCTCACTATGTTGCCCATGCTGGTCTCAAACTTTGGGGCTCAAGTGATCCACCTTCCTTGGCCTCTCAAAGTGCTGGGATTACAGATGTGATCCACCATGGCCTGCAGAGTTTTCAACTGTTAAAATTTCTGAGATGAAGCATGGTGACATTATTTATGTTTATTGATGTGTCTCAATTTAGTGGGATATAAACATGCACCAGTTTTAGTTTGGCTTTCAACTGTGTTATATCAAATCCTTCATTTTCTTACTGACAGTTTAGGCAGATTTCATAACTTCCCAGTCACTTTTGGTTGTTAAAACTTCCAGTTTTGTCTAACATTTCAAATTGCATGTTGAATTCAAATCACTATCCCTGCTCCTTCCTCGTTTAGATTCTAGCACCTTCTGTATGTATGTTCCTGCAGGGAGCAGGAAGAAAGAAAAGGCCAACATGCCACTTCACTTAGCTGGGCGAGGCTGTAAACCTTTCTTGTTTGCTGTCACTGCTTCTCTGGCTAACATCAATTGCCAGGCGCTCTGTGTAGCAGGGATCTGCGTGCTGACTGTCTTGTGGAGTTACATGCATTGGTTATTGGAGGGTCCTATGGTACCTTCCTACTGCAACTTCCTTTCCTGGTGTGGAATCTCTGACTCTGGTCTAGTCTTTTCCATCCTGCCTGGCTCCTTCCACTGAAAACATACAGCCCATGTTGCTGAGACTGTAGTTGACCCATACAGTACCCTGCGAACATTTATTACACACCCTCCTCCCTTTGGATAGAGTCAGTTCGGAACCAAGGTGCATGGTTTGGTGAGCGGAGCGTGGGCTAACTCTCAGCCCCTACTCGACCCCTCGGCCAGGCAGCCTCGTATAGGGCAACATCTTCACAAGCATCGTGCAGCCGGGTTAGAGTTTTCTTGGTTAATGGGCTGCTCTCCCAGGTGAGATATGAACACAAGGGTGGCAGCTCAGCTGCCCACTCCCAGATCCAATCCACACACAGAACTTCACCTTTCCAAACAAGCTACTCCAATCCCATGCCTCCTCTTAGCTCTGTTGTTCCCTCCAAGTCCCTTGCTGAGGTGGGCACATGAGCAGCCATGCTGCTTAAGCAAGTGTCCAATCCAGCACTCAATCATTATGAATGATTCTTCTTGGAGCCACAGGTACCTCACTGAGGAACTACAAGTATTGGGAGGAAGGAGAGAACTTGTATAAGAAAGCTAACTTATTGTTTGTCTTAGCAAATGGATCTTGTGTAGAAATGCATAAATCAAGAACTAATGGTCAACATGTTATTTAGAGGTAAGAAGAAATGAAGGAAACACAAGAATTAAAACAGAAACAGTTGATGGCACTTGCTATGTTTATTTCCCCATTTCACAGGTAAGTAAATTAGCACTCAGAGGGTAGGTAACTTTCAAGGTCTCATAGTCAGTAAATAACAGGATCCACATAAGCCCCCAGGTCCACCTGCTCCCAAAGCCCCTGCTATATCCCATATTCTCTGTGGTCTTTCATTAACTTATTAAAGCCCTATTTGTTCCTACATTGAAAAAGTGTGCTGTGGCAGGGTTATGAGATGGGAGAAAATTAAAACAACCTTGGGGTTTTCTACAGTTCTGTTTAACCTCAGAAACATTGTTTTCATTGGATGATGCTTCCATATGTCAAAGAAATGTTAAATTATTAAAAACATAATTCTCCTAAAATACATAGCTCATGTCAAGTTTTGTTCAATTCAGCAGTGAGGAACCAGCAGAATGACAAAACTAGTTCAAAGGAGGATGTTCTATTTTTTTTTCAGTGAAAAGGTTTTGAAATAAGATTACTAAAGTAATATAAAACTGAATAATATTCAGGAGAGGAGAGAATAAATCCACAACATTTGGGGTTATCTCCTCTAATGAATGAAAATCACATGCACATCTACTGAACAAAAAAATTATGTGCATTTTCTCAGTTTTCTACAAGTAAATATCTAACTTTGTAGCAACCAGGCCTCAATCTGTACTAAAAGCTGAGTCAATCAAAGTTACATTTCCCCTGAGGGTCAGATGATCCCTTGGGTAAGCTTGTTTCACTGTGCTCTATGTGAACATTTAAAGAACACAGTCATGTTTTTGCCTAAGTTCTTGTTTTATTTTTTTCTTGACACACACTAGTTATCCATACAAATAACCCACACTGGTCACCCAACCTTGGAATGAAGGTCACTTGCCTTTATTCTAATCCAGAAGATAAAATTTCAGAGATTGAAACAACTGAAAGTATTTTCAAGGCATCTACTTCCTAAGGTAGGTGGAATCCCACAGTCAGGTAGAAGATTGGGTTTGAGGAAGAAAGAAGAGGAGTAAGTTTCTTTCCACCGATGATGATACGACTGGGAATGAGATTTAAAATATGTAACAACCAATGGGACACAAGACCAGACAATCAGAATGAATGGTTTTGTAGGGCCAGAGCAAGGTCACGATGACATCTGTGGGGCCAGGTCTTCACCCTTTACCTAATGGATCTGAGCAGCCCCAGTAAGGGCTAGGGTAGGTGCAGTGGTGGTGGGGAGTTGGTGAAAGACTTGGGCCAGTTGTTGTTTATCAAGACATAGGAAAGTATTTTAACATTTTAACAACCAGTATGGCGCTATGGACACATTCTGTCTGACTATTAGTCATGTTCATACTCTGACCTCTACCACCTGCCCAATCCTGACTCAACCCTCAAACGCAGTCAGGGTCACTCCCTCCCATCCTGCCTTAAGACTCCATCCCATTTCTCTCTTCCATCTGCCTCTCAGGCTTTAGTGGCAAGGAGGAAGAATACAGAAAAAGGAACTGGGAGAAGGTCAGGAGTAGGGAAGAGAGTAAGAGAACTCCAGCACATTCTGAACCCATGTCTGAGGGAGGGTGCAGCATTAAATCTAGGACTGCAGGTGCGGAAGTGATGACTGGGTACTGTTTCTAAGTTTTAGGGGTAGAGCAGTGCCCCAAAGACAATAATCCCTGTCCTTACAGATTCCACATTCTACTTGGGCGGAGACAGGAGATATGAAAAGTATGAGTTAACATGTACAAAAGCACCTAGCACAGAGCTTGGCACATACAGAATAGTTAATAAATGTTATGTCTTTTCCTCACCTCCATCCTCAACCACATCTTTGCAGCTTCCCTGAAGGTTTTCAGACAACATAAATAAAGCTGAAACCCCGTCTGGCTGAAAAAGTCAACCATCTGGAGTTTTGGAAATATGGGAGAACTTCTAATGACTGGCTAATTTTTTTCTCCAGTTTTTCAGCGAGATGTTTGATGTCATCCTGGCCCATCTGTAGCAGAAATATCAGTTATTGAACCTCTTCTCCATAACTTTAAGTTCCTTGTTTTAAAATCCTAAATAAGTGGGCTTTCTTTTCTAAGTATTTTTTAATGAATTGAAAAAGTGATTATTGACTAATAAAGAGTAATTCAGGAATCAAATATAAAAACATCAGAAATTCATATTAAAAGTGCTATTTAGGTAATTTACAAGGCTGAAAACTGGCAGCCCATGTACCAAATTCAGCTACAAGGTAAATTTGGTTTGGCTAATATCATATTCTTAAAAAGTTGAAAGAGTTGCCTGCATTTTAAAAATCAAGATATTTTACATCTGGCTTTTCTTTACTTGGAATATTGGGCCACACTTGGTGTCTATTTCTCCAAGGTAAAAATCAAATCAAGCCAAGTAGTAGTCATCCTTCAGATGAGGCTTGTGTTTTCCAGTTTGCCACAGTCCTCACCACTCCCTATTGCCCCACACTGAGACCGAGTTTCAGTTACAATACATCTTCTCAAATCTACCGTTACCCGCCTCCAAACCTGCTGAGAATTGAGCTAAGAGGATTGGGAAATGCTTGTTTCATACTTTACATTAGCTGCCTCATCTACACAAACATTTGGATTTGTTACTCTAATCTTATCTAAATTTCTCATTTTAGATTTGGGTAAACTAAGGTCCAAAGAGGGAAAATAACATTCACCATTCACATAACTGTTGTTATGGAAATGGGATGAACACTTAGGGTTCCTCACTACTAGACTGGTGGTCTTTCTGCTATCTAAATACATTGCTTTGATTGTCTCCAGGACTTCATGAGGTTTTCTTAATGAGAGAGTCACATATTGAACACGTTCTCATTCAAATTCACAGGCCACTATTGATAACACGCAGCAGGTTAGGGCTCTACTTTGTGAATGCCTCCCGTGCTTTCCAGTTAATGAGTTGGGCGTTCTTGTTGGCTTCCCAGTGTGGGTGTCTCTACACAGGTCAATTGTCTCTCCATGCAAAGCGTGTCCTTTGCTGCCTCTAAGTTTGTGTGTGTCTGGTGTCTCCTGCATCCCTGCTGATGCTGCACAGGCACAGTGAGTGCTCTGAGATCTGAAACTTCTGAATGGAAAAACCCATGTGCCTGGGCATTTTCACAAACTAATGTTTGTACCAGTAGCAGGCTACCCACCAAAGCATGAATTAATGTTTTCTAGCAAATACTCAGAGAGGCAGCACGACTAAGGTTAAGTATTGCCTGCTGAGTTTAGGTGTGTGACCTTGGGCAAGTTATGTAAATCCCCCAGGGCTCAGTTTCCTCATCTGTAAAATGAGGGTAATAATAGTACCTACACAACTGAGCTGCTTTGAAGATGAAAGAGTTAATTTTTCAAAATTCTTCGAACAGCCTGAGCACATAGTAAGTGCTAAATGTAAGGGATATTCTGGTAGGTTAGCTTATTTTTTCCTAGGTATTTTTTAAGGGTTGAAAAAGTGATTATTGACTATTAAAGAGTAATTCAGGAGTCAAATATAAAAATATCAGAAATTTGGATTAAAAATGCCATTTAGGTAATTTACAAGGCTCAAAACTGGCAGCCCATGGGCCAAATTCAGCTACAAGGTAAACTTGGTTTGGCTGATCATGTCACTCAAGGAGGAGAAGGATATAACTTACCTACAGAAATGAAAACTGGAAACATCCTTCTCCTCCTTGAGTGATGGGATCATCCTTAAAACACATAGTCAATACCAGTGCAAATACCAATACATGTTGGCTTTAACATCATAATTGCTTGGAGCACCTTTAGAAAACTCAGATTTTCCTGGTCTACCTCAGACCTATGGAAGCAGGGAATCTAGTTGTGGAGCCCCTGATAATCTAATTTTTTAAAAGTTCCTCATGAGAATCTGATGACCAGCAAAGTTGGGAAACGATGTAGTTTGCTTATTCTTGAATATTTTTGGTGTTGGAAGACCCATCACCTGCCAAAGCTTCCCATTCCACATTGGATAGTTATTTATATTGAGGTAAAACCTGGTTTCCTCTAGCTCCTACTTCTACCTCCTTGAGGCCACACAGAACATCTCAAATCTCTCTTTCATATGACAGCCCTTCAGATATTTGCAGACAGCTGTCATGTTCTCCTTGGCATTCTCTTCTTTTGGATAAAATAATCACATTGTCTCATGGCTCTTTAAAAAAGCACAGAAGAACAAACATTTCTAATTTGACCTCTAAGAAAATGGAGCTACGAAAACCCCCAGTTTTCATTTGACACTTAAAGGACCAGAAAATGAGGATTTTGAGGCTCAGGTGTAGGTAAGAAATACTGAATGGGAAAGGACTGTTCATCTTCATTCTAGCAAAGGATGGAAATGCCTGGGATGGATGCTACCAACTGCATGTGACTTCCCATGCAGAAATCAGAGGCTTCTGCAAATTCCCCAAACACTTGATGTGTTTAGTACACATCTTGGCTTCAAATTTCAGCCAGGACCCACCTAGGTGTTAATTACATGGGTGCAGCCATAGCTAATATTTTATTGTGATTCATTGTGATTTGTGCATCTTACTGTATTTAATACTTCAAAAAAGTGAACAACAACAAAAAAAGCCAGGCCAAGTTGTATGGGGACTGCAACACATTTTCTCAATAGAATTCACCTGCCCAAGGTTATGTCTTCAATTCATCCAATTCCTTCTTGATTCAATTTCTCACTTCTCCCACTAAGCCTACAGAATGCCTGGCTGGGGTTTCAATTCCTTGTACAAACTGTGGGTGTAGGACTTGATGTTGGAAAAAAGAGAAATCATCAGTTGAGAAATTCTTAGCAAGTGTTTAGAAATTTTAGGTCCTACCTCTGCTCTTATAGATATATATTTTTTTCATAGATCATAATGAGGAACGTCAAACTTCATTTTTAATTGTGCATTCTCAGGTTTGATTCCCAGAGGCAGAAGAATTGGAAATGGCTAAAGCACTGTATACATATGTGCCATTTTTGGCTTGGAGGAACCTTAGAACTTCTATGCCATCTCTAGAACCATGTAGATATCGCAACATCCACCAAATCAGTTTTACAAAAGATAATTCAATTCCTTATAGCCAATATAAGAAAGGGAAATATGGAATTTCCCTGAGGTAAATGACTTCACCATACCCAATCACAAATGCTCACAAATATCCAACTTTTGTCATTGTTTAGGAAATAATTATTCTAGAATTTCTGTCAGTATATTGAATACAGTATAAGCTTTAGATAATGTTAATTCAAGACCACCTAATCCAAACGTATCATTTCCCAGATGAATAAACTGAGAGTTGGAGAGGGTAAATGTCTTAACCAAGGCCACAGCGATACTTTGCAGCATTACCCAGGTCTTCTGACTTCACATGATCCTTGCTGCATTAAAGGTAGCCCTTTCCTACCTGGGCTTCCCACCAGTTGCAAATTTGTGTTAGAAACAGAATCAATTGTAGTAGCGCTACGGTCAGGAGAGCAGTTGTTCAAAGTGTCAGGACATGGGAAAAAGGCCAGAGAATGATGCAATATTACACTGGCAAGTGATGTCATAGCATGATTTCCCAAGCGATTTACATAAATGCAAGTTCTCAAGAAGCCCTGACAAATGCCAGCCAGTGAAAATGCAGTGTGAAGAACCAATGGCAAGCAGGGGAGGGGACCACACAGGAAACGCAGATTTCCTTGCCCACCACTGTGACAAGCTTCACAGATTTCTCGGAAGCCTAAGAAAACCCCTACTGCCCCTCTAATCCAGTGACTTCCCTCAGGCACATAGGCTCCAAAGAGCTTTGATTTTCTTCCTTATCTTTCTATTTACTCCCAGTGATATCCAAGCATTGCCTACTGGTGCTGAGAGTGACTTCTGGTGTGGTGAAAGCAAGTTTAATAGTGTGATAGGCTACAAAAGGGCTTTATATTTTTAAATTGCTCTTTCTTCTTCATTATAAGTTATAACTACTCCCTAATTTTTAGAACTAGAAATGACGAACTGCAATTCTTGGAGAATCAGTCTTTTGTAAATGTCATGGAAATACCTTTTTAGGGGTTTGGGAATGATTTAGGAATGAAGACAGGTGGATACAAAATACCAAGACTTCAGTTTTGTTGTGATCCAAACTAATAAAACATGTATCAATAAGGATTTTTTCTTAAAATGTGTGCATAGGGTGTGGGTGGGAGTAGGGGTTTACATATGTTACCCTGTTACTGATTGGCAGTGGAAGTTCATGACAATATCTAGTTAGAGCAAACTCAGGAGAAACTGATAAGTCTATGTTGAGAAATAATGAAATAGCTCAGAATGTGCCAGACCGGGTCAGGATCTCTCTCTCTCTCTCTCTCTCTCTCTCTCTCTCTCTCTCTCTCTCTCTCTCTCTCTCTCCCCCCTCACTTCTTTCCTCTTGTCCCTTCTCCTCCCTTCCCTCCCCCTCCCTTCGAAATCCAATTTAAGCAGGGTTAAAGACCCCATCTCAAGCCAGAGATCCAAGCAGTTGACAATATGCCTAGGGATTTTGGATTTGAAGACTTTTCTAAACTGCAGAAGCTGCCTAGAGTGTGACAAAAATCTCATCTCATGAAGCTTATACTAAAAACAATCAACAAGACCCAACCCCTTTAACCCACATGGCGTCAGTCTTGCTGTTAACAGAGTCTGGGCACCTGCACATTCTCAGCAATAATTTGAACTTCTCTTCTTTCCTTATCACCATTTCCATCTCCTCCAAACACCCACCAGAATATCAGAACTGGATTATTCAGAGCTATTGAGAGGAAATTGTAAATACCTTCTAGGCAGCAGGTCCTCCACAGCCCCGAATGGGTCATTACTTCTTCATTCTTCCTGCTGGTTTCATTATCACTTGTAGATTTAGTCCTGCACACACCTCTGGAATATAACCAGTAGTCCGTGCCCACTGCAATGGTCATTAAACTAAAAGCGGCAAAGGCTCCTACAGTGGTGATCAACATCTGGATACCTCTGTCACACATCCTCATAATTCTTCATGGTACTCTGGACGGCTGGGGGTTGGAGGGGGAGAGTCAGTGCCGGAGGGGAAAATCACTCTGCAGCCGGGTAACCTAGTACAGGCTCTTCCAAAAATTCAGGTCTCCTTTTGTCAGCATCCACAGGGACTTTGGGAAAGCTGGGATTTCCTTTCTGGAGCTCTCTCCAGTTCCCTGGGTCGCCTATGGCCCTCGGAAGGGTGCAGGCTCCGGGGGGTTGGTCCGCATCACTGCTGCCTTCTGAGGGTCCCTGGGTTCCTTTCATTCCTCAGGAGCGTGGTAAAGACGAGGGTCCGTGCAGGGCATGGCTCCGGAGCCTGGAGCTGCCAGCTCGGTTTGAGATGCGCCTGGCTTCTCACAGCCCCGGGAGACTCAAGGCAAAGAAACCCAGAGAGGTCTCTGTGTGAGTGTGTGTGTGTGTGTGTGTGCGTGCGTGCGTGTGTGTGCGAGCGCGTGTGCTGGGGGTGAGGGCGGATGGCAAAAAATAGCACTGCTGGGAGGCGAGCCGCTGAGAAGAGTGTTCACTGCTTCCACAGCCTCGCAGGAAAGCTCTCCGCCTGCTCCCGACACCCCCGCTCAAACTGGAGAAAAGACAGAGTCCTGGGGCGGGGGCCGGCTGGTTTCCCTGGGGGCGCCAAGGTCCGTGGTGCTGAAGGGACAGCTCCCCGCCTGTTGCCCCGCCTCCGTCGTCTTAACGCCTAGGCTTTAAGGTCCGTGGTGCCGAAGGGACAGCTCCCTCATGCAGCTGCACACCGCCGCCCGGGCTAGAAACCCGGGGTGCTAAAGGGTCTTTCTTCCCTCACCCCGCCCTTCCCCCGTTCCTTCCCGGGTCAGCCAGCCGGCTCGGCTCTGCCCAGTCAAGCCCACTCTCCGCGCAAAGTTTCTGGAGCCGAGGACAGTCAGCGCCCTGGCTCCTGGGCGCTGCAGCACGACCCGGTTCCTCCGCTCTAGGAAGGGTTAAGGAAAGGGGAAGGGGAGCGAAGCCCGTAGCGCACTCTGGCGCTCCCTCAGCACCCACCCAACGCGGCATTCTTCAATCCTCCCTTTCACCCCATGAGCCAGGCAAGTTTGCCTTTTGCTGCGGGCACCACTGGAGCCCATTGGGGAAAAAGAAGACCCGAAAGACCGAGTCTTCTTAAAGGCACCGGCAGCTCTGGAGACGGCTCTATGGCTCGCTTAGGCGGGCAAAAAGTGTTGTCACAATCACATCTGTGTAGAGTCTGTCTCAATTTGGTTCCCCAGCAAACAAACCAATATGTCTACCCTCCTTTCTCTGGAGCTCTGGTTTACACCGAAGACAACCCGCTCAGATCAGACCCGGAACTGTTCATATATACATGATCATGTATTCCTAAAAGATGGAAGAAGCTAAATATACATAGACTCTGTCATACACATATTAGGGACCTTGGGCAAAAGACTATAAGATTTTGGCCTTTGAATATGCCTTTTATACATTTTAACATATCTACATCGAAGGGGGTGATGGATTCATGGTGGGAGAGTCACTGAAAATGTCAGATTTTGTTCAAAGGTCTCTGAGATATCATTTGTTAACATTGTTATCTAAGTGAGACCATGAAGCAGGTGAAGTTAGGTCTGCTTTGCTTGTTAGTCCAAAGGGCAAATGGCATTGCACACCTGAAAGCTCTCTTCCTTGGAAATAGCCAGTATTGCAAAGGACCAGCATTTAACCAGCTTTTTATTACTATGTATTCCGGCATATGCATGGGCACACACCGAGTTGACTAGAAACAGCCCACAGAAATGCCCTTATTATTTTTTTTCTTATGGCATCCTGGGACTGATATCCAGAGGTCAGATAGTTGGAAATGAGGTTGCTTGGGTTGTTTCCACAGTTCCTGAGATGTGTCCGCAACCAACTGTCATGTTTGAATGTTATTTAGCTGGACAGAAATATAACGGGAGGTAATCGCAGACAAACATACTCCCCTGGTGCCATCTCTGGCTGCCTGGGAACTTCTATTCAGGTGACTGGGTAGCAGGAATATATTGAAGGGTTCGCAAATGCAGCTCACAACTTCTTGGTGACTTTGCTACTTTCATTTTGGTGTTAAGACTGAAGACTTTATTCTTGGTGTTAGATAAATACTCATGTGCAGGAGGAAGTTTGAATATATAGCTGTGGAGTGATTGTGTTTGAATGCTCACCTGTGCTATGTTCAGTTTAGTTATAAATTCTGAATGCCTGTGAATCCGTCATAGAAGTAAAGCAAGTATGTAAATGTATGTTTGTACCTGCAGACAGTGTTATGGACCATGTGAACATATTTGCTGCAAATGCCTAGCATTTTTGCTATGCATATGCATACATATTTGCACATGTATGTGTATGCATGCACGTGTGTAGGTATAGTATAGATTTGAATATGTAGGTGTGTATACCTATGAGCATTTAGTTGCATATGCATGTGTCGTGGTTCA
Source organism: Homo sapiens (assembly GCF_000001405.40). Classification (NCBI taxonomy): domain Eukaryota; kingdom Metazoa; phylum Chordata; class Mammalia; order Primates; family Hominidae; genus Homo; species Homo sapiens. The sequence continues at coordinate 24,254,300 of NC_000016.10, read as the reverse complement.
AAAACACTGATTTATGGACAGGAGGTAGAAATACTGAAATCTTGCCACATAATCCACAATGGAATGGATAAACTTGGGGCCAGCACCACAGCCGTACTCCAGAAGAATGACAGAAGATAGTAGGGAGAGGATACACGAGGGCCCCTACAAGTTTCTTAGTGTCATTTTCTTTCCTGAAATGAAAATTTGCATCTTAATAAAAATATCCTGCCTTGATTGTTATTACCTTTCTTTTTTAAGGGAAAGCCATATGTAACATGGAGGTGAGGTTGGTATTTCTTGGGAGGGATTAATTCAGTTAGCAAAAATTTCTCTCCCCACTCTCAGAAAGGTAAATAAGATGAAATAATTACTAATGATCAAAGCAGTCATTTCAGGATCTGTTTGATTCTTCTCTTGCTTGGATAGAAGTGAGAAAGGTCTTCTTTCAAAGAAGGACCATGTTGATGAAAGGTGAGTGAGCTTCGGGCTAAGGGACAGTATGCCCCAATCTCTCCATTTACCAGACCCACAGTGGAACAGCAGCATCTTCATCTCCACCCACTTAGCTCTACAACAGAAGCGCAGACAAGCAGAGTATGGTGCCCAGGAGCCTAGCAGAAGGATAGTTGGGGGAAAAGGATCAGGAGCTCAGGTAGATGAAGGTAACAATTATGGGTCAGGATGCACCCAGTTTTGCTGAATAAGAGAAAGGGATACATGTGATAAAACTGGAGCTTTGTCCTGAGCCTCTGACTTGGTGAGGCAGGCTCATTCTTTGGAATTGCTGTCCAGGGCCAACCTGATCACTGTGGGAAGTCCCGAGCCTGCATGTGGAGCAAGTCAGAACAACTGAACGGAGTGGGAGTGTGGAGGCAGGGAGGCCGCAGTTTGTTCCCTATCATGCCTCCCAACTTACTAGGGGGTGACCTCATCCTTTCATTCAATTGAATGTGTAGGTGTGTGGACCTGGGCGCGTAGAATCTGCTTGTAAGGCTAGAGATCGTTCCTCATTTTCACCACTAGAGGGCTCTTTCAACAGATCAATGAGGGACCCAAGAGATTCAGAGCTCTCTCCAGGGCGGGCTGGAGCTAGACTCTTGTCTACTAATAGCCCTTTCTGATCCCACTTATCTGGCAGAAGACTAGGAGACATTCAGACATCTTGCAACTGATGTCTGATTCTCTTATTAAGACTTTTGTTTTCTTCTATTGGGCTGTCAGCTAGTGAAGTAGTTGGCACGGTGTATCTATTTATGCTTTTTCCTGTCCATCTTCTCATAACATCTGGAGGGGTCAGTGATCCCTGTAAATGGTTGTGTCATTTAGGAAGGAGTACTCTCAGTTGCTTCAATTCAACAGATGCTTTTCGAGTGCCTACTATGTGCAAGGCATTCCCCTATGTGCTCAGCACCTTGGAGAATACAAAGATATGATTCCCATCCCCCAGGGAGAAGATTATGCAGTTGGGAATATTTTATTAGTGAGTTCACTTTGACTGTAAATGGCAAAAACTTACCAGAGCTAGCTTAAGAAAATGGGGAATTTAGTACAAGAATATGACGATGTTTCAAGGAACCACAGGGCAGAGGTTCAATCAGGCCTTGGCAGGGAGCTGGAACCAGCAAAAAAAAAAAAAAAAAAAAAAAAAAAAATGCCATCAGGAGTCTTGACAGTCACTTCATTTTGCATCTCTGCCTCTTTTCATATTTTTAGTTGAAAAATTGTTTTGCTTCATCTATTCTTTGATCCTTGAAATAGAAGCTAGATTTTGAGTTCTTATGTCATCTCTATTTAAGAAACCCACCCAGACTAAACTGGGAAGTTTTAGTCCTAATTCAAAATTTCCGGGAGAGACAACCTGATCAGCCTAGCTTATGTTGCTTGCCACTTCCTGGTCCATGCAGCTGTGGCCAACGATTCAGGGTCATGTACTATAAACGCAGCCATCAGGACCAGCCCCTGTGAGTTGTGGGAGGATAGTTCTTAGAAAAGGGGGAAATTCTGTGATACCTCAGAAGACTTCTGTGAAAAGTCTATGTGATCTACTTGTGGCACCACTCCAGTGATGTCCATGGGATCAGCAGTAAAATGTGACCACGAAGGAGAAGACAACATGGCAGGATATGGGGCTTAGAAGATATTGGACCCCAACTAACCTGGGTGTCAGTGGTACCAAACCAGCTTTACCTTTTGTCAGAAGAGAATGGAGCATCATCAGTTAGAAGAGAAAAAGTCTTCAGAGGTAAAGGCACCCACATGTGTGTAAGTCAAGGAGATGATGAAAACCAGGCACACATGGACTAAAGAGTGTCATCCCCGCCATCTTGAATTCTCTCTTGATGTTCACACATAGCCTTGTTATGAGTTTTCTACTTTTAGATTCAACCTATAGAAAAAAGCATTAAAAACCAAATATGCTTACAAAACATTCACACATCATTATTTCAACTTCAGTCTTGTTAACCTTCTTTCAGTATTCTCTCTCTTTCTCTATTCTCTATTCTCTCTTCTTTCTCTATTCTCTCTTTGAACCCAATTACATGAAGTTATGTTTCTACTCTCTAGACAGTGATAGAAATTGGAGGTAGAAGGAGGGGAATGGTAGGATGTAACATCCTGATATTATTATACAAAGAGAATAGACAAGATATACTTCTAGAGTTGATAAAAGGAGATCTAGAGTATCTGGTATGTCATTGAAAATTAAAGATAACCAATATAAAAATAAAAATATTCTAATCTATATTTGGAGAAGAGAAGAAGAGAGGTTGAGGTGAAATGAACTAAAATAAAATGAAATGAGTAATGAGAATGAACAGGATGGGACCAGAACAGTTGTTTTTCACTACAGCCACTTCTATCTGATTTTAAAAATCTTATACATGTATGTTTTGATAAAAGTTTAAAGTTAATTCAAAAATAAATAAAAACAGTAAGCACTGTGCCACCTGTCCTTCTCCTCCAACTACCTCCTATTTTATTGATACAGAAATGCCAGGTGTTTCCTGTGACTCACCCATTGATTTCCTGTGCTGAGAATGCTCTTCCCTGAATATACTTTATATGTAAGAAACATTTATTTTAAAATAATTTTGAATTTACACACAAATTGCTGCCACTAGATATTGTCATGGTTCAATCCCTCACTTCATTCATACCTCAGCTCAAATGTCACCTTCTTAGAGAATTCTTTAACTGCTCTATCTAAAAATAACACCCCATACTTCTCTCTATACTCTCACTCTGCTTTTTCTTCATAGCATTTATCAATATCTGACATTATACTGTATATATGTACATATATGCTTTTGTGCTTATTGTCATCTTCCCAACTAAAGCCAAATAACTCCATGAGAACAGGTGCATTGTCTTGTTCAAATCTAAATTATCAGACCCTAGAATAGTGCTCAGGATATAGTAGGCATTTAAATAGTATTTGTTTAATCAACTAACTGCATAAGTAATTATTAAGATTTACACCTGTGACAGGCACTGATGAGCAAATAACAAGCAGGAAAGAGATTGCTCTTGATCACTTGAAACTCTTAGTCTCATGAAGAGGACAGAGACAATTGGACCAATAAGAGCAATTGCAGGCCAGATGCAGTGGCTTGTGCTTGTAATCCCAGCACTTTGCTAGGCTGAGGTGGGAGAATCACTTAAGGCCAGGAGTTTGAGACCAGCCTGGGCAACATAGTGAGACCTTGTCTCTCCAAAAATAAATAAATAAATAAATAAAATTAGAATTAGCCAGGCATGGTAGTGAACACCTGTAATCCAAGCCGCTCAAGAGACTGAGGCAGGAGAGTCCTTTGAGCCTGGGAGTTCAAGACTGCAGTGAGCCATGATGGTGCCACTGCACTCCAGCCTGGGCAATAGAGTGAGACCCTGTCTCAAAGAAGAAGAGGAGGAGGAGGAGGAGGAGGAGAAGGAGGAGGAAAAAGAAGAAGAAGGAGAAGAAGAGGAAGAAGAAGAAGAAGAAGAAGAAGAAGAAGAAGAAGAAGAAGAAGAAGAAGAAGAAGAAGAAGAAGAAGATGTTGTTGTTGGTACACCACTCTTCAGATTCTCTTTACTGAATTGATTCATTTATACACCTCTAGCCCTGACCTTTCTAACCCACAGCTGCCCCTTCCAGGGATAATTGGTCTCAGCTGATGGGAGCTGCCTCTCCCGAGGAATTAGAGCCCTTCTCCCTGCAGTCAGATACAAGGGTGCAAAAGTCTGGCCTCTTCCCAGAGGCAGGGACAACTCTGAGATACAATTTATGCTCTAGAGTCTTCCGATGATCAGGCCAAGACTACCACATCCTCGTTGGGCTTCATCTCCATCCTCTATGGTTGCCAAACCATAGTGTGCATTAGAGTCGCTTAGAAGGCTTGTTGAATGAGACATTATTGGGCTCCACCCTCAAAGTTTCCAAGGTGGGTGGTGCTTGAAGATGTTCATTTTCAGCAAGTTCTCAAGAGGTATTAATACTGCTCTTTAGGAAACCACAACTGGAGAATCATTGCCTTTTCTTATGCTTGTTCCCATACTCCCTTGGGGTTTTTCCTAAAGGTTACTTTCTCAATAAGTCTTTTGCATCCAAATGTCTGCCTTAGGCTCTGCTTCTAGGGAATGCTACCTAAGACAACAAGGAGGAATAGTAAGGAACTACATTCCCAAACAGTTCCCAAGCTTGATACATAGCAACCTGAGACTATTAAATCCCTAAACAGCTAAACTCCTAAAAGATCCTTGAGCCCAACAAGAAGCTTGTCCTTTCCAATTCCACCTCAGATGAATCTAGGGAGAGAGATGGACACAGAAGAACCTTCCAGGGGGCAGAGAGTAGGGTGATGAAAAGTAATGAATAAGGAAGTTTCTCTCTGAAAAGGGAACAGATTTGCCAGCCAGGAAAGTCTTCCATTCTTAGGAAAGACAAATATTATTCTTGCTCAGTTGATCACTTCTATACATGTGTGACTGCTGTGTGTACTTTAGTCTCTGCTTTTAAAAGGAGTTTTTTTTTTATTATGTGGCTCCTTCTGCACAATTAAATGATGGATGTGCTGGAAGCAAGTAAATTGTCTTTTAGTTTAGACCAAGAGAGGACACACCCAAACCTGCTGTAGAGGGCTGCAAGCTGCCCAGAAATCTTACCTTTTACGTGGATGAGACTTTGGGGGTGATGTCCTTTGGGTAAAGATAAATGTATTCTATGTATAGAATGACATTTTCTGACTAATTATCAGAGAAAAGCAAATTAAAACCACAATGGGGTATCATCTTTTTCCAGTTAGAATGGCTATTATTAAAAAGTCAAAAAATAACAGATGTTGGTGAGGATGCAGAGGAAAGGAAATGCTTACATACTGTTGGTGGGAATGTAAATTAGTACAGCCTCTATGGAAAACAGTATAAAAATATCTCGGCTGGGCGCAGTGGCTCACGCCTATAATCCCAGCACTTTGGGAGGCCGAGGCATGTGGATCACTTGAGGTCAGGAGTTTGAGACCAGCCTGGCCAACATGGTGAAGCCCCATCTCTACTAAAAATACAAAAATTATCCAGGTGTGGTGGCATGTGCTTGTAGTGCCGGCTTCTTGGGATGCTGAGGCAAGAGAATCACTTGAACTCAGAAGGCAGAGAGGCTGCAGTGAGCTGAGATTGCGATACTGCACCCCAGCCTGGATGACAGAGCAAGACTCTGTCTTAAAAAAAAAAAAAAAAAGAAAAGAAAAAAAGATTTCTTAAAGAGCTAAAAATAGGACTACTATTCTACTGTTCAATCAGCAATCCCACTACTGGGTATACTGGGTATATACTCAAAGGGAAATAAATAATTATATCAAAAAGATACCCACACTTGTGTGTTTTTTGCAGCACTATTCACAATACAAAAATGTGAAGTAAACCAAAGTGTCCATTAATGGAGGATTGGATAAGGAAAACGTGATATATATATGTGTGTGTGTGTGTGTATATATATATATATATATATATATATATATGCCATAGAATACTATGCATCCACAAAAAAGAATGAAATTATGTCTTTTGCAGCAATATGGATAAAATTGGAGGTCATTACCCTCACTAAAATAACTCAGAAACAGAAAGCCTAATGCTACATGTTCTCACTTACAAGTAGGAGTTAAACAATGCGTACATATGGACATACAAAGTAGAAAAAATAGACTTTGGAGACTCCAAAAGAGGGTAGGAGGGGGGTGAGGGCTAAAAAATTACCTATTGGGTACAATATTTACTATTTGGGTGATGGGTACACTACTATTTGGGTGATGGGTACACTACTTCACCCCTATGCAATATACGCATGAAAGAAAACTGCATTTGTACCCTCTAAATATATATTTTTCAAATAATGATATTTGCTGGCAAAAAAAAGTGGATTGTTACAGAATCTTCTAGTTACTTACCCAGTAGGCTTTCCTTATTTCTTCTTACATAAGACTCCAATTGTGACTGGGGACACTCTCTCTAGCTGAAATAAAGTTACATTGTTCAGTTTTCCTCACAGAGTAGGATGGTTTTGTCATAAAATTCTGACTGATACAATGTAATCAAAAATTGCAGTGTAGATAATGGCTAAAAGGTGAGAACAACCCAAGTATTCGTCAACAGACAAATGGATAAACATAATGTGGTATATACATAGAGTGGAATATTATTCAGCCATAAAAAGAGTGAAGTTCAGATACATGTCACAACATGGATGAATCTTGAAGACATTGTGCTAAGCAAAATAAGCCCGATGCAAAAGGACAAATATGGCATGATTCCATTTATATGAGGTACGTAAACAGGCAAGTGCACAGAGACAGACAGTAGATTAGAGTTTATCAGGGGCTGAGAGGAGACAGGAATGAGGAGTTATTGCTTAATAGTTACAGAATTTTTGTTAGATATATGAAACAATTTTAGAAATAGAGGTGATGATTGCATAACCTTGTGAATGTGATTAATGCCACTGAATTGTATGCTTACAAACATTTACAATGGCAAATATTATATATATTTTACCAAAATTTAAGAAAGGGAAAACCAAACTTGTTCTGTGGGTTTTCTGTAAAATCTCCTCCCAGCAGGTTTTTGGACAGACTTTGCTAGCACGTAGGTGACACCTTTTGCTCTTGGCTTTCTTCCTACCCGGAACTAGGACTTAATGGTGGAGTCAGATCAGCCATGTTGTTGCATAAGGTAACAAGCACATGTTTAGGATACCTGAAAATAAAACAGAAGAAGCCTGATCCAGGTGTGGTGGCTCATGCTTGTAATGCCAACTATTCAGGAGGCTGAGGTGGGAGGCTCACTTGAGCCCAGGAGTACATCCTGAGCAACATAGCAATATCCCCTCTCATCTCTAAAAGTTTTCTTTTTTTTTTTTTTGCCAGGTATGCTGGAGTATGTCTGTAATCCTGATTACTTGGGAGGCCAAGGTGGGAAGATCACTGGAGCCCTGGACATGGAGGCTGCAGTCAGCTATAATCCCATATCATTGCACTCCAGCCTTGGCAACAGAGATATACTGAAAGAAGCCAGAGTCCTTGATAGCATTATGGCGCTACTACTACAGGCCAAAAGCTTTTATCTCAACAATTCTCATTACATGATGAAAACAGACTCTTTCACGTATTTCACCCCTTTTCAAGTTTAGCAGGTGAGCACAATTCCTAATTTATTCAGGCAAGGAGACATGAAATTAGAGAGGTAGCCTATTGGTCATAAGCTTCTAGTTACAGTTAACAGAAATCCAACTTAAAGTATATAAGACAAACAGAAGTAATCAATTAATATATGTAACTTAAAAGTCCAAAGGTAGATATCTATAGCTTCTGGGGTCCGTCTCTCTCCATCTCAGACCTCCCCCCTCTGCACTTAGCAGGCTGTCTTCTCAAGCACCAAGAGCTCCTGGCTTGCATCTTACCAGCTGAGCAATCCTAGGAGAAAGAGGACATCTCTCCACCAACAGTTACAGTAAATGTCTTGGGGCTGCTTTCTCATTGACTCATTTAGTTCATACCCACCTGAACCAATCATAATGGACACAAAATGGAATTCACTGATTTCTAGGTTTGGGCTTCCTTTCCAATCTCTGGGCATATAGGAAGGAAAACTGGCCTTATTTTAATCCATGTGGATGGACAGTAGCATAAAGGATGATGTTTTAGAGAAAATCGAGGGTGCTGTTACCAGAAGAAGGTTGGATAAATGGTAGGAAGTAAAGAATAATAGCTATTCACTGTGCACTACAGATAAACAGATTCCAAATTATTCAGGGACTTTTAGCCATGTTAGGTCACTCAACAAGTATCTATTAAGATCTACTTATTTGCTAAGCACTGCTGTAGGTTCTAAGGGTACAGCAATGAGCAAGACAGATAGATTCCCTGCTTTGAAAGAGCTTATATTTTAGGTGAGGGAGATAGCCAGTAAACATGAAACCAACCAACAAAACAAACAAAAAAATGCAGGTAGTGAAAAATGCTGCAAAAAATAAACGTAAGCAATGTGATACAATATGACCAATCTTGGCAGTAGAAGGACTGCTTTAGGTAGCATGGTCAGTGGGGCATTCTGGGGAGGTGGTTTCTGAGTTGAGAAAAGTCAATAGTGAAGGAGGAGTCAGTTCTAAGAGGATCTAGAAAAAGGTATCCCCAGTGGAAGGATCATGAATGCAGCTTGTTGAAAAACAGAAATGGTCAAGTGGTAGACAAATGGTAAACAAGAGGAAAAATGGTAGAAAATCAGGTTAGGGAAGTGGACTGTGGCCAGACTGTATAGCCCTAGTTGGCCAGGTTAAATGAAGTTTGGGTGTTAATTCTTTTGCAGGGTGAAGCCATTGCACAATTTTAAGCAAGGGAGTTAACAAGATCTGATTTACAGTTCAGAGATTTCACTCTAGCCACAGAGTGGATGGCACAGGCAAGAATAAAGGCTTGGAGATGAATTAGGAGGCAGTGGCATTAACTCAGGCAAGAGATATTGTATTGATGTCTTGGATGTTAAGGAATATGACTGTTTCCTGAAAACTATGGGGAACATTGAGAGGTTTTAAGCGGGGAATGATGTGGTCAAATTTTTGTTTTGTTTTGTTTTGTTTTGTTTCTTAGTGGTACATCAGTGCCTTGTCTGTGCTCCATGGGACAAGAAATTGTAGCAGAGACCCGGAAGATGGCAAGAAAATAGCAGATCTCTTTGGCTCCAAGCTTCCCTAGGGCTTTGCTCTTCTTCTCACCACCTAGATTGAGGTATGAGGTGGGGAGGTTGTGAAATTGGCCATTTCCCCAAGACTTGACTTTAGAAACCAGACTCAGGATAAAGATCCCCCAAATTGTGTCTTGGACAAACTTTGCCAGAAGAATCAGGAGAAAGAACCTTTGTTCATCTCTAATCCAGAACAGGTTTTAGGAGAAAAACTTGAATCTATGGAAGCATCAGACCCTGCACTTAGAGCATGGCAGATAGTATTGGTAGAGAAAATGGGATGTGGGGCTAGAGAAGCTTGGGTTAGAGTCCTAATTGCATCATCTGTTGTGTGACCTTGAGAAATGTAATCTTTCAGTGTCACTTTTTCCTCATAAATAAAATATGGATAGTAATAGAAGCTATATCTTTGGTCAATGAAACCTCCTTCTTGTGTAATGAGGATTACATATGATAATACACATAAGTGCTTAACACAGTGCCTGGCACGTATTAGGTGTTCAATAAATGTCAGCTGCAGCTATAAATAGAAGTATGATGCCAAAGAAGCTGGCTCTTAATGAGATTTGCTTTAATCTGCCACCTTCAGAATAACAAACGGCTATTACGTGGTTAATCAGTTTCCCTGAGACTTACACAAGAGGAAAACAAAATGACCCAAGAGGCAGTTAGAGATTCAAAAGGTGTCTTTATTGAGAGATGATATAAATACTTCAAATAGACAACTAAGAAGCTTAAAACCTTCCTAAAATTTTGGAAACCTTCCTAAAATCAAGTGAAATAGAATGTAGTTTGGGGCTCTTCCTAGTGGCTTGGAATGTTGGCCAAATCCTCAAAGGTGAAAACAATAAGCATGAAATATTCCCACATCCAGAGCCAAAGAGCTGCCACATGACTCCCTAGCATTTACCAAGAGATGGCCAAGTGTGTTCTGTGGTCCTCGCTCTGATGACTCCCATCTCAATGATCTAGACTGAAGGCTGGAGTTCAATGAGGTGGGAGAAATGGCTAGGAGAGGAAGGTACTTTGGATTTTTCCTATTCCATC